>NC_000020.11:42375325-42678355 GCF_000001405.40 Homo sapiens
GTAAATTTGAACCCTACTGAATTCATGTTCAAACTTAATTCCCATTGTGGTGGCTCTAGGAGGTGAGGCCTCTGGGGAAGTGATTAAACCAGGATGGTTTTGCCATCGTAAAAGGCTACAGGGAACTAGCTTAGGCCCTTTTTTGCCCTTCAGCCTTCTGCCATATGAGGACATGGCATTCAAAGTGTCCTCTTGGAAGAAGGGACTAGGCCCTCACCAGACACCAAACCTGCCCCCCTGGATCCGGGCTTCCCAGCCTCCTAGAAGTTTGAGAAATATATTTCTGTTCTTTATTAATTACCCAGTCCATGGTATTCTGTTATAACAGAACAAAGGAACTAAGAGAGGTGGTAACCAAGTAAACCGATAAATAAATGAGATATAGATAGATGGATGGATAGATAGGCAGATTTTCTTTATTTAAACATAAAAGGAAGTGAATGATAGATGCTATGAAGAAAAGCAGGGTGAAGGCTTATAGAATGATTGACAGTCAATTTCATTTTTAGTAGTGAAAGTCAGGACAGTCCCATTAAAGCAAAAAACAAAGAAGGGGGTGCCTGCTCAGAACATTAGTGTTCAACATTGCTATCAGAATACAAGCAATCAGAATTAAACAAACAAACAACCACCATAACCAATAAAGCAGCATGGGAGGATATAAAGATAGCAAAATTCTTTGGGAAAAAAATGTGGAAGCTCTACAAATTAAAATAGTTCCAGAATCCAAAGGCTGAATTTTGCCAACAGCAAATGATCACAGTGGATGGGGAAAATTGCATCCCCAATTACGTGAGAAAACTGTGATGAACGGGACTAAAAAGATACGAGCTTGCCGGATGAAAGATGGAAACGCTCCACCCTGCAGGGGAGAAATAGCAATCCTATGTTCCCACAGCAGAAAGGAGAGACATTCTACAGTTGATTCAGTACAAAACTGTCTCAGAAATGTCATCGGGAAAGAATCTTCTCACACTGGCTGACCCTCACCACACTCTCAAGAGTCTCATATTAAGGAATACTCTCCCTGAGAGAACTTCTCCAAAGCATGTTCCCTCTCCAGGCCACAGCTGGTTGCACTCTATGACAGTGATCAATGGCTCCATTGCGGAGACATGTCTTCTGTTCCATTCCTGTGACCAGACAGTCCAGTTGCCTTTCTGGAAAAGAAATGCCACAGGGCTCCTGACCACAGCATAACAGGCTCTCTGGGGAGAAGTTCACAGCCAGACCCTAACCCTCACCCCAAGAACCTCACCCTTTCCATGGCCCCTTCTGAAAGGGAAGATTCAGGAGGTACAATGGTGAAAAGCTCAGACTTGGGTGTTGGGCGGATATCAGCAGTGTTCATGACATGAAATGGGAGTAAGAAGCTCCTAAGCAGATTGAGGCAAAGAATTCCAGACAGAAGGAGCAGCTCAAGGAAAGATCCCCAGCCACAAAAGCCTGGGGAGTACGAAAAAATGGTGACAAATTCTGGGTGATCGAGTCTATAGTGGGGGAGATGAGCAAGAGTAGTGAATTGGGGTCAGATTGCAAAGGGTCTTGAAAGGCGCGATAAGGAAGTCAAGCTTCACAAAACTGTGGGATGCCAGCTGTGGAATTAAACCAGAGACTGACGTTATCATATTTCCCCTTTTAAAGAAAGCACACACGGGTGATAGTTTGGATCGTGTAAAGAGAAGCTACATAGAAAGAGAGGGAGCAAGGCTGTCAGATGCGTGTCTTTTGGTTCATATTGCAATTACCTCCGTCCTTTGATAACTTGGATAAATGCCATTTTCACCACTCTGTTTCCTTCTCAGCAAAGCGATGCATTTCACCTGTGCTTGAAGAACCTTTGCAGAAACATTCAGGGGCAATAGAAGTCAGGCACTGGGTGGAGTTGCCCACAGAAGAGAGAAAAGCAAGGGAGATCTGCCTGTGAGCCCAAGTGGACCCCTGAGCTCAGGGTACATGCTAACTCCAGAAATCCTCAAGTCTAATGCTCCTCCAACAAGTGGTTTATTCCTAGAAGGTAAAGATGCCCAAAACGTGGTGGTCCCTCTGGGCAAACACCGGTCATTGCCCCTGATTGCACTCCCCCAACACAAATGTATGCATGCATAAACCAGTGTTTTGCAAGCTTTAACTTACGACCAAACTGAACTCTGATTCAGTAGATTGGGCTGGGGCCTGAGATTCTGCATTTCAAACACATTCCCAGGAGATTCTGATGCTGTTGTTAATTGGTGGATCCTACATGGTGTAACGAGGTTCTAAACACCAATAGACTTTCAGCTGCAAGCTCTTTGTCTCAATTTCAAAGTACCACTGACCTCAACCTAAAACCTCAACCTAACAAACGACCTCAACCTAAAATCCTGTGCTTCCGGTTGTGAGCCTTGTGACTGTGGAGGAGACATTTCCTAGCGCTGAGCCTCAGTTCGCCACCTCTGTAAATTGCCTGTGGAAGACATGGCTTTGGAGGACAGAAAAGAAAAGTGAAGGAAGAGAAAGATGAAGCCAGAGTGAAGTGGTAGCATTAGTGCTGTGATTCACAAAAATAACACTATAGGAAGAACCTGGATGATAGTATTCTGAATACAGCAGGAGCACCAATAGAGTAGCAGTAGTAAAAATAGCATCATTATAACTAATAGTGCAGAAATAGTACTAGGGGTCCTACCCAGAGGAGGACTGATTATTTCAGAGGCAGAGGTTGGGGCAGAATAGAAGGCTTAACAGATGTGGTACATCTCACTGGTTGAGAATTCAGATTCTGGAGCCAAACCGACATTTGATGAAATGAAGTGTGTATTGAAAACAGCACAGCAACCCCCACAGAGTAGGGGAAAGAATGTAAGATCCCCAAGGAGAGGGACCGTGATGGTCTTGCTCAGCATTGCATTCCTGGTGCCTAGGACAGCGGGAGGCACCAGATAAACATCTCTTAAATATATTAGGAGTCTTTGATTCTTTTTCTGTTCTCAGATACCTACTGACTGTATGATTCTGAGATCACACCTCTCTTCTTGGCTTCAATTCTTTCATCTCGAAAAGTCAGGATTTGGGCTGTGTGGCACCAAAGATGCTTTCCAGTTCCTGTGTTTTCTCTCCTGATGCCCTATTTTACTCTTCCTTTGCAACCTGATAGTATCTTTTTTGGTTAATTGTTCACTCATTTTCTGTCTCCCCACTAGACCGAGTTCTCCAATGTGGGAATCTAAGTTGCCATCTTGCACAACCCTGTAATCCCAAAACTTGGCACAAAACCTGAGGCATATCTCAGTGAGTATCTGTCGAATGAACAAAGGAATGAACAAGCTCTATTTTCTTAAGATCACTGGAGGCAGCATTGTGCCACGGTTAAGATACGGGCTCTAGGTTCAGACTGCCTATATTTGAATATTGATTCCTCCAGTTACCAGTTTTATGACCTGCAAATTATTTAACTTCCTGAGGCTCAGTTTCCTCATCTGTAGAGCGCAGATACTAATGGTATCCCCTTCACAGGATTTTGAAATGATTAAATAATTCATGCAAAGCTGTTAAAATAGTTCTGACATGTAGTAAGCATTCAATACTTATCAGCCTCATTTAGAGAAAAAAGAAATTCCTTGTGAATTCCATGTGTAATTTGACAGGTGTGACACTGACTCAACTTGCTCCAGCAAGTCTCCAAGGCAACCATTCCCCACTTGGTGCTTCTACCGTGCCCCCACAGCTCCATTTTTGCACTTGGAATGCTGCATTTCGTTTTGAACATGTAAGCCTTTGCTTCTGCCTTCAGGTGCTCAACTCTGGCGTGCCCAGCCTCCCCAGTCTTATGCCTACCACTCCCTCCCTCAGTCTTGCTCCACAAAGTGCCTCTGTGCCTTGGCATATGCTGTCACCTCTGTCTGTGATGAACTTCCAATTTTCTACAACTGGCCAACACCTGGTCATTACTCAAGTCCCGGGTCAAGCCCCTTTATTGCAGGAAGATTTCCCTGAATCTCTAGGCTGGTGAAATGCATGACAAAGTTCTATTCATTTCCCTGCAGCAATAGAGAAATCCCAACTGTTTAATCATAACAGAAGAGGAAAACAAAGAAAAATGAGTGGGAGTGCCTTGGTATAACTATGACACCCTAATCATCATCTCATGGGGAGACCCTAGAACAACCAGACTCAAATTTGAGGCATCCAGTGCATGCTTCCCAGAGCCTCTCACTCTTACTTTTCCTAGAGGCACCTGAGCCTGTGGAGGGCAGCAGGAGCTCGGTCTCCAGCTCCACCCCTTCTCCACATTCCTACAAAGGAGTTATATGCCAGGTACCTCCTTTCTCGGCCTTGGCCCTGGCCGGGTGATTGGGAAAATGAAACAGACTGGCCGAGGCTTGATGCCCCTAAATTGTAATTTCAAGGTAATTTGAACTTCCTTCTTCTTGGGCATGAATGGAAAAGCTAAAGTCTCCTTGAATCAGTGTGCAGAACTCAACAAAGAATTAAAGTGCCCCCATGCTTTCCTCCAAAGCTTGTGTGAGATCAGCAGGATAATCAATTTTACAATTCTGTGAAGCTGATTGGAAAGTGATTACAAAGGCAGTCAGAGCATTTTCTCATGGGCTTTCAAAAGGCCTGTTGCAGAGGGACGTGAAGGATATGAAGTCTGGCCATCCATAGCAAGCCCACAAAAATCAAGGACTCCTTCACTCCCAAAGCTTTAATCTCTGGCTCCCATGAGTTCGATAGTCAATCCTGCCCAAGGCCTATAGAGTAAACGTGTGAGGCTGGTAGTCCACTAAGAACCTAAGCCCTATTTCAGTAGATAGCTTTGGGGTCAGAATGCTACTGCAGGCTGATTTTTAAAAACCTTGAACTTCAGTGTTGCCCTCTGCTGCATCCTGCCTCAGTTTCCTTATCCCACTCTCTCTAGCTCCCTGTGGAGACTGGATCCCTGATCTAAATCACGCTGCCACCTTCTCCATGTGCTGGAGCACTGTCTCCTAAAATGGCCAGCTTTCTGGCACCGAGATGCATTAGGCACTGACTGGTAGGCTATGCAGAGATCAGGTTTAGCCCACACTCACTGTCCTGCCTCAGATGTGGAACAACCTGGGCCTTCCCTCCATGCACTCCTCACTTCCCTTAGCCCCAGGCCTGCCTGGCCTGGTTGGTTTCAGATAGTTCCCCTTCTCATAAGCCTTTGGGTCTGAGAACTGGAACAGAGAATGTGTCTCCCTCCCAGACATTGGGCCCCAATCGGAATGGGGAAGATGGTCACACAGCAAGAAACAGAGAAGCCCCAGGAAAGGGCTGCCAAAGGGGAAAGAAAATGAGCCTGCTTGGTCCTACGGCTCTTAGCGTAGCTTTGCATTGCACTTATCATGCTGTCTTGAGCGTGTTTTTGTTCTCCCATTGGACTCTGAGCTCCCCGACAGTAGGGTGTGTTTCTAATTCATTTTGATATCATAGATTATTACCTTAATTGGCTCATGGAGGTATGTTAGTGTGTTAGTCCGTTTTTGCATTGCTATAAAGAAATACCTAAAACTGGGTAATTGATAAAGAAAGAGGTTTACTTGTTCACAGTTCTGCAGGCTGTACAGGAAGCATGATGTTGCCATCTGCTCGGCTTCTGGGGAGGCCTCAGGAAACTTACAATCATGGTGGATGGCAAAGGAGGAGCAGGCACATTTCACATGGTGGGAGTGGGAGTAAGGGAGGGAGGTGCTACACACTTTTAAACAACCAGATCTCACGAGAACTCACTATCGGGACAACAGCACCAAGGGGATGTGGTGTTAAACGATGAGAAACTGCCCCCATGATCCAATCACCTTCCACCAGGCCCTACCTCCCTACCTCCAGCATTGGGGATTACATTTCAACAGGAGATTTGGGTGGGGACACAGATTCAAACCTTATTGGGGGCCTTTTAGATTCATTGTAGGGTGATACTTTTGAGCCCTTTGAAGTTAGGTATGGCCAGATGACTTGTATTGGACAACAAAACGTGAGCAGAAGTGACCTGTTTTTATCCAGGTAAGTGCTTTAAGAGCCAAAGCCCAATTTGCCGCTTTCTATTTTCCCTCTGACATGATGACTAGCAACGTTCAGCTTGGTGGCAGCTCCGTCAGCCCGGGTCCCTGTGTGACTGCTCCCTGTTGACCCATGATGGACGTGTCATACAGGTGAGAAGTAAACATTTGATGTTTTAACATATAGTGTGGGTGAAAGATAAGCTTTTGATGTTTGATGTTTAACTTTTGAGATTTGGGAATTTGTTATTGAGGTGTAATCTAGCCTAACCTGACAGATACAGTGCTCAATATATGTTTTAGGGTGAGTGAAAGGAAGGGAAGGAGGAGTGGAAGAAAAGGAGGGAGGGAAAATGGGGGAAGAAGGGAAGGGAGAAGAAAAGAGAAGGAGGGAGAAATATGTAAATGACCCGATTAGTCTTCACCTCTCTTTGGGTCTGTTTCCAACTTAGACATCTGGGAAATAATGTTCATCTTTACTGTGTTCCCTTCTACCTTCAACACAGAAAACCTGATACGATTCAGACACAAACTCCATGCCTTTTTTTGTATAAAAGAAAATTCTATTTTCTCAAATCTAATGTGTAACATAGCGATATTTATAGAGAAAGGTGGCAGAGAAATGAGGCAGGAAACAAAGCAATTGTGACTTTTTTGGGTAATATATCCAAGCCATAAAGATTTCATTAGATTCCATAATACATTGCTAATGAAAAATAAGACCCTTTCCTATTTTACCTACTTTCTGAACATTAGAATCAACTTGGCTTTCCAAGCTTTGCACCCCATTTACATTAATTAGAAAGTTCCATATTAAGGAAAGCTTTTAATGGGCTGTTATTGCAAATGATTTTACTGGTGAGCTGCATTGTTCTGTTTAATAGCACATACAATGGCATCTATAGAGGAGACTTTGATAAAATTGAAGTTTTGATGGACTCTGGGCCTGAGCTAGCCTTTGCTGAGAGGATGGAGTTCGGGGATATTTTCCTACTGAGGGAAATGGCTCTTCTCTTTCCCTGGACTAGAGCCAGTTCTAAAGCATCCACATGTTTCTGATCCCAGGAGAAATCCACACTGCCTTCTGCCTGGGTACACCATTGGCAGACTGCTTCCAGATCCCTGTACATCACTTGGCAATATCTCTCATAGGTGTTCATGGACAAGACAGAGCCGTCCTGGAACTGAGACATAAGGGATGAATTTCATAAACACAGACTGCCTGGGCCAGGTGGAGAGTGTCATGGAGATGGGTGCTAGGTCCGTGCAGGAAAACAGGGGGAGAAGGGGGACAAAGCAGAATAAATAATGGCTGCACATAATAGCAATTGACACAGAGAGTAAGGTGGGGAACAGGGAGAATCGGGGTATGGTGGGGGGTGTAAGAGGAACCAGAGCATGCTGTCATGGCATGGAGAACCCTATAGGACGGTAACCACTTTTCCATTTGTCTTTGTCCCTATCCATGCCCTGCATAAATGGTGCCACCCATAGGTGGTCACTATTGCTCCTGAAGGTTTTCCTTGGTCTTGGCTTCCAGCTGCCTACTACTGATAGGATCTCCAACTATCACTATAGCATGAGAATAAAGTATTCAGAAGGCAGTGCAGTATGGAATTTAGGTGTCTGAGCTCTGCAATTACATCTGGGTTTACATCCTACCTCTCCTGCTAAATAATAAGTGTAATATTCTGGGCCAAGTTAGTTAATCTCTCTAAACCTCAGTTTCCTCAATTTAAAAATGAATCTGCCTGAAGACTTCCTGGTATCTAAAGTGCACTCAATACATGTGAGCAATTATAAGTTTCATTAAATAAATTTGAGTGGTTTAAAACACTGAGACTTCGGGCAGAGCACAGGACTTCTGAAATTATAGTTACACTGGTGGAGTTATGGAATACAGGTCCTCAGATCTCAGTGACCCGTGAATGGTGAATTCAGCAGACATTTTTGAGGGTAGACATTCTGGCTTCCCTGGTGCCTGGACTGGATGCTGTGATCCATGGCTTATGTGACTGTGAGTACCATGGGCTCATGGGTTTTTATTCTTGCCATGCTGGCAGAAGGACACTGCTAAGCAGGGATAGACAAAAAAAAAAAACAACTATTTGAATGGACCAACCTGGCTGATAACCTTGAAGCAGTCTCACCAAGAGGGCTTCTAGTATAAATGGGAGGACAGGAGAATGGCCAACTAGTTGAATTCAGAGAGTAGAGAGAGAAGACTAGTCTCAGGCCACTGATTCTGCAGTGTTTGATAAGTGGTAAGAACCCATTAGAGTTGGTTACCATTACAGCTATAATAGGAAAATACAGGAATAATGCAAGCATATTATATTTTGTCCCCTAAGAATGGGGGAAAATACCACTATATCATGTGTAGGGCCAAGGCTTACCCTGCTGTCAGAGCCCATTTAGCATCTTGAATTTAGTTCTAGATGTGACATCTTGAGTTTAGCTACAGACCCACACCTCATCTCCATCAGGGAGATAAAGTGGTGAGTGACGCAGACTTTATGCCCCACAAAGAATAATTGAAAGGATTCTCCAGAAGAGAAAAAGTTATTGCTAGGTGATGTTGGTTGCATTCTAGTAATCAAACAGCAGCTGATTTTACGACGGATTATATGTATTCTTTCTAAGTAGGATATGTGGGTAGATGGGGTAGGGACGTAGAGACGACAATATGGATGGAAGATTTATCAATATAAGTTTGACACAGGGCACATGGTCCAAATCAGGTGAATACCTTGCAATGTTGTGAGTTCCTGTCACTGTGGGGCTTCACGTTAAATGTGGACTCATCCATCAAATGCATATGGACCATGCACTAGTACAGGGTCAGTGATACTAGCTGGGAACACAAAGATTAATACAATGTGGCTCTTGCTTTATAGTAATTCACTCTTCTGTGAAGAACACAGACCCATTAACAAATTCTTAAATAACCACTGTGTCACACATACCAGTGTAGAAATGTGTACAAGGTTGTGTCAAAGCAAAGAAGTGACGGCAGTGGGGAAGGAGGCAAATGTGAGGTCAGAAGGTGGCTGATCCTTGAGGATGAATCGGTAGGATTCTGATGGGTGGACAAGGGTGCGAGGGTGTTTCCATCTAAGGAAACAACATCCAAAATGGCTTGAAGAATAGACCCCATTTTCTTTATCGATTCATTCACCAGTGGGCATTTAGGTGGCTTCGATGTCTTGGCTATTGTAAATCATGTTGCAATGAATATGGGAATGCAGATATCTCTTTGAGATTCTAACTTCAATTCTTTTGGGTATATATCCAGAAGTGAGATTGCTGGGTCACATGGTAATTCTATTTTTAATCTTTTGAGAGAACTCCATACTATTTTTTCATAGCTCCATTTTACATCTCCACCAACAGTGTGCAAGTTTTCCACATCCTTACCAACACTTATCTTTTTGTTTTTAAAATAATAGCTATCCTAGCCAGTGTGTGATATCTCACTGTGGTTTTGATTTGCACTTCCATGATGATTAGTGATGTTTAGAATCTTTTCATGTACTTGTTGTCCATTTGAATGTCTTTGGAGAAATGTTGATTCAAGTTCTTTGCCCCCTTTCCAATCAGGTTATTTGTTTTCTTGGTATTGACTTATATGAGTTCCTTATATAATTTGGATGTTACATTTATCAGGTATATGGTATGCAAATATTTTCTTCCATTCTGTAGGCTGTCTCTTCATTATGCTGCTTGTTGCCTTTGCTGTGCAAAACCTTGTAGTTTGATGTGATTCCAATGGCCTATTTTTACTTTTGTTGTTTATGCTTTTAATGTTATATCCAAAAATCATCGCCCAGACCAATGTCATGGAGCTTTCCCCCTATTTCTTCTAGGTGTCTTACAGCAGTAGATGTGAGAGATATTTAATTAATATTAGTACATTAAATCTTTAATCCATATTACTCAGCCTCAAAATAAAAAAGGAAGTCTTGCCGTATGTGACAACATAGATGAACCTGGAGGGCATTATGCTAAGTGAAATAAGCAAGTCATAGAAGGACAAATACTGCATGATTCCACTTATATGAAGTATCTAAACTAGCCAAATCATAGGCACAGGGATAGAATGGTGGTTGCTAGGTGCTGGGTAGAGGGAGGACATGATTTGCTGTTCAACAGCTATAAAGTTTCAGTTATATGAGGTAAATACATTCTGGAGATCTGATATACAAGGCTGTACTTACATTTCATAGTACTGTGTTTCACAGTGTATTAGTCTGTTCTCATGCTAATAAAGACATACCTGAGACTTGGTTATTTATAAAGAAAAAGAGGTTTAATGGACTCACAGTTCCACATGGCTGAGGAGGCCTCACAATCATGGTGGAAGGCAAGGAGGAGCAAAGTCAAGTCTTACATGGCAGCAGGCAAGAGAGCTTGTGCAGGGGGAACTCCCATTTATAAAACCATCAGCTCTACTAATTCACTACCATGAGAACAGTATGGGAGAAACCACCCCCACGATTCAATTATCCCCACCTGCCCCCCTCCATGGACATGTGGGGATTATTACAATTCAAGGTGAGATTTAGATGGGACATAGCAAGACCATATCAGAAGGTTAAAAGTTTGCTAAGAGTAGAGATCTCATGCTAAGTTTTCTTATCACAATATAAATAAAATAAATAGATACCTTTGTCCTAAAATAAACAAACTAAAACATGTGACTCTATGCCATGCATACACATATATAAAGCTTTGAATAAACAAAAACACTGTTATTTTACTCACACACACGATGTTGAAAAGGCATGATTATATGAAAAGCATGCAGGACATCATCAGAAGTTTGGCACTGTGAGAGCACAGGATGTAAAAGGTAAGGTCTAAGAGAAATGGGGCTGGAGAGGTGAGCCAAAATCCCATTTTAGAGCCTGAATTTTAGAAACCCGTGGGACTAATAAAAGGTATTATACAGAGAGTGACAGGGTTAGATTTTGTCTTTGGCTTTAGTGGTATAATTGAAAAACTGTCCCAGGAGTTTAAAAAAGAAAATACGGGGACCTAACTAAAAATGGAGGTAAAACTGAGAGAATTTGAAGATCCTCTGGAGGTACAGGATGAGGGATGGTCTTAGGACAGGCTGGCTCTCAAATTTTTAGGGGAACAGCCACTGGGGATACCTGAGAGGAGTGGAACTGGACAAACCAAAGGGAAGAGGGACCTTTCATTTTTGGACATCTATGGTATGCTTGACATTGCTTCTATCTTTCATACCTTCATAACGATCCTGCAAAGTAAGAATTATTATCTTCTTGGGAGGCTGAGGCAGGTGGATCACGAGGTCGTGAGTTCAAGACCAGCCTGGCCAAGATGGTGAAACCCTGTCTCTACTAAAAATACAAAAATTATCTGGGCGTGGTGGTGGACGCCTGTAATCCCAGCTATTTGGGAGGCTGAGGCAAAGAATTGCTTGAACCCAGGAGGCGGAAGTTGCAGTGAGCCGAGATTGTGCCACTGCATTCCAGCCTGGGCGACAGAGTGAGACTCCGTCTCAAACAAACAAACAAAAAAAAAGAATTATTATCTTCATTACATATGAGAAAATTGAAGCTGTTTTATGTGTCCAAGATCACAAGATCATATAGCTGAGACCAAATGTGACCCATAATTGTCTGCATTCTGAAACCTATGATTTTCCCACTAGATCCTCTAAGTTCCTTTTTTTGCTCCAGATTTCAGGATTCTAAGCACACAAATTAATTTTTATCTGTTCGAAATTGAAATAAGGCAAGTCTTAGTGGAAATGATCTGACTTTATACCAAGCCTGGTTATATACTCTCTTCATATTAAACATATTCATACAGAGGATAAGCGGTACCTATAAATATCATTCCAATAAAAATGAGGCCATGTATTCCTGAGTGGTAATACGCTGCTTGGGTCAGTGATATAAACCAGGAGGCTGAAGGCCAAACAACTTTAACCAGCCCAGAGATTCAATAAGTTAAAATATGTTTTGGAAGACAGCTTTAGGCCAGACCTGCTTTTTTTCTTGACAATTATATGAAGACACCTTATTCAGCACAAGCAGGCTGGCTACAGGGTGTGAATTTTTGTTTAAAGGGGCAGCAACAAGTCATACAGGCAACAGTGATTTGAATTTTAACTTCAGAAGTAGAGGTGGGTAACCATGGTCTTTTTGTTGTTGTTGTCGTCGTCATTTGTTTTGTGTTATTATTTGAAAATCCGTATCCACAAAAATCTCACTAACAGATTGTTTCCTTCTCCTGAAATGCTCTCCCGACTCCAACACTTTTTAATCTGGAAACTTCCTATAGGGCAAATTTTAGCTTCTTAATTGGGGGAGATTTTGCCTTCCAAGGAACACTTATTTGAATATACCTACAGACAATTTTGGTTGTCACAACTTGTGTATGTGTGGGTAAAGGACCTCTAAAAGTTAGAGTTCAGGGATGCTAATATTCTTTTTTTTTTTTTTTTTGAGATGAAGTCTCGCCCTGTCGCCCAGACTGCAGTGCAATGGCGCAATCTTGGCTCACTGAAACCCCTACCTCCTGGGTTCAAATTATTCTCCTGCCTCAGCCTCCTGAGTGGCTGGGATTGCAGGCGCCCACCACTAAGTCCAGCTATTTTTTGTATTTTTAGCAGAGACAGGGTTTCACCATGTTGGCCAGGCTCGTCTCGAACTCCTGACCTCGTGATCCCCCACCTTGGCCTCCCAAAGTGCTGGGATTACAGGCGTGAGTCACCACGCCTGGCCCAGGGATGCTAACATTCTTCAGTGCATAGGACAGTCCCCAAAATAAAGACTTACCCAGTCCAAAACATTAATAGTGCTAAGGTTAAGAAACGTGATATAGCAATACCATTCAGGACATAGGCATGGGCAAGGACTTCATGTCTGAAACACCAAAAGCAATGACAACAAAAACCAAAATTGACAAATGGGATCTAATTAAACTAAAGAGCTTCTGCACAGCAAAAGAAACTATCATCAGAGTGAACAGGCAACCTACAGAATGGGAGAAAATTTTTGCAACCTACTCATCTGACAAAGCGCTAATATCCAGAATCTACAAAGCACTTAAACAAATTTACAAGAAAAAAACAAACAACCCCATCAAAAAGTGAGCAAGGGATATGAACAGACACTTCTCAAAAGAAGACATTTATGCAGCCAACAGGCACATGAAAAAATGCTCATCATCACTGGCCATCAGAGAAATGCAAATCAAAACCACAATGAGATACCATCTCACACCAGTTAGAATGGCGATTATTAAAAAGTCAGGCAACAACAGGTGCTGGAGAGGATGTGGAGAAATAGGAACACTTTTACACGTTGGTGGGACTGTAAACTAGTTCAACCATTGTGGAAGACAGTGTGGCGACTCCTCAAGGATCTAGAACTAGAAATACCATTTGACCCAGCCATCCCATTACTGGGTATATACCCAAAGGATTATAAATCATGCTGCTATAAAGACGCATGCACACATATGTTTACTGCAGCACTATTCACTATGGCAAAGACTTGGAACCAACCCAAATGTCCATCAATGATAGACTGGATTAAGAAAATGTGGCACATAATACACCGTGGAATACTATGCAGCCATAAGAAATGATGAGTTCATGTCCTTTGTAGAGACATGGATGAAGCTGGAAACCATCATTCTCAGCAAACTATCGCAAGGACAAAAAACCAAACACTGCATGTTCTCACTCATAGGTGGGAATTGAACAATGAGAACACTCGGACACAGGAAGGGGAACATCACACACTGGGGCCTGTCGTGGGGTGAGGGGAGGGGGGAGGGATAGCATTAGGAGATATATCTAATGTAAATGACGAGTTAATGGGTGCAGCACACCAACATGGCACGTGTATACATATGTAACTAACCTGCACGTTGTGCACATGTATCCTAGAACTTAAAGTATAAAAAAAAAAAGAAACGTGATATAGGGTCTTATCTGATTCTCAAGGTAAATTAGGTCCTCCACGATTTATGTTTTCACAGCAAACTAAATTCTTCTTTCACAGCACACATCACATGTTGAGAGACATGTTATTTGTATGATTACTGCTATGGTTTGAATGTGTTCCCCCAAAACCATATATTGGAAACTTATTACCCTTGCAGCAGTGTTGGGAGGTGGGGCCTAATGGGAGGTGTTTAGGTCATGAGGTGTCTATCCTTTTGAATGGATTAATGTTGATTATAAAAGCACTTGAGGCAAGGCATGGTGTCTCAGGCCTCTAATCCCAGAACTTTGGGAGGACAAGGCGAGAGACTTCTTGCTTGAGTCTAGGAGTTTGAGACCAGCCTGGGCAACACAATGAGACCCTGTCACCACAAAAAAATTAAGAAATACAGCTGGGCATGGTGGTACATGCTTGTAGTCCCAGCTACTCCAGAGGTTAAGGCAGGAGGATTGCTTGAGCCCAGGATGCTGAGGCTGAAGTGAGCCATGATTACACCACTGCATTCCAGCCTGGGAAACAGAGCAAAACCCTGTCAAAAAAAAAAAAAAAAAGAAAGAAAGCCTTGAGGCTGCCAGTTTAACTCTTCTCTCTGTCTCTCTCTCTCTTCCTTTGCCCTTCTACCATAAGATGACACAGCAAGAAGGCGCTAAACTGTGACCTAATAAATTTCTCTTCATTATAAATTAGTCAGTCTGTGGTATTCGGTTATATCAGCACAGTATGGACTTATACAGCCATCTAATAGCTTTCTTCCCTATGCAACGGACTCTAGGAGGGTGAGGAACAGCATTCAATTTTCTCCCAATTGTATCCTCAGCAGCTAGTATAATACTTGGCACATATTAGGTGAAACCCTGTCACTACAAAAAATTAAAAAGTTCTGGGCATGTAATCAGTAAAGACTTGTGAATGAATCAACACGTAGTAAAAGAGAGAATGCAATCAGTCAATACATTATGCTTATGAAATTACATCTCTACTTCAGTTGAAAAAATTGATGAAAAATATAAATTGATTGATTAATTGATTAAGGAAAGTATAAACCAGGAATCATTTGTCACCATGGTGCTGCAGACCCACACAGTACTAACATTAACCAAAGTAAATGCCAGCTTCCATTAACCAACGTAAATGTCAGTGGTAGTCAGCTCCCAAGATGGTCCCCAACCATCCCTACCTCCTGTTATTCACATCCAGATGTAGTACTCTGCTACTTCCAAGGCTAGTTCATGAAATGTATTATAATTTCTTTCCCTTTTCTCTTGGCTCACTTACTCTAGTGAAAGCCATGTGCCATGTCATAACATACTGAGGCCTCTGACAATAGCTGTGTGAGTACACCATATTGGAAGTGGATCCCCCAGTCCCAGTCCAACCTTCAGATGACTGTAGCCCCAGCTGACATCTCAACTGCAACTTTAAGAGAGACCCTGGGCCAGAACCATAAGCTAAGTCACTCTAAGATTCCTGACTCTCACAAACTGTTTAAGATAATAAATATCTGTTAAGTGGTAGGAAATTTAAATTTAACCAAAGAACAGGAACTTTCTTGAGTACCGACCGAGAGGCTGGCAGGTAGGACTAAGAAATTAGGTTATGGAGTCAGAATTGAGTTTGCAACCTTATTTTATTTAGGTTTACTCCGATGTTATAACTGACCCTGACCAAGTTACTTAGGTCTTTTCATTGCTTTTAAAATCAGAATAATATCTACTTTTAAGGGCCACAATTAAACACAAATTGAGTAATATGTAGTGGGGTGAGTTATTAATGAATTAAGAGGTATTTGAGAATTTTTTAGAGGAAAGAGGGAGGAGCGTGGCTAGGAACTCTTTAAAATGAGAATTAAAAAGCAAATGTCCTTTTCATTGTGAGTTCTGGGCTTGCTTGTCCAGGTAGGAATTAAGAGTTCACTTTTCAGATCCCTCGACTACACCTCACAGGAAAGGAGGAGGAGACTTTTGTGCTTCAGCAGCAAGAGAAGAGGGGCATGGCTTGATTCTGAACACAAGTGTAGAAGTCTGAAAAGCTGGAGGAGGATTACCTGAGTTGCAAGAACCCAGACATGGTCCCCTGATGTCACAATCTGAACACATAACATGGCAGCCTCAGGAACTGGAGCCATAGCCAATGTCCTGGCGGCCAAACTTAGTGTGTGGGGCACGGACACTACCAGCAAAGGTTCCAGGGCACCTCAGGCCTGGACGACTCCCATCACAGAGGCAACCTGGAGGGACCAAAGACCAGCGATTCTTCTTGGACTTCCTGTAGTGATAGGGTACGCCACAGTTTTTTGTTTGTTCGTTTGTTTTTAAAGCCTAAAGAGCGGGAGGAAGGGAATGCAACAATGATAGAGCTTGGATGAGCCACTAGCCACAATGGTGAAAGACAAGATGTTTTATTAAATTCATCAAAATAGAAGAAACCTGATTATGTCTTGCCCCTGGTGTCATCCAGCAAGTCCTACATACTGAAAACAGATGTAAATGCTCTGTCCTATAACTAAATGCTATTGGATTTCCTTTTCTTTCAGATGCCGAGCATAAGCAAGTTAATCATTGATGATACTGTCTAGGTTCTCCCCAACAGAAGAGCTTCTAATGTCGGATGCCCTACAGGAGTCAACAACATTGCCACGGGCTCTATTTTCCTCCCTGCCATGATGGGCAATGGCCAGAGAGGGGTGCACTGTCCTTGCCACCACACTGTACTGCTGCACCCACCTGCCCCAAGCCCTCCCTTGTTCTATCCCACTGTTATACCTGATGCCAACTCCCTACCTCACAGTTAATTTGTCTCCTACAAGCCTGTGTTTTCCCTCATGTCTTGCTTCTATTTCAGCTAATTCCAGGAAAAAATGTTACTTAAACTCACTCAGTTCTAACACATATGAACATTTCCTGCCCTACCTTTTCTCAGACCTTGCATGAAATGTCTTTGTTTCCTCCCTCTATTCTGTAAGTCAACTAAGAACCTGAAAGGTAAGAGGGCTATTAGCATACATCAGGAAAAATGGGAAAAAAGTAAAATAATAGGTTTTGATAAGAAAATAGAGGCTGACATTTTCCTCTACTGAAGGGCGTTTGCTTTACTAATCTTTCTTTTGGTATTTCTCAAAAAAAAAAATCCATTTCATTTTTCTTACCTTAACCCACATATTTATCTTTCTTTTTAAAAAAATAACTGCCATTTTGCAATGACCTACAGTTCACTTGGCTTGGCATAGGAAGAAGTGAGGAGCTACAGAGTCAGGCAGAACTAGCTTTGGTTCCTAGAAAAGATTGCAACATAATCACAGCTGCTTAGTTCTACCCCTATCTTCAGAGATTTATGGCTTCACAGTATAAGGATTGGAAAAGCCTGCCCGGGCCCTGAAAACTCAGAGGGAGTATCATCCATATGCAAGAAACTTTGAACAGCTTTCAGAAGGTGGAATTCACATGGAAAAGGACAGAAAAGGGCATGGGTGGTGCAGGGAAGAAAAGATTTCTTTCCTCATCGGTTGCTAGGTTCATGGCTGAGGCACCTAAAACAAAAGACAGATTAACAAGAGAAAAGCATACGCATCTATTTAATACATGTTTTACACAACAAGGAAGTCTTCAGAAAAGAAGGCCCAAAGAAAGAGGAAAATCTGATTTTTTTTAATGCTTACATTTGATGAAGAGTGGACAGTTGTGCCAAAATATAATTGGAAAAAGTGGGGATTGTCTAATGGTGATAAACTGAAGGGAATTTAGCAAGATCTATTTTGTAACGATTCTTCTCCATCCCCCTGTGTCTTCAGAGATAAGGACGTTCCTCTCCTCTGGGAATAGGAAGGGCACCTCTGGAATAAGGGTCTTAGGACTTTCTTCAGGGGAGAAGGCTGGGGGAAGGTGAGATATCCTCCTACTTCTGCTGTCTACCCAAATGCCAAGGTGCCATATTTGGGGGTAGCATGTTCTGAACCCCATCGATTGTGAAGTCAGTAAATCCATCTTCATTGTAACCCTTTTTAAAATATGCATGTATATTAGGGAATAATTTGAACATAACACAAATGTTTGATTATGCCTCATTTCACAGGAGAGAAAAGCAGGTGACTGGAGAAAACTGCACTCAGATGAACCAACCACGAAGGAATACACAAAATGTATGCACTCATACACCTCAAACATCTGCTTCCCCACTCAGATTACAGTGTGTGTCAGCCACATCTGGGGTTCCAACTTTCCCTCCCATTTCAGACGATCTTCCATACACCATTTCTCAATAACACACAAGTTGGAATCTGATGCCCACTTACACACAGACTGCATCTCTTTCAAAGTAAAGTACCATATTTATTGTAGTATTTATGTATTCCTTAGCTATTTAACATGTCTAAAACTGAGCTAAGATTTTTCCTAGGTTCCTATTGTTTGGGTCACTGATAAAGTTTTTAAATATTGTATCCTAACTTCATTCTTCCTATAAGCCCTGTAATTTTTAGTGTGCAATTTTACATATCGTGGCGATATTTAGGAATGTATAGGTCACATGACATCAGAACTGACTGTATTCGCAAGCGTTGGGTGAGTAAAGAGGGTAGATATCAACAGAATTGCATGGAAGAGTCAGGGAAGACTACGGCTTCCTATATTCCCGAATACAACCTGCAAGATGCCCAGTAAGGCAGGATTGTCCAAAACAAATAAGGAGGAAGGTAAAAATGCACAAAGTCTATGAAGATGTGACAGGTCTTTTTTTTTTTTTTTTAATTTTACTACTTGATGGATATGCCTTCAAAAATGGTGAAAATGTGTATCTTCCTTAGCAGAAGACACACTTGTCTATGTAATATCCATCTCTCTCCCCGGCCCTCTTCTTCACTTCTGGCAAACACTGATTTGCGTGGTATTTACTCTTTAATGTGGCTATGCATTCATCAAAGGAGATCCCCCTTTATCCCATCTCAAGGTTTATTCCACCTCGAGAATAAATATTGAAGAATCTCAGTCAATCATGATAACTATTTTCTTCACCAGTGATCGGTTAACCTATGGGCATGGGACCTCATTCTTGCCAATGAAACGTGAGCAGAAATTTACATTGTGCATCTGGGAATATTTGCTTAAGAGATTCTTAGGAAGGGATGTCCCCAGGTCCACAGGAAATGTCTGAGGGCATGGCAGCTATCTTCTGACCAAGAGGACGGCCAGCCTAAAGACAAAGCCCACACACTGGGGTTGACAGAGCAGAAAAACCTGAGTCAATCATGATGTTTTTAAAATAATGAATTAAGCAATTCCGCAGCTTAGGATATGATTGGATACCTTGTTATATGATGTGACACATTTTCCATATGGTATAAGTCATTTTGAGTTGGCTTTGTTACTTAGAGCTGATTATTTTACTATTTGTTTAGCAATACTACTTTCAGAAGAATCAAAACTATGAGCAAAGAGTGACATAAAGGGGAATTCATTGAATCATTATTTGTTCAGTGCAATAATGAACAACTAGAAAAAACTAAATACCCAAGATGAGGGAGCTGGCTAAATAGATTGAGCCCATTTTACAGAATCCTCTGAAACCATTAAAATGAAGGTGATATAAATGTAATATACATTGATATTGAGAAATGTTCAAAATGTTCTTGCCCCTCTTGCTCATTTAAGTCATTTGTCACAGTATTAACTCTGCTGAAGCCCATATTTTCTGCCTACTCCGAGTCTGCTGGACAAGTGTGAGGAAAGCAGTGACCCATGCTAACTGGTCTCGTTGTAACTCCTGTCTGCTAACCTCAAGTGCTCCCTTGGTATTTCCTGGTGATCCTTTACATTTCCCCATTTCAGTCTCATTTTCAGACTCCCACACTGTTTCCTACTTTATGGAGTCTCTTCAAACCTCCAACACCTCCACGCTCTCCTCACTCTTAGCTGATAACCCTGCTTCCTGTTTCATAGAGAAAATGGAAGTTCCATGGTGAGAACACGGCACATGTCAGCTTAACTGACCCATCCCCATACATTCTGTCTTCCCTCCTTTTTCTACAGCAGAAGGACCTATGCCGCATCTAAGACCAACTCTTCTATGTGTGAGTGAGACCCCCTGTGCTCTCATTTACCAAACGTCATCCCAAGAGCAGTGTCCATCCTCTTTGGGGCTTTTTCCCTTTCCATTGGATCATTTCCCTTTAGTTCTAATATTTCTCAAATTTTATAAAATACCAACAACTCCCCACCTTTTGATCAGAGAACATCTTCAGGTACTGTCTCCTGTCTCTGCCTTCTTTGTATCTTTCTATACAATTCCTCTCCTGCTGCTCTCCCTTGGGCCTGTGTAATCAGATTTCAGTACCCACAATTCTTTATAAATTGCTAATGTTAACTCACCAATGACCTCTCTGTTGCTGCATCTAATGGTCAATTCTCAGTCCTTATTTTACCTGAACTACCAACAGCATTTGACACAGTGGATCACCTTCTCCTTTTGTTCTTTTTTTATTACTTGGCTTCCTGGACCCTGCCCTCATTTTTCTTCTTACTTCATTGGCTGATACTTCTGTCTCATTTGATGATTCTGCCTCAAATTTTCCACCTTAAAAATCCAAGGGTCCCAAAGCTTAGCACTAGAATCTCCCTATTCTACCTACACTGAGACCCTTTCACCTCCTCCAGCTTTACGTCTGCAAAGCTCGTGCATAGGCTGACTCCCCTGCTAACATCTCCGTCCTCTACTTCTCCCCTGAACTCCAGACTGGCATATCTGTCTACTTGATATCTCACCCAAAATATCCAACAGGAATCCATCTGAAACTTAACAGATGCCAAACCTAAATCCCAATCTTTCTCTGAAACCTGCTCATTCCAGTGTCTTTCCTATCTCAGTTAATAGCAACTCCATCCTTCCATTTGCTCAGTCTAAAATACCTGGGGTCATTTTTGATTCCTCTCTTTCTTTCACATCCCAAACCTACTTTGCTACCAAATTCCATTGGCTTTATCTTAAAACTACATCTAGAATTCTACTACTTCTCATCACTCCCTCCTACTTTGGTCTGAGCCTCCACCATCTCTCACCTGCATTATTAAAATGCCTGCTCAGCAGCCTCTCTACTTCTATCCTTGCCTTCCTTTAGCTTGTTGTCAGCAGAGCAGACAACATGATCCATTTAAACAAAAAGCCAAATTAGTTTCTTCCACTCTTTCCCTTACTCACTCTATTCCAACCACACTGGCTTGGAACACGCTAACCAGTCTCTCCCGTGAGGCCCTTTGCACTTTCTTTTTTGTTTGAGACGCAGTCTTGCTCTGTTGCTTAGGCTATAGTGCAGTGGTGTGATCCCAGCTCACTGCAACCTCTGCCTCCCGGGTTCAAGTGATTCTCCTGCCTCAGCCTCCTGAGTAGCTGGGATTACAGGCACCCAACACCATGCTCAGCTAATTTTTGCATTTTTAGTAGAGACGGGGTTTCACCATGTTGGCCAGGCTGGAACTCCTGACCTCATGGTTATCTGCCCACCTTGGCCCCCCAAAGTGCTGGGACTATAGGCGTGAGCCACTGAGCCCGGTCACTTTGCACTTTCTGTTCTCACTGCCTGGAACAGCCTTCCTCCAGACAGAAATTTGCCTTCCCTCAGGTCTCTGTTCAAATGCCACCTTTAAAGCCAGGTCTTTCATTGAAAATAAAATGTCCCTCCCACACAGGTGGCCAGTACACCCTGTCCCCATTATCCTGCTTTTTTTTACCTGACAGCATTATTGCCGTCTGATTTACTATATATTCATTTACTATCTGTCGCACTCAACTAGAACATAAGCTCCAGTGAGATGGTGTCAGTTTTCCCACTGTCATTTCAGTGCCTGGAAAAATGCTAGACCTACGATGCGTATTCATGTGTTTGGTGAATAAATGAAAATATTGCGTTAATTAAAATGCACACAGGTTATAAACAATTTTTTGTTTTTGTGAAACAAATCTCTAGGAAAGCCAATAGTTACTGGATATGTAATTTTTTTGTCAACTTTTATTTTGGAATCAGGGGTACATGTGCCAGTTTGTTACAAAGGTATACTGCGTGATGCTGAGGGTTGGATACCAATGAATCTGTCACCCAGGTAGTGAGTGTAGTACCCAATAGGTAGTTTTTCAGCCCTTGCTACCACCCTCCATTCTCCCTTCCCCTCTAGAAATTCCCAGTGTCTTTGTTCCCATCTTTATGTCCATGTGTACTCAATGTTTAGCTCCCATTTATAAGTGAGAACATTTTCTGTTTCTGTGTTAGTTTAAGTTAACGGCTTTCAGTTGCATCCATGTTGTGACAAAGCACATGATTTCATTTCTTTTTCGGGTCTGCATAATATTCCAGGGTGTATATGTAACACATTGCTTTATTTGATCCTCCATTAATGAGCACCTGGGTTGATTCCAGGTCTTTGCTATTGTGACTAGTGCTGTGATGAACATACATCACAGGTGTCTTTTTGGCAGAATGATTTATTTTCCTTTGAGTATATACCCAGTAGTGGGATTGCTGGGTCAAATGGTAGTTCAACTCTTGGTTCGTTGAGAAATCTCCAAACTGCTCTCCACAGTGGCTGGACTAATTTTAATTTCCACTAACAGTAGACACTTACTTTGTACCAGTCATTTTCTTGGGCAATTTCTTATGTCATCAAAATCATAACTATTCAAAGAAATAGGCACCTAGTATCTCCACTGTAAATTTGAGGAAACTGAGGCTTGAAAAATGTAGTTAACATACTTTGTATTAAATAACTAGAAAGTAGCAGAGGTAGTATCTGGTTTGATGATCTATTGTCTGTGGTATACTACCTCAAGGTATGTGTGTCTGTTCCACAAAAAAAATTGTAAAAAAAAATACATACATGAGAGGATCATTCCTTAATAAAACAATAGATTAAAAGGAATAACCAATAGATGTGTACAAATCTGATTAAACTAATGGTTAATAAAATGAAATAAATTAAAATGGTATGGGTTTTTTTCTATTCTATTGGCAAAAATATCAAGCAGCAGTAGCCATAATGTATTAACAAAATAATCATTTACATGTGGGAAGATTTATGTGCAAGGATTTTCATTACAGCATTGAGCATAACAGCCAAAAATTATCTAAAAACAGGAGCAGGTTAAATAAAGTATGTACATCTCAAAGATGGAGTACTATATCGTCATTAAATGATGCAAAATATTATTTGAGATGTGAAAATGATGAGTGTATTATTTCATGAAATATGCAGGCTACAAAATAGCATGTATATCAGAATTCAAATGGCGCATCGACAAGAACAAAATCTCTTTGTATATGTCTTGATCTGAATATTAAAATTCTGGAAGGAAGTCATCTTTAATAACAATAATTACCTCCTCACAGAGACTCTATGTGTAATAATTTTCCATTTTAAATTTATGTATTTTTTAATTTAAAAAAACATAGGGCTGAATCAGGTATCTATTGGTACTCCAACATTTAGTGGCTTAAAACAACAATAATTGATTATTTCTTATAGTTTTCTGAGTTAGCAACCTGAGCTGTTCTGCTAGAACTGCTCGATGTCATTCAAGTAGCCATAGTCATCTAAGCTCAGCTGAGGCTGCATGTTCCAAGATGGCCTCACTCATACAACTGGCAGTTGGTCCTGACTGTTGGTTAGGACACTGATTCTCTTCATTTAATTTCTCATTTTCCAGGAGACCAGACTGAGTTTCTTCACAGAAAGGTGGCCCCAGACACTGGGAGGGCAAGAGCAAACATTCCTAGTCAGTCAAGGCGTTTGAAAACCTCATTTCTAGACTTGCACATCATCACTTCTACCACTTTCTATTAGTCAAAAAGATTCACAGTCAGTGTGGATTTAAGGGGCTGGAGACTTAGGCTCCGCCTCTTGCTGAGAAGAGTGGCAATGTCACATTGCAAAGGGGCATGGGCATGGGCATAGGGATGTATGATTCACTGAGAACCATTACTATAACACTTTATGCATTGTAACAGATTATCTATCACAAAGGTCATCCTTCGGCGGTAGGAACTATGGCACCCTCAGAGTTTATCACCTATGTAACCATAGCTTTAAGCTTGGGCAGCAATATGAGAAGCCACCCTTAGTGCCAAGGCAGGGGAGGAGAAAATGGCAGTGCAAACCAAGAAGTCTAAATAACAGTTCAGAAATAGCACCAGAATCACCTGGGATGGGGAGCTTTAAAAATACACTTACTCCTAGAGCCCACAGAGGATTCTGATTTCAATGGGATAGGCCTGGGGTTGGACTAATAACTCTTTTGGTAAATCCCTCCCAGGTAATCCAGATGCTTAACCTGGTTTTGAAATCTTTGCACTAAACACAGGATATCCTGAGGGCTCAGACTCATTTTGAGGAATACTGGAGAGAGGCTCCTTTTTTCCTAGCAGCCAAATTGTTTTGAGACTATTGCTGTGACCTGGAGACATGAGATATATTTACTGACTCATCTTGCACAAGTACTACAACAATGTGGGTTAAATACAATTCTCTAGATTCTAGCCACCATTTACATCACTTTTCACCCGGAAGAATGTATTGTGTCTTTCAAATATCTGACTTATAAGATGACTTTTGCAATATCATCTTTTGTAAATTGAGGGTGGCCTGTAACTTGGTTGCCTTAGCAACAAATTGGACTGAATGTTAACAGTTGAGTCCAGATGTTCATTCCAGGCAGACAAGAAAACACAGCCTGGTCCACTTTGAAATGCACTCATCAGTACTGCCCACATCAGTGTTTGACATGGTTCTCAGATGCCTCATGTTGTCTTTAACCCAACTCGGAGCCATGGGCATTACCCGTGCCAGATTACATTTTTTCTTTTTACTAAAGAGACAGCAATGTGGAGTAAAACTGATCATTGATTTTTAAGGCAAAACTATTCCAGTGTCTAATTCAGGGACATCATTTAAAAAATCATATGGGACTTCCATATGACTTTTTTTTCATAGCAAGCATGACCCTAGACAAGCACAGTTGATTGGTTGATTCAACTATTTTGATAATTTTTATTAAGAAGCCATATTTTGCTAGGTCCTATGCTATGTCCTAGGGAGATGAGTCTGTTATAATTTCTTCCCTTGAGGAGTTCAAGCCTAGAGAGGAGATGGTATTTAAATGACTTCTACATTTGTGAGCAAGGACAAACAAAGATATATGCGAAACTGGGGAGTCCAGGGGACAACAGAACTATCTGTCTCTGAGTAGGTCAGGAAAGACACCACCAAGAAGCCACATCTTGCTGGATAAGGTGGACTGTGCAGGGCAGAGAGAGTATGAAGGAACATCCCTGCAAGAGGAATTGTCTTTGCAAAGGTGAGAACTGGAAGCTCATGGTGTATTGAGGGAATACCAAGCACGCTTGCATGTTCAGGAAAAAGAAGAGAAAGGAAAGGTCTTGTTGGTCACACTAAGTCCTCAGGCTTTAGAGAATGGAGTTATGGAGGGAATTAGAGCAGGTAGTGTGACATGATCAAATGCACATCTTGGAAAGTTGGTAGCAACCTTGAGGACGAGTTAAAGAAAGACAGTGAAACAGTGTGGGAGTAATTCTACAGTAGGGATAAGGGATCGGGTTTTTAACAGATGAAGCTATACTGGGAAGGAAGGAAGGAAGGAGGATTTAGTGGCCAGATGTGGGTTTCGGGAGGAGGGTGGAGCCGAGGACCCCCTAGGTTTCTGGCTTGGGGGTGTTGGGTCTACTTTTTAACCAGGACAGGAACACAGGAGCAGGGACAGTTTTGATAAGCAGATAGGTTGACGCAGATTTCAATTTGGAGTAACTAAAAAATGTCAAAACAGTAATAAATAAATAAATAAATAAATAAATAAATAAACAAACCTTTATTTAAAAAAGTCTCTATCGGGATGGACATCTTAACGCATTACAGGTTTAATGTCTCCGAAGCTTACTGATTTATCCCCCTTTTCCCTCACTCTCCACCATCTCTTCTGAATATTCCCTGACAAGATAATATGCAAGGAAAGTTCTGCCAACTCAAGACAATGTTTAACGTAAACCTTGGCAGGGGTTACGGAGTTAGGTAGTGGAAAAAGTGTTAATAATGATAATAATAATATTTATATCATATTCCATAGCCTTCAAACTGCTTCTACCTAATTATTTTACAGTAATAATGTCTGTAAGGAAAATACAAGCATTATTTTTTAATCAGCACTTTGCAGAACAGGAAACACACACATACACACACACGAAAGGCAGCCATAGAGCACTGAAGAACAAGTGAACAGAGAGCCGGAGGTGGATTCAAACACCTTCTCTGCAGCTGATGAACCCAATGTGAACTTAGACATTGTTCTCTCCGAGCCCCAATCCCCTCCTTTAGGAAATGGGGTTAGCAGAGAGGATGGCATGTTGCAATGGATGTGCCCAGTACAGGCTTAACCAAAGGATGTTAAATCCCCAGGCATCATCTCTGTCACTGCCAGCCCGATCACCAGCCAAGTGGAGAAGACAGATCACTGGAACAAGCCTAAGCCGTTGAAACTGATTGCCACAGTGTTACATTGTAAGATGTTATCTTAAATATTTTGTAACTGCTGCTTTGCTGGGGAAGCAGGGTGTCTTGGTTTTCCAGAGCTTTCTCTCTACCCTACTGGTCACAGCTGGTGGACATCTGTCCTGTCCTGGGACAATCAGACCCTTAGTGGTGGGAATTTGAAATTGGTTCGCTCTGATTCTAATCAGGCTAAGAACTGTTAGGTGGTCTACAATGGCACATTCTGCCAGGTGAAGGAGGGGAGCAGAGAATAGAGAAAAGTGAATGAAGCAAGTTTGCAGAGAGAGCACAGAGGTGTGGGAGATGGGGAGAGAAGGACAGAGACTCAGAGCCAGCCACTGCCTCAGTTTCTGTTGTGGGTTTTGGTTCCCCAAAACATCCCTGACTTGAGATTTGTGTTAGCCTTATATCTTTCCAGCAAATTGTCCTCTTGATTAAGCCAGGTGGAGTGGGTTTCTGTTATTTGTAACCAACCAAGCCTGTGCTAAAACAGATGAGGGCCTATTTTCAGATAATTGGGCCCAAGAGGCTGGAGGCGAGCATGCAACCAACACATTTGTGAAAAATGCAAAGAAATTTATATGATCATTCTCAGAAAGATGCCCTGTTTGCTCAGGGAGGATAGTGCAGTTAAAAAAAAAAAAAAAAAAAAAAAAAGGAAAAGTCAGCGACAGCTAAAGACTTCAGTATTGAGCCAGTTCTGAAAGGCATTGAGACTGACCCAATGACCCACATCCAATAATATGCGGCATTTACAAGACAGAGAGGGAGGCGGTGGTGTGGGCACACAAGAGGAAAGGGGACTCAACAGTCTGGCTTCCAACAAAGAAAAAGCGATAATAATGCTTGGTGTGGATTGTAAGGCATTTAATCTGGAGGAACTTGCAGGATTTGTGAAAACATCTGCTGCTACTCATGCCGCTTTGTGTTTTGCTCTCTCAGGGGGACTGTGGTTTGGGGGTGTGTGTGTGTGCATGTGTATGTGCATGTGTGTGTGTGTGTATACACATGCGTGTGCTTGTATATGTTCATGCATGAGCATGTGGGTATTACAAGGACCACTATAACATCTGATTCTGTGAATTGTTAAAATATACAGCTGACATATATAAAAATGGCACAGTTTTAAGAAGGCAATCATTATTTAATTATTCTCAATGCAATACTTACGGTAGAGAATGTAGATAATACATAAAAGAAAACAAAAAGTCTTAGTCTGATTACCCAAGAAATCTTAATACTTTCATGTGTTACCTCCCCCCTTTTCTTTTTCCTACTCATTTTTACATAGTTTCAGTCATTCTAGGTATACGATTTTTGCATTTTGCATATATTGCTTATATTATTTCGTAAACTTGCATCCTTGATTATTGAACATCCTTATCAACATTTTTAATGACTCTAATATTCCATGGTATGCAAATACCATCATTTACCTAAACATTTCTCTATTTGTTCATATTCCAATAGATTTTTCTTCACAATTATAAATGATACCACAATGACTAGCTTTGTGAGCACAAGTGTTTTTTTAACCCTATGTTGGACTTGTACTGTTAAGCATATCACAGATAAACAGATACCTTCCTCAAGTGCATCAAATAGTTACTACTACTACCTACATATGAAGACAAGGTGACAGGTTGTGTGGATGAGCTTTTTAAAGTATGTGGGATTTAAAATCTGACCTCATGGTTACATTTCAATATTGGATAAATGAATCCCTTTCTGCTTTGAAGACTTTCAGTCTTCAATTGCTCCCTTTAAAATGCAAGCATCATAATACCTTGGGCAACAGGGACCAAAACCCTCTTCAATGACCAGATCTGTAGACAAAGTCCTGTAGAAAAGTGCAGGGACTTGGACCTGTGGGTCTCTGCTTTCTCACCTCCACTCTTCTTCTCCACCACATTCGCTCACAGTAGTGATGGTTCTGACTTTCTAATCTGGCCCTATCCAAACCTGCCTGGTTGGTACAGGTGACCTATTCTCACTACTCGATGGCTTATCCTGCTGCCTTTTGTACTTAGAAAAATACTGGGCTCTTTTCTCCTCATTCTATGGGAGTCTACCTCCTCACCCCTCTAGGCCCTCTGGGATTTTGACCCCATTTCCAACAAAAGCTCCAGTTCTTCAAACTCAGAACTTCATTCTGATCTCCAGATCAACAGAAGCCCTGGACTCAGCTGAGCTTCTTCCACATTCAAATTCAGACCCGTTCACCCAAGAACAAGATATGGTTGAGACTGGCTAGATATTCACCAAAGCTAATTCTTCTCCTGGGCACACAGTTGGACAAAGCTTTGCATGTAGCTGTGGTCATATGTTTGAGTTCTCACCAATGAAAAAGAGGTGGAAGTTACTATACCACTTCTAGGCTTGATTCATGAGATCCTGTGTGGAATCCATCACTCTCCTTTCCCTGGTCAGCCATCCAGACCCTGCAGGGGACTTGAATGCCTTAGGGGATGATGAAGACACCAAATAAAAAGAGCCTGGGTGCTTGAATGACTGAGTAAAGATCTCACCTCCACACACCCTCCAACATTCATTCAACCATCATTCTTAAACAAAAATTATGGTTTTCTGGTCATTATTTCCATTTTTTGCCTGTGCCAGATCATCTATTCTTACAGCATCAAATAGAAAAATTTGACTACAGGGCACTTAGAGAATGTGATGTGGTGGAAAGAGGCCAGATTCATCAAATTCAAGCTGTATGACTTTAGACAAGGCCATTCTGCTCTCTTGGCCTCAGCTTCCCCATTAGTAAAATCAAGAGGCTAGTCTACATTGCACATAAGAATTCTCCTAACCCTAACATTGTATGGATTTGACAAATTACAAGAAAATTTCAAATGTAAGGAACTAAATATGACTGCTATGTCTTATAATTTTCAAAATGTCAATTGAAATTCCCAATATCAATTGAAAATCCCAATTGAATAGACATCTTGAAAAACGTAACAGTCATAAACAACACAAAAGCCAAAGATATAAAACAAAATTGGATAAAAACAACTGAAGTATGAGATTTTATTTTTTCCAGTAGTGAGATTAATTTTTTGTCATGACAGATAAATGAGACAAAAGTAAGCATGTGAATAGAGGGCCAATTAATTATATATATATATATACACACACACACAAATATATAACATATCATATAGCACCATTATGCACTAAAAGAACTTGAAGTCCTATGAATGTACAGTCTTTATGTCCTTAGATATAAATATAAATATATGTAAATTTATATATACAAATTGTTCATTTGGCTAAAAAGAAATCATCATACATTCTGTTATACAAGTGATTTCGCAGGCCACATTTCTTTTTTTTTTCTTTTTTTTTATTATACTTTAAGTTCTAGGGTACATGTGCATAACGTGCAGGTTTGTTACATATGTATACATGTGCCATGTTGGTGTGCTGCACCCATTAACTGGTCATTTACATTATGTATATCTCCTAATGCTTTCCCTCCCCAATTTCCCCACCCCACAACAGGCCCCGGTGTGTGATGTTCCCCTTCCTGGGTCCACCTGTTCTCATTGTTCAATTCCCACCTATGAGTGAGAACATGCAGTGTTTGGTTTTTTGTCCTTGCGACAGTTTGCTGAGAATGATGGTTTCCAGCTTCATCCATGTCCCTACAAAGGACAGGAACTCATCATTTTTTATGGCTACATAATATTTCATGGTGTATATGTGCCACATTTTCTTAATCCAGTCTATCATTGATGGACATCTGGGTTGGTTCCAAGTCTTTGCCATTGTGAATAGTGCCGCAATAAACATATGTGTGCATGTGTTTTTATAGCAGCATGATTTATAATCCTTTGGGTATATACCCAGTAATGGGATGGCTGGGTCAAATGGTATTTCTAGTTCTAGATCCTTGAGGAATCACCACACTGTCTTCCACAATGGTTGAACTAGTTTACAGTCCCACCAACAGTGTAAAAGTGTTCCTATTTCTCCACATCCTCTCCAGCGCCTGTTGTTTCCTGACTTTTTAATGATCACCATTCTAACTTGCAGGCCACATTTCTAATCATAATATAATTCAATTAAAAAGAAAGCCTTAACTTCTTGGAAACTGAAAAACTTTATCTTAAATACACAGACCCTAGATCAAACAGGAGATCCAAATGTAAATTATAAACTATTTTAAAAATAATCAAGAAAAAGAGACAATTTCATGCCAAAACACGTGGAGGCAGCTAGGGATATATCCAGAGTAATGTGATCCAAGCATTTCAACATTACAAATTAGAAAAAAAGGAACAAAATAACAAAATAAAATTAGAAGAATATAAGAGCTAAAAATAATGACATTATTTTCTTTTTAGCGAAGTAAACAATAATAATGACATAAAGAAAAAACATGTATCTAAATAAAATCAAAGGTCGTCCTTTGAAAAAACATGGTACATTTGGTGAAGCAAATGAAAATAAGAGAGTATAACATATTAAAAAAGAGAAAGGTGGTATAACCATAAATAGACAAGATATTAAATTTTAAAATATTATGTATAACTCTGTAATAAGAAATTTGAGAATTTCGAGAGTGATAATTTTTCTAGTAAATAAAATGAAATTCAACCGAGGAGAAGAAAATCACGTAACAGTTTAAGAAAGTTATTTAAATACCTTTATAAAAACCACCTCAGGTCTAGATCCTTTTTTTTCCAAATGATTTTAAAAATATATCCTTTAAGGAAAGATAACTCTGATAATATTTAAATTATCTCAGTCCATATAAAAATAAAGCTTTTCCATTCATTTTATATATCCAACATAATTTTCATGCCAAAACAGGATACAAATAATGCAAAAATAAAACTAGAGATAAATTTTACCTATAAATACAGATGGAAAATGTTAAACAAATGGAATCAATCAGTGCATCCAAAGTACAAACCATGACTAAGCAAGGATTATTCTAAGCATGGCTCATCATCAACAAATATATTAAGACAATGTATTACAAACAGAAATTAATGGGAAAAGCCATCTGGTTGAATCAATAGACAGTGAAGTGACATCTGTTATTGTGCCACCCAGTAGCTATTTTCCCTTCTTCTGGTGACTGATACCAAAGCTTTCCTCTGGGAATCCACCTGCTCATCTCCTTTAAGCAGATGTAGAGGGGATGAGATCCTACCCAGCTCAGGGGTGAAGCTTGTGATCTACATTTGAGCCAATCAGCACATCACATTTCCCTGGTCTTAATGATTGTGATTTAGAGGTAAGACTATGGGCGTACCAATCAGAGAGATGCAATAAAATATTTTCTGGGAGCCCTAGGAATCCCTATCTCTTCCTCTACCACTAGATTTGAAGCTAAATGCTTACGAGTTTTACAGTTGTTGCAGCTGATTGAGGGGCCACGGGGGAAGAGTCTGTAAGAGTTACCTGATCCTGATAACACAGTTTGAACCCTTGTATCAAGCTGGTCTCAAGCCAGCCTCATTCTGAGCATTTTCAGTTATAAAAGCCAATGCATTCACTTTTCACTGGAGTCAATTTGGGTTAAGATTTCCTGGAATTTGTCACAGAGGAAGTTTTCATTGATGTATATGCCAGGATACATTTGATAAAATCCAGTAGACATTCCTAATGAAAACTTTAACCAAAACAGAAATTGATGGGCAGTACTTAAATATAATAAAGACTTTTGAAAAAAACTTCAGTGAACCCCTTATTAAGGGGCAAAATTCTGAAACCATTTCCTTTAATATCATGAGCAAGACAGGTATGCTTACCATCTCCATTTCTATTTAACATTGTTTTGGTGGTTAAGCCAATGCACTTAGTAAAGAAATGAGATACTCAGGAAAAATATTTTAAAAAGAAGAGACAAAATAGAATTTATCTACAAATGATGTGACTCTAAACTTAAAAAACTTGAGTGACTACTTAAAAAATGTCTAGAATTTATCCAGGAGCTGATAATTTGGCTAGAATCTATCTAAGTACATAAAAAATCAAGAGCAATAATAAAAAAATCAGAAGAAACTCCCAATCATAATGTGACTTAAATAATATGAGACAAGGAAAAAATACATTTGATGGGAATGGTTCTAAACTTAAAAAGATATTAAAATGCAAACAACTAATAAATTTTATTGAAACATATAAAAACATGTCCTGAACAAATTTTTTAAAATACCACATGTATGAATGAGCAAACTCAATATTATAAATGTCAGTCTTCCCAAAACCAATACGTTGATGAAATACAATTTCACTCAGAATCTTCATAATTTTAATTCATAAAATTAACTACCAAACTATTTTAAAGTGTATATGGAAGAGTATATGTCTAAGAAAACCAAGAAAACTGTAAAAGTAGGAGGAACCACGATGTTTCTTTATTAAGCTTACAATAAAGTAAATAAAATTGTATATTATTGGTCCAGAAATAATAATTTAGTAGAATAAAACAGAAATACCAGAAGAGATTCAATTTTATATGAGTATATAGTAAGTGACAAATATGGAATTTTAATTCAGTAAAACCCGTGCGTGTGTGTGTATGTGTGTCTGTGTCTATCTTATTTAAAGAAATTAGATTAATATGTAAGGTGATGTTTTCTTGATAAAATTAAGAAAAAGTAAGTATTCTGCTGGCAACAAAATTAGGGCATGCAGTCAGGGAATCTACAAGGCATATGAAGAATGATCACTTCAAAACAACTAACCTTTAGATAGGAAACTGGACCTTTTGTGTGAAATCTATCCTGTGTTTTTTTTTTTCCTATTAGGATAAAATTATATATTGGCTATACATGGGTGAACAGAGAATTAAACCTGATAACAGACCAATCCATCTTGCAATACAAAAATGAAATTATAAGGAAAAAGATTATCTAACTATCTCGGTCTGCCTTCTGCTGCTATAAAAAAATACTTGAGAGTGGGTAATTTATAAACAACAGAAATTTATTTTCTCACAGTTCTGGCATCTGATAAGTCCTAGATAAACAGTGGCAGATTGGTGTCTGATAAGGGTTGCTCTGCGCTTGCAAGATGTGCCTCTTATTGGGTAATCACATGGGTGAAGGGGAAGATAGCTCCCCAGTATCTCTCTCATAAGAACGCTAACCCCACATGGGAGGGCTCTGCCCTCATGACTTAATCACCTCCTAGGGGTCTCACCTCCTAATACTATCACACTGATGATGAAATTTCAACATATGAAACTTGAAGGAACACATTCAGACCTTACCACTGATAGATCTATTAAACGTGGGCTTGTTATCCTGAAATAGTTATACCATTGCAATCAAAAAAAGTTAGAACAAAATCCAAAATAATGTCAAATTGAAGGTATTATTTGTAGCCAGGCACAGTGGCTCATGCCTGTAATCCCAGAACTTTGGGAGGCTGAGGCGGGTGGATCATGAGGTCAGGAGTTCGAGACCAGCCTGGCCAATACAGTGAAACCCTGTCTCTACTAAAAATACAAAAAATTAGCCGGGCATGGTGTCTCGCGCCTGTAGTCCCAGCTACTCAGGAGGCTGAGGCAGAATAATTGCTTGAACCCGGGAGGTGGAAGTTGCAGTGAGCCGAGATCGTGCCACTGTACTCCAGCCTGGGCAACAGAACGAGACTCTGTCGCAAAAAAAAAAAAAAAAAAAAAAAAAAAAAAAAAAAAAGTATTATTTATACAAACTGATATATCAACAATGTCTTGCATTATAAAAGTGCCAATAGGTTGCTGGAAGGCAAAATATTTGAAAGGTGGAGCAGTCTGAAATAAATTGTGTCTCTATTTTGTTTCTGATGTAGTTTTAGAAGAATGTTAAAGGAAATATAACGGAACTAAGATGATGCAAATTAGAGTTTGGTTGGTCCCTTCAGGAAAGAGTTTGGCATGGCCATGGGCCAAATTCAACCTTTGCTCTATCTTTGTAAAGTTTTGTTAGAATATAGCAACACATTTTTGTTACTTAATGTCTATAGCTGCTGTCATACTATCTACTTGGCTTAAAAGAAAACTTGTTTAATTCTAGAAATGGAGCAGACTGCAGTCTCTGAGTACAACTCAGTAAATTTAAAAAGAAATCATGAAAGTAAGAACAAACAAACAACCCAAACCACTTGGAAAAAAAGGAAAATTTTAAATATATAATAAAAATTTGATTCAAAGAAGTCAAAATCTCGGTTTGTTCCAGAAATTTTGAAAAACAACGGTAACTATGATGTTTCATGCAAAAACTTAGGGAATACTGCCAAAACTGCATATTTCATTGTTTCATTACATATAGGAAGGGTGAAAATAAATTATTGAAAGCATTTAATTCAAAAATATTGGTGAAAAAAGCATACCATGAAATTCTGAGGTACTCAGAAGGAGGAATTAATAAAAGAAAAGTAACAAAGGAGTAGGTTTAAAAGACATATTCAGATTGAATTTGTTGGAAATCAAACATATTTCCATCTAGATAATAATGTAGATGAGCCAACAGCTAATAAAATCAATAAAAATAGAAATATAAAAATATGTACAAATGCACCTAACAGCAGTTACATAAAACGAAACAAAAATACACCACCAACAAAAATACATAAAACAAAACTGAGAACTGGAAAGAGAAATATGAAAATCCACAACTATATTTGAAAACTTTCCTCTCCCAGTAATTGATAGAACAAGTAGAGGGAAAATTATTAAAATTAGAGAAAATCTGAGCAAAACTTCAACCACTTGACCTAAGTGATGTTATTTCAGACTCCATTCAACAACAGCAAGATATACATTCTTTTCATGTGCCCCTGGCAAATTCACCGAGATAGACCATATACCATACTATGAAACAAATCCTAACAAATTTAAAAGAACTTCAATAACAGGAAATGTGTTTTCTGACTATAGTAGATTTAAACTAAAAATTAATAACAGAAAGATATCTGAAAAATTCCCCAATATTTGTAAATTATACAAAACACTTCTTAATCCATGGATCAAAGAGTAAATCACTAGAAAAGCTAATGCACATTGAATTGATTGAAAACTAAAACGCATCATGTCAAACTATGTGTGGCAGTGGGATACAGCTAAAGTAGTACTTAGAGGTAAATTTATGGCAGTAAAATACTTATATTAGAAAACAGAAAAGTTCTCATATCCATAATTTAAGCTTCTAAATTAAGAAACTAGAAAAAGAAGTACATAATAAATGTAAAGGAAGCAGAAAGAAGGAAATACTAAAGGTAAGAACAGAAATGAGTGAACTTGAATATAGAAAACTAATGAAAACAAATGGTAAAATCAAAAGCTGATTCTCTGAAAAGATGAACGCCAGGCATGGAGGCTCATGCTTGTAATCCCAGCACTTTGGGAGGCCGAGGCGGGCAGATCACTTGAGGCCAAGAGTTTAAGACCAGCCTGGCCAACACGGTGAAACCCCATCTCTACTGAAAATATGAAAATTAGCCAGGCCAAGAGTTTGAGACCAGCCTGGCCAACTTGGTGAAACCCTGTCTCTACTGAAAATACAAAAATTAGCCAGGCATGGTGGTGTGCGCCTGTAATCCCAGCTACTCAGGAGGCTGAGGCAGGAGAATCACTTGAACCAGGGAGGCAGAGGTTGTAGTGAGCCGAGATCGCACCATTGCACTACAGCCTAGCCAACAAGAGCTAAACCCTGTCTCAAAAAAAAAAAAAAAAAAAAAAAGAAAAAAGAAAAGATCAATAAAACTGACAAGTCTCTAGCCAGACTGATCGAGAAAGAAAAGAAAGAAGACACAAATCGTTAGCATCGAGAATACAAGGACGAACATTACTACAGATCTTTGAGATATTAAAAGGAAAAATAAATATTAGAAGCACTTAATGCCAATAAATTTGATAGCACAGATGAAATAAACAAATTATTTGAAAGACACAAACTACCAAATCTCACTCAAGAATTAGGTAACGCATTTCACCAAGAAAAATCCATATGAAAACAGTTTCACTGGGGAATTCTACCAAATATCTACAAAAAAAAAAATAGTATCAGAGAAAGAATAGTACTTTTAGGAAGCAGTGCTTAAACAGATATCCATATGTAAGAAATCAACCTAGACCCATACCTTGCACTATATATAATAATCAACTCAGAACATAACATAGGGGAAACATTTTGTGACCTTTGTTAGGCCAAGAACTTTGAGATATGACATAAAGTACAAAACAAAGAAAGGTTGATTAGTTGAAATTCATTGAAATTAAAAACTCCTGCTCTTCAAAGGGCACTGTCAAAAAGATAAAAAGAGATGTCACAGACAGGGAGGAAATATATACAAAACACACAAATGTGATAAATGATTGTATCCAGAATACACAAAGAACTTTGAAGTTCAGTGGTACAAAGACAGTTCAACTTAAAATATAGGCAAGCAGTTTGAACAAAGATGTCATCAAAGAAGATATGTGAAGGACAAAAAGCACATGAAAAATTCCCAACAGCATCAGTCATTATGGAAATCCAAATTAAAACCACTATGAGCTCTAATCACTTACACACTCACCTACTCATGTGGCCAAAGCAGGGGAAAGGGAGACAATGAGAAGTCCTCACAAGGCTATGAAATGACTGGGACTCTTCGATACAGTGCAAAATGGTACAACCACTTTGGAAAACAGTTAGGCAGCTTCTTATAAACTTATACTTTACATATAACCCAGAAAATCAAATCCTGGATATTTATCCAAGAGAAATAAAAATGTATGTCTATTCAAAGACTTGTACACAAATATTCATAACAGTTTTACCTATAGTAGACAAAACTGGGAACAACACAGATTTCTATCCATGAATGGATGAACTGTGATATATTCATACAATCAAATACTACTCAGCAAATAAGAAGTAAAGTACTAATACATGCAGTAGCGTGGCTAAACCTTGACAGCAAGATGCCTCATGAAGGAAATCAGACTCAAAAAGCTGCATCCTGTGGGATATCATTTACATCACATTCTAGAAACAGAAAAACTATAGGGACAGAAAGCAGATCACTGGTTTTCAGGGCCGAGCACAGGGAAGAATTAATTTTAAAGGGGCATGGGGAAACTTTTTGGGATTATGAAAATATTTTTTATTTCAATAGTGGTAGTGGTTATACAACTATACATTTATCAAAATTCATTTAATTTTCCTCCTAGAAATGGTACATTTTATTATAGATAATATTTTTTGAAACTTAAACACATACAAAATTATTTATTTGGGCAAACAAGCAGAAACAAAGATGACATTAGAGTGATACGGCACGATATTTTTGCCCAACCCTACCACCATTTTATTTGAAAACCTGGATGGATTTCCAAGAAACCACAAATGAACAAATTTGACTGAAAACACATGGAAAAGCTAAATAAATCAATAATCATAAAATGAACTAAAACACATAAGAATATCAAGAATATCCCAGTGGTTTGAGTGCTTCTCCTATACTCTCCCCAAAGCACCAGGACATTCAGTTTTAGGAAAGAGTATTTTCATTCCTTTAAGAAAAAAGTAATTCCTATATCCATGAAATGGTACTAGGACATAAAAAGTGAAAGACAATTTAGGAATTCCTTTTTAAAGCTACTCTCACCCCCATAGCAAAACTTAACAAAAGGTAGGCTTAAAAACCCCCAGGCCAATCTTACTTATGAATATGGACGCAAAAATTTTAAATTAAATATTGTTACTTGAGCAGCTCAATAAAATACCATATCTTATGATAAAATGAGATTTATTTCAGCTGTGCAAGATGGTTCAATATTAGAAAATGTGCATTCATGCATTACCACATTAAGAGATCCAACAGAAAATCACCTGATCATTTCTGATCCTACTGGTTTATACCTTTCCCAAGATCTCACATGGCTCACCCTACAAGGCATTCAAACCTCACTCAAAGAACACCTCCACAGAGAACTAGCCTTCTTGAACTATCTTTGATATGTCACCTTCCTACCAGCCCAGAACCATCACTCTCCACGAGAGTAGAGACTTTATTTTTTGTTTGAGACAGAGTCTTGCTCTGTCACCCAGGTTGGAGTGCAGTGGCGCAATCTTGGCTCACCGCAACCTCCGCCTCCCAGGTTCAAGCGGTTCTCTTGCCTCATCCTCCCGAGGAGCCACCATGCCCGGCTAATTTTTGTATTTTTAGTATAGACGGAGTTTTGCCTTGTTGGCCAGGCTGGTCTTAAACTCCTAACCTCAGGTGATCAGCCCGCCTCCGCTTCCCAAAGTGCTAGGATTACAGGTATGAGCCACTGTGCCCGGCCAAGACTTTGTTTACTGTCTACAGAATGCCTAGCACTACTCAACCAATACTTGATGGATGAATATCAGTAGATATTGACAAGGGTTTTAAGAAATTCAATCTCTATCTATGATAAAAGGCTTGGTAAAATGGAAACAAACAGCTACTTTTTAAAATGACAAAAGAGAAAAGTATCTCATATCCAAATTTTGCTTTCTGTTTAATGTTGAAATAATCCAAGCATTTCTATTAGATTCAGAACAAAACAAGGATGTCCTCTATTCCAGATATAAGTGCCAAAGCAATTAAACAAGAGACTGAAATAAAAGGTATGCCTGTTTTTAAAAAGGAGGTAAAAACAGTTATTATTTGCAGGTCAGCCTTGGTGAATCAGCTGAAAAACTATTAGAAAATAAATAGAAGATCTTACTAAGGGAGCTGGTTATAAAATTAACATGAAAAGCCAGTAGCTTCACAATGTACAATAAACAGAAAATGCAAAGGAAGTAATGATCAGTTCAAAAATGTAATGCAAGAAGAATCCTATACATAAAAGTCATCAGAAAAAATAATCTAGGAGCAAGTGAAACTAGAAATCTGAAGTACCTATGTGAATAAAGCTATGAAATTCTACTCAGAAATATGAAAGATTTTATGAAGTCAGAATAAATTCAATATTGTAAAGGTATCAATTCTTCCTAAATTAATCTATAAATTCAATGCAGATAGAATATAAATCCAGTAGGATTTCTATTGCAACTTACAGTTCTCTCCCACTTATCTGGAAAAATAAGTGTGTGAGAATATCCAGAAAGTGTTTGAAAAAGATAGCGGGAGATAGATCTATCAAATATTGGTAATGTATTGGAAAAGTACAGAAGGTGAAACTGTATGGTAATCGTGCAGAACAGCCCAACGGAAAATACTACAGAATAGAGTCCAGAAATAGAACTGAAGGAACATGTAAGTAAAAGGCAGCAGTAGAGCCTAGGGCAATGGTTGGGCATTAGGTTCAAATCCCAGTTTTGCCTCTTCTTGCTATGGGACCATAGGCAAGTTGCTTACTTTTATTCATTTAGTCACTGATTTTAGAGAAGGGTCTTGCTCTGTTGCTCAGGGTGGAGTGCAGTGGTGTAATTATGGCTCACTGTAACCTTGAGCTCCTGGGCTCAAGTGATCCTCTTGCCTCAGCCTTCCAAATCAGCTAAGACTACAGGCATGTGCCACCAAGCTCAGCTGGGCTTTTTGTCTTTTTTGTTTGTTTGTTTGTTTGTTTGTTTTTTGTAGATACGGGGTTTCACTACACTGCCCAGGCTGCTTTTGAACTTCCAGCCTCAAGCGACAGTCCTGCCTTGACCTCCCAAAGTGCTGGGATTATAGGTGTGAGCCACCATGTCTAGCCCAGTTGCTCTGCCTTTCTGGAAAACATTGTTCTCCTGCATGGTAGTGGGGAAGAATAGTATTATAATAATAGTAATGACCTCAGATGGTTTTGATATAATTACATGAAATAATCTATAAAAATGCTAGCATAGGACTTGGCATTTAGGAAATAGTCAATACATGCTAGCATACATACCTGCATACATATATGAAATTCTTATTTTAAGTTTGTAGAGGAAAGAAGTTGTTAGCACAACTAGTTAGCTATCTTGGACAAAGTGTGTACATGGGAGTGATGCTGTATGAGGATGGTCATCTCCATCATTATTTATAGGGGTGAAACATTATTGATCCACATGACTAAGAAAAATGAACATAAGAGACCTCTATATATTGATACAAAAAGACAATGTTATCTTGTTGAGTAAAGAGGTTAGAATGCAACATGTATATAGCACAAACTTGCAATGTAGAACTGTGTTCATAAATCTAAATGCTTTCTCTTCCTGTAGTGGGTTGAATGGTGACTCCTAAAAGATACATCTGCTCAGAACCTGGAATTGTGATCTTATTTGGAAATAGGCTCTTTGCTGATGTAATTAAGTTAAGGATTTCAAGATGAGATCATCCTGGAGTAGGGTGGGCCTTAAATCCAATGACAAGTGTCCTTATAAATGGAGAAGAGGAAAGACACACAGAGGAGAAGGCCATGTGAAGACTGAGGCAGAGACTGGGGTGATGTGTCAATGACACAAGGGAAGCCAAGGGTCACTGCAGTTACCAGAAGCTAGAAGAAAGGCATGGAACAAATTATCCTTCTGAGCCTGCAGAAGAAATCAAGCCCGCAAACACCTTGGTTTTAGACCTCTGACCTCCAGAATTGTAAGAGAATAAATCTCTGCTGTTTGAAGCCATAGGGTTTGTGATAATGTGTTACAGCCGCCACAGGAAAAAACTGTACTTCCCAACATCATCAAACCCCAGTATTTATCTTTGAAAATCCACTCGTTCACCTCACAGTTCAGTTTCTCCCTACCTCCAAGGACCGACTGGCCTTCTATTTGCTGCCCCTAAGTTAAATAGAAGAAATTGTTTGCAACCTGGCCCTATGCATAATTCATGGCTGACTCTGGCTGTATCTGCTTTGTCAGCTTTTGATCTCCTGGTTAAAGAGATAAAGGTGTTATCTGTATTAGAGTAACAGTGTCCAATAATAGGGGATTGGGTAAGTAAATTAGGGTCCATCAACTTGATAAAATATTACATAGTGACTGAATAAGATAATGATTAAGACAAGCAATGTGGAAAAAATAAGGTCTTTGACATAACGCTAAGTGGAAGAAAGTATGTTATCAGATTGTATCTACAATATAATAACAACCAGGACAAAATTCTTCCTAGATGTGGACAAGGACTTAAAACAGGTGGATATGTTGGGCTGTGGGACTGTGGGTGTTTCTTCTTCCATTTAGAGTCTTAGAAATGCTATTATAATGGTGTTTGTGCTATAGTAAAAATGGAAACAAAAAAGGCACCAAAGCCTACAGTTTCTCACAGGGTGCATAGAAGCTGGAGAGGGAGAAAGGATGCCCTATCATCTCCAAGTAAAGGGCCCTGTACAGAAGCTCTATCAAACTTTGTCCTAATAGAGAACTGGGCACCTCCATTTACAGTATGAAGTCTTGGATTTTTGAGTAATGATTCAAATTCATTTTTGAATGAAGCTGAAATTCCTCTTGGCAGATTCCAGGTAAATGCAAACACTGGATAAGATACAATGGCAGACAAAATAACCCCGCACCTCAGCCCTTCCTATGACCTGGCTTTCTTGGATTTTACCCAAGCAGCCTCCTGCCATTCTCTTCCCCCAACCCTATATATATGTTGTTCTTCATGGAGATTCCTCCCTATTTCCTGAACATGCCTTGTTTCGTTGTTTCCCTGCAAACACAAAAAGAGGCTACCCCTATATTCCTTCTCCTCTTTTAAGTTAGAACTTAAATATATATTTTGCTGGGGGAGACAAAATTCAATCCTCCAGGAGAGTAATCTCCCTGGAATTTTTAGGGAGAAAATAAAAGGAAAATAACAGTTAGAGAAAAATAATGAAATAAAAAAAAATGGACAAGCTAATATCTGTTTTAAAACTTCATTCATACTTTGAAGCAAACATTTACTGTATCTAGCATGCCCAAGATGAATGAATAATATGAAGATGAGGAAGGCTTGACATTTATTTGTCTATTTATTTATTCATTTTTTAGAGTCAAAGTCTCACTCTCTCACCCAGGCTGGAGTACAGTGTCATGATCATAGCTCATTGTAACCTCAAACTCCTGGGCTCAAGTGATCTTCCCACCTCAGCCTCCTGAGGAGTTGAGATGACAGGCATGAGCCACTGCACCCAGCTAATGTTTTAAAAGTTTTTGTAGAGAAAGGGTCTCTATATGTTTCCCAGGCTGCTCGACATTTTTTGATCCCCTACAATGTTCCAGAAGTTCTCACACATAAGCTCATTTTATCCTCAGAGTGACATTCAACAGGTATTTGTATCCCCTCATTACGCAAATAAGGAAACTGAAATTTGTCAAGTGAGCAATTGAAGTATGATTTGTCTGGACTGAAACATGCTGTAAGTGGAAAATGCACGCTGTATTTCAAATCTTAGTATAAAAAGTATAAAATATCTTGTTCATATTTTTATATTAAATTACATGGTCAAATGATACAATTTTGGATTACATATTACTAAAACTATACATTATTAAAATAATTTTACCTGTTTTTTAATTAAATGCAGCTAATAGAAAATTTTAAATTACATATGTGACTCACATAATGTTTCTACTAAAAGGTGCCAGTCTAAAATGACAGAACTGAGAATGATGAGTCTAGCTTAGACTCTGGCTCAGGGCTCCAAAACTGACCACATTATCAGCCTTACTTAGGTCTCTGCCTCCACAGCAAGGACCATGAGTTAGAAAACAATGTTTCAGAAATAACACATAAATAGTTAACAACTACATGGAAAAAAATTTAATCTAGCCAATAATCATTAAATGTGTGGTTTATGGCTGATATGTGAAAGACAATAGGAAGATGACCAATAGCTTGCACTCAAAATCAATGTCCAAATCAGAGCAGAACAGAGAGACGCAAATTACCTGGACACAAAGATGGGTTCCCAGGCTCTCAGGTATGTACTGCCGCTCAGATCTGGAGAGGGGTAGGGTATTCAGCCAGGACCATAGGGGCCGGGTCATGTTATGGGAAATCCCTGCTGCAGCACATACCCCAGTCTTGACCACAGGAGAGGCTGTCCTGGCTGTAGGACACCCTCCCCCGGCGGAGGAGGAAGCTATTAAAGATGAATCTCCTATCTCCTCTTGCCTTTGAGAAAGACTTCCCAAATTTCATACAAGCTGCCTCCCACTATAAGTAAAACATCAGCTCCCAGAGGAGAGAGATTTGTCTGTTTGGTCCATCAGCGTATCCCAACTGCATAGAACAGTTCCCAGCATATAATGAGTGTTGAAGAAACACTGAACAAATGAACTAGCAAATGAATGAATGGGTTGATTTCCCCCCACAGGGTGCTGCCAATAGTGAGACACTGTAACAGCTACAATGAGCCTGGTTTTCTCTGTGACGACTTTTGTGTGTCCCTCTGATGCATGAGGCCCCTGACTTTCAGTGTCAGTGTTCCAACTGTACACATAGGTCCATCCCACCCAATATGTGGCCAAGACAGAGGTTGAGCCTGGCTCACCAGGGCTGGAATAAAGTTCAAGCTCAGTTGCACATGCACACAATTTGCACGAGCATGAGGGAAAGAGGGGTTCATTGCTTTAGCAAAGAGTGAAGAGGGAGGAGCTTCAAGGTGCCTACAGTACCAGGGCAGCAGGGGAAGGTTAGATTTTGGGGGAAACATGAACAGATGGCTTCCTCTATTTTAGCATGTCTCTGCTTTGAACCACCTCCTTTTCTTAGAACTTTGCCTCACAACTCTAAGACTCCCCTCCAGGCAATAGTACTTTCTGGCATGTGGTTTAGATGTTAAGCACTGTGGATGCTGGAACTTGAGGCTGGGGTAAGGCAGCTTTGAGTACTCCTTTTATCCCCCTCATGCCCTCTTTTCTTCTCCCTCTCCTAGGATTTCCTCTCCTCCAGCCCCTTCCCTACCTCCCTGGTTCTGGTTACTTCCTCCTATAATTTCTGTCCTGACAGTAGAGGATCACCTGAAGACCTTCTGTACCTGTGAAGTGACCTTATTTGAAAATAAGGTTTTTGCATCTATAATCAAGTTAAGATGAGGTCATTAGGGTGGGCCCTAGACCAATATGACTGGTGTCCTTATAAAGAGCAGAGGAGAGACACTGAAGAGACGCACACCTAGCGAGAACGCCACGTGGAGACAGAAGCGAGACTGGAGCAATGCAGCCACAAGCCCAGGATGCCAAGGATTGCTCATAACAGCAGAAGCTGTGAAAAAGCCACGGCACAGGTTTTCCCCAACAGCCTTCGGAGGGGGTGGGGACCTGCTGACACCTCGATTTTGATTTCTGAATTCCAGCCTCTGAGACTGTGAGAGAATGAATGTCTGCTGTCTAAAGCCACCTGGTTTGTGATGCTTTCCTATGGCAGCCCTGGGAAAATCATATCGGGTTGCTATGTCTGTCTGTCATCAGTTATGACAGGTGACTTGGTTACCAACAGGCACAATTTCAATGAGAAAAAGTGAACCATTATGTAAACACATTTATCTGAGGGCCTGAATACGACTGTCCAATGCCTATAATCTCTGAGTTTGGGGTTATCATGAAAAAGGAATGCTGAACTCGTTTTGACTCAGATAAATGTCTGAGCTCCGGTGCTTATTCTGGCCGTGCACCACTTCCTCAACCCCACACAAATGCTTCTTTGCTCTGATTGCAAACAAAATGCATGCTTGTTAGAAAACCCGGAGAGAGAGAGAGAAAAAACAAACAAATCATAAAGGGAAAATAATTTGCCTCCCTTCTCCTTACGCCAGGCTAATCACTGTTGATGTTGTGTTATGTTCTCTTCCTCTTTCCTCATTACGCTGGTCTCACAAGGGATTCAACTCACCTTGCTGTCCAGCACATACTCACTTGGTTACTGATGTCTGAGCCACTGATGTAGTCCTCACAGCCCCCACCTTTTGAGGGGGATTCTGGTCTGTCTTCGTCTGTCCCCAGAGTGTGAAGAGCCCAATAAATTGTTAGTAGTTAAGCAATTCTGAAACCAACCCCTACCAACATGGGTCTAGGACCAACCCCCGCCAAGACCTCACAACATTTGGGGGTGTTGCAGAGAACACTGTAGTGGGGTTTGGGAATTGCTGCGGATAAGTGAGGCAGCTATGGAAGAAGCCCCTGTCAGTAGTTGAAGCAACCCAGAGTGCACTTCTGAACCTTAGGAAAGGATTAGGATTGGTGACAGGGGATTTCACCACTGCCTCTTTTGAGTTTAAAAGCTCCAACCTTGCCCTAAGTCATGCATAGCTCACCCAGAGGTGAATCATATTAGCCCAGGTGTCTGTTCTTGGTTGATCCAGAACTGCTTCTTCTTTATCTTTTAATTCTCCTTGGAATCAGGTAGATCCCATATAAACCCTCAAAAAGTAAAGTCTGATTACCTCCCATCTTTCTGAAAAATTAGATGCAGTCTGCACTTCTCTTCTCAACGTAATGACATGTGGTGTTTCCAGCAAGTTCCTGACCCCCTAACATACACACACACGCACGCACGCACACACACACACGCATGCACACACACACACACTTTTTTAAAGGAGTTGCCAAGTGCAGCAGGTTGGGTGGCGGTCTCCAAAAGATACATCTATCTGGAATCTGTGAATGTGACCTTATTTGGGAAAAGTGTGGAGAAAGGGACAACAGGCAGGAGATTATCACAGTCAGGACAAGAAACCAGGAGACGTTGACAGTCACGACTAAGGTGGTAGGAGTGAAGACAGAGTTGTGGGATTTCAGGGACATGTGGAGGTAGCACATGAGGGTGATGGGCTGACAGGGTGTGTGTGTGTGTTTGGGGGAGGAGAGCAGACAGTGCTCATGGATAAGACGAGTCAATATCATTAAAATTGCCATACTACCCAAAGCAATTTATAGGTTCAATGCTATCCCTATTAAAAGGCCATTGACATTCCTCAAGAAACTAGAGAAGAATATTTTAAAATTTATATGGAACCACTAAAAACCCTGAATAGCCAACACAATCCAGCAAAAAGAACAAAGCTGGAGGCATTGCACTATCCAACTTCAAACTATACCACAGGGCTATAGTAACCAAAACAGCATGGTACTGGTACAAAAACAGACACAGAGACCAATGGAACAGAATAGAGAACCCAGATATAAGACCACACACCTACAACTACATGATCTTCAACAAACCTGACAAAAACCAAGCAATGTGAAAAGGATTCCCTATTCAATAAATGGTGCTGGGATAACTGACTAGCCATATGCAGAAGACTGAAACTAAACCTTTTCCTTACACCATATACAAAAATCAACTCAAGATGGATTACAGACTTAAATGTAAAATCCAAAACTATAAAAAATCTGGATGACGACCTAACCAATACCATTCAGGACATAGGCATGGGCCAAAATTTCATTATGAAGATGCCAAAAGCAATTGCAACAAAAGCAAAACTTGACAAATGGAATTTAATTAAACTAAAGAGCTTCTACACTGCAAAATAAACTATCAACAGACTAAAAAGACAACCTACAGAATGGGAGAAAACTTTTTCAAACTATGCATCTGACAAAGGTCTAATATCCAGCATCTATAAGAAACTGAAGCAAATTTACAAGAGAAAAAAAACCCATACAAAAGTGGGCAAAAAATATGAGCAGACACTTTTCAAAAGAAGACAACAGGCGGCAAACAAACATGAAAACATGCTCAACATCACTGATCGTTAGAGAAATGCAAATCAAAACCACCATGAGATACCATCTGACACCAGTCAGAATGGTTACTACTAAAAAGTCAAAAAATAAACAGATGCTAGCGAGGATGTGGAGAAAAAGGAACACTTATATACTGCTGGTGGCAGTGTAAGTTAATTCAGCCATTGTGGAAGGCAGTGTGGTGATTCTTCAAAGACCTAAAGACAGAAATACCATTCGACCCAGCAATCCCATTACTGGGTATATACCCAAAGCAATATAAAACATTCTATTATAAAGACACACGCATGTAGATGTTCATTGTAGCACTATTCACAATAGCCAACAGAATCAACCTAAATGCCCATCAATGATAGGCTGGATAAAGAAAATGTGATACATATACACCATGGAATACAATGCAGCCATAAAAAGGAATGAGATCATGTTCTTTGTAGGAACACAGATGGCGGTGGAGGCCATTATCCTTAGCAAGCTAACACAGAAACAGAAAACCAAATACCACATGTTCTCACTTATAAGTGGGAGCTAAACGATGAAAACACAGGGACACATAGAGGGACACAACACACACTGGGGCCTTTCAGAGGGTGGAAGGTGGGAGGAGGGAGAGGATCAGGAAAAATAATTAATGGGTACTAGGCTGAATACCTGGGGGATGAAATAATCTACACAATTAGCTCCCATGAAAACCTTCACTTGTACCCCTGACCTTAAAAGTAAAAAAAAAAAAAAAAAAAAAAAGGAAGAGAAAGACTAATAAAAGAATCAGAAATGAGTCAATTTCTCTGCCAGGGACTTTTGCATAGTATCCCTTTCCACCATGTGGCAAACTTCACAGAGTCCTTGTTAGTCTCCCTGCTTATAGGCTAGGTATCAGGCCCCAGGGAATGACACGTCACCCAGGGTTAGTGGCACAGTTAGACTGCATTTCCCTTTTTTATGTGATTCTTTGCCCACAACCCTTCTAATACACCCTCAGTCTGGCCCCAACTCTCTCAGCCTGTGGCCTCATCCTGTGCCCAGGCCCCTCACTGGTCTCAGCCTTCTTCCAGCTGAAGCCTCTTTATTTCCAGCCCCTTTGATCAGAGCTTGGGTTGATGCAATGCACCACTCTAGGGGAAGCATAAACCCAGAAAAACATCAGGGGGTTGTGCTGTTGACATCACAATCATAATTCTGGAAACTTATTTGAAGGAAATAATTTAACAAGACAGGAAAAAGCAAGTTCATAAAAATGTTCATGGAAACCTCTATGATTTTCCATAATGGATAAATGTTAGAGGCTATGTGAATGTCACATAAGGTAGTTAAATAAATCATGATAGTGTCACTTGATGGGACAGAATGTGGCCATTAAAATGCTAACAATGTAACTATGTATCATTTTACATGAGGAAAAAGCATTTAAAATAATAAAGATGCAATAATTACAGAAAAATTTCATATGTATATAGACAGGTACTAGGAGAAAAAAATGAAACAAAAGTAAGATTCTGAGTAACTGATAATTTGTTTTCTGTTACTACATTTTATAAATATAAACAACTAACTTTTTAAAACAAATTTAAAGCTTGTGCTAAACTGTGACTTAGCCCCCAGTAAATCTCTATTTATTTGGCATCTGCTAAAAGAACCAAATGCTCTTGAGATGCTGATGGGACCAACCTTAAAGCATTTAGGTTTTTTATTTTTTATTTTTTGGCCCTTAAAACATTTTTGTTCTTGTCATGACTTTGGACACTCAAGTTTTCCAAACCTCAAAAAACAAAACCTTTTTGTCCCCAGCTGAAATCCAATGTCACAGGTGCACTTTCTCTGTGCAAAAAATACTCCCAATTTACTGACAGAAACTTAAAGCCCAGATTGCAGCTTTCAAGGTTACTCCAAGGGCATTGTTATCCTAGGACCCATATGGGTCAGGCTGTAAGTTTCCTACCAGTGGATTCCAGAGCCTTGGGCAGAGAACACCAGAGCTGGTAGTAAACACCTTCCACCTGCCTCCCACTCTCAAACTGAGGGATACTTGTCTGAGGGGGCTCGCTGTGCCTCAAAAGCCTTAAACAGCAAGCAAAATGAGCTTCCCTGTGCCTAATTTGGGAATGATTTACTCATTTACACAAGCAGCTCAAGTTTGGTACAATTAGCTGGTGTAATTGGAAGTCACTGTCTATGAGGATGGATGCAGCAGCCCCCAGACCACACCAAGTGCAGTGAAATTACAGCAAATTGCAGTGCTCCTGGGCACTGTGAAACAGACTTTGCCATAGCAGCCATGGCACATCTTTTTGTCAGATGAGAACACAAATATAAAACAGTCCTTAGCAACATCTTTCTTCCCAAGACAAGAACGCAAGAGGGAATCTAGGATGCCTTTAAGGTATTATGTAGGGAGATGGTTCCAGTAAGAATCCTGTTAAAGAGAGTTGCCTCTCTCTGACGTATGCGTGGAAAAAGATGGATTTAAGCAAATAGACACGGCTGACAAAAGTGTATGGAAAAAGAAAACAAGAAATGCTTTTTGTTTTCTATATTTCTTTGACATTACGGAATTTACTGCTCAGCTAAAATAGGACAGGTTGAGGGGGAAGAAAGGCCAATTCTTTCTTTGTGAGTTACGTATTATGAGTAATATGGGTTCTGTATTACTCAAACATCCAGTATGCATCCACTCTCTGCTAGGTACTCTTCTAGATGTCTGGGAAACATTGATGAACAAGACAAAATCCTTGCCTGGAGCGTGAGATGCACACAAGCAAACCCACACAAAGATTACTATAACGCAATGCAGTCATTGCAATGACAAAAATACTCCAGAATGTTACATGAGGGGGGTGCATAAACCAGTTAGAGGAGGTGAGATGAAGTCTCTTTGAAAAGAGGTAATGCCCATTCTACTCGGTGACTTATAAGTTTGAATTTTTAAGTTCCAAATGTAAGTGAAATCATGCAATATTTGTCTTTCCATACCTGGCTTATTTCACTCATCATAATGTCCTCCAAACTAGGGGGTGAAGAAAATGGGGAGATCTTGGTCAATGGATGCAAAGGTTCAGTTATGCAAGATGAATAAGTTCTGGGGATCTAATCTACAGCATGGTGACCATAGTTGATAATATTGTATTCTATACTTGAAATTTGCTAAGAGAGCTTATTTTAAGTCCTCTCACCATGAACAACATCATAACTATGTGAGGAGATGGATATGTTAATTAGATTGATTGTGGTAATCACTTCACAACGTATACATATGTTGCACACCCTAAACAGATACAATTTTTATTTGTCAAGTACACTTCAATAAAGCTGGGGTAAAAGAGAGGTAATGACTGAGATGATTGAGGCAAGCAGACATTATCCCAGCAAACAGCCAGTGGATGAGAGAGGGAGGCCTTGAAGGCAAATCAGCGTTATCAATGTGCAAAGAAGTACAAAGGTAAAGAGGAGCTTCTGGAAGGGGCTGCCAATAAGCAGTTTGGTGCTGCCAGAACATAGAGGTGGAAAAAGCAGATGATCAGAAAGCAAGCTAAAGAGGTCATGAGGAGTCCAGGGGTACCCAAATGCTGGATTAAAGAGCTGTATGGTTCGTGAAAGTTGTCTGTGTGTTTCATAGTGATACGGATAGGAGTCAGGGAAATACTGGGTAGAAGAGGGTTCCCTGGCAAAACCCCCACCCTCAAGCCTGGAAACCCACAGCCCTAAATGGGAACAGGCATTCCTCTTTTCATGCCCAAATGTGGCCTTTTGGCTCACCACACTCCCCTATCCTGTACCCATATAAAACCCAAACCCCGGGCTCCACAAGCAGACAAACAGAAGAGAAGAAGAGTAACAGAATGGCATGGCAGAGGAGAGAAGAGAAGGAGCATCCAAACATCAAGAGGAGTTCAGCTGGGGATGTTCAGAGAGGAAACCGGCTGCTGGATGACCAAAATCCAGGGGAAGGTCATCTTCCCACTCCATCCCCTTTCCACCTCCCCATCCAACCTGCTGAGAGCCACCTCCACCATACAATAAGACCCCCACATTTACCATCCTTCAAGTCCATGTGTGAACTGATTCTTCCTGGACACTGGACAAGAACCCAGGTACTAAGAGGACACTGAATTGGTTAACACTTAAGCCGTCTGCAGATGGCAGAGCTAAAAGAGCACTGTAGCATGCCCACTGAGGTTTTGGGAGTTGCAGACACCCACCCCTGGATGCTGCTGTGGGGCCAGAGCCCAAAAGTGCTAGCCCGAGCTCCTGCACCTGCCTGTCTGTGAGCTCCCCCTCCCGTAAGGGGTTTGAATGTGCACAGTGGCTGAACGGATGAGTCACACCCCTGTTGTGTGTCCTGCAAGGGGGGTCAGGGAACCCTCTTGTTTCAATAGGTTGGTCAGATGGCTGATGTGGAGGGTGGATCTTGGAGAAAGGACCAGGGGAAGCCAGCAGGTGATGGATGCAGGAGTCCTGAGAATTTGAGATCCCAACCAGGGCAAAGGTAGGAGGGCAGAGGTCAGTGCAGACAGATTTGCCACAGTAGCTGTCAAACATGGTGGCACAAGAGACTCCTCTGGGCTCCATTTATAAATATTTCCTGGCCCCACCCCTGAAGTTTCTGATTCAGTAGCTTTTAGAAGAATTTGGATCTGCCTGTCTTTTAAGCCTCCAGAGCTTTGAAAGCTCAGTCAGATTTGAAAGCCATTGATTTAGAAAGTAAAATCCATCCCTCCTCTTCTCCCCCATTCTTTTCTTTCTGTAACAGTCTATTTGGCACCTACTGCATGGCAATACTTTACTGAGGTTAAGAAGTACCATGGGAGTTAAAGAATACACAAAAAGGGAAGGTCTTTCATCCTTTTAAGTGTTTCTCAAACTTAAAAACTTGTTAGCCTGCAAACCTGTAAAACTTATAAAATCTGTCTTAGTTTGGGCTGCTATAACAAATTACCACAGACTGGGTAACTTATAAACAACAGCAATTTATTGCTCACAATTGAGGTTGGGAAATCCACGATCAAGGTGCCTGCAGATTCAGTGTCTAGTGAGGTTTTGTTCTTCATCGATGGCGCCTTCTAGCTGTGTCTTAACGTGGCAGAAGGGGTGAACAAGCTCCCTCCAGCATCTTTCATAAGAGCACTAATCCCATTAATAAGGGCAGACTCCTCCCAAACATCCAAGCATTTTATCATCTCCCAAAGGTCTCACCTCTTAATACCACTGTCAGGCCTCTGAGCCCAGGCCAGGCCATCGCATCCCCTGTGACTTGCACGTATACATCCAGATGGCCTGAAGTAACTGAAGATCCACAAAAGAAGTAAAAACAGCCTTAACTGATGACATTCCACCATTGTGATTTGTTCCTGCCCCACCCTAACTGATCAATGTACTTTATAATCTCCCCCACCCTTAAGAAGGTTCTTTGTAATTCTCCCCAGCCTTGAGAATGTACTTTGTGAGATCCACTCCTGCCCACGAGAGAACAACCCCCTTTGACTGTAATTTTCCATTACCTTCCCAAATCCTATAAAATGGCCCCACCCCTATCTCCCTTCTCTGACTCTCTTTTGGGACTCAGCCCTCCTGCACCCAGGTGAAATAAACAGCCATGTTGCTCACACAAAGCCTGTTTGGTGGTCTCCTCACACGGACGCACATGAAAACCACTACATTGGGAATTAGGTTTTATCATAAGAATTTTGGGGAAACACCAACATTCAGACTATGGCCACCCCCAGGCATAAATGTGTGGACACCTCATGCCAAAGGGTTCCATAGATTACAGTTGGAGAAATGCTACCTTGACCATACTACCACTTACAGTCACTGGGTTCACCCATCAACATTGAGGTTATAGAAGCAGTCATCCTGGTGGCCCAGGTTAGGTTTCTTTTCATTTTTCTTTTTAAATAATTATTAATTTGAAAGTGAGAAACTTCATGAACTGCCATGGTTCTTGTTTACAGACAGCCCTGTCCATTTTGACATTTCTGTGCAGATGTAAGAGACGAAATTCTTTTTTCAAAATTGACTTGGTATGGGAAACTTTTTTCCAGTAATGAAAAATATTAGCCCAACTTGCCTTTTGCAATTTTCCTTTGATGTTGACACACCAGACAGTGCCTATTTGTGTCAGAGCCCTCCCAAAGCCATCAGGTCAAGCATGCCACTCAGCTTCACAGGAGGGGAAGGATGGGCTCTGAATATGTCTACTCAGTTGCAGGAATGTTCAGGTTGAATGGAATTTGCAAATACAATCATGACGATGAAGTCACCTCCATTGTGGGCATGAAACTCAACTCATCCCATTTGTTTTTTCCCACTCATTTCCCTACACAAGCCTTGTTCATCCAATACTGACAGGGCACCCCTCCTCAAGGATTTGGCAATTCAAGCTTGGGGGACACCATGTAGACTACATGGTTTCCAAGCCAAGGCTAGATCCAGACCTCAGTCACCCTCTTCATTCCAAAACTGCGCCTTTACTCCTCCCCACCCTACATCTGCAAGCTTATGGCCACCCTAATCAAGTGGATTGATCATGATTGGGAAATTCAGGTTAATTTCACCATCATTTATTGAGTGCCTTTGGAAAAGGCACTGTGGCTAACTAGTTAAGTGGGCAAGCTTTGTATTCACACTTAGTAGGAATCTAGGTTTTGTTTAGTAGTCAGGTCATCTCAGGCAAGTAACTTCCTTCTTCTAAGGCTCAGTATTAAATGGGGATAGTGATCCTTACCTTGAAGGGCTGAGACAAAATGCATGATGATAAGCACTCTCAGTGATACATGGTAAAGATAATGGGGTCTCCATGGGATTCGAGCAGGAAATAGACAGATAATTCAAGCAGAGTTGACTAAAGGCACTATTTACAACCCTGTGAGCCGGTTGAGAGAATCGGGGCAGAGGTATCGTGGAGGAGTGAACTAAGTAAGCGAGAGTGGGAGGGGTGGAGGAGGGAGCAGGTCCTAGAACCTGAAAGGTCACCTTGGGAGGAGCTGTGACCTTTCTGGAGGGGAGAAAGCTGCAGCAGTCAACACCCTTCCCTTGGTCTCCTCCCTCTCTCCTCATCCCCTGCAAGGCGCTCTTTCAGATGAACAGAAGGCAAGGCAACACAGTGATGTCTGAGACTCAATCTCCTGTGCCAGGGCACAGGCAGAGAAAGGTGGAGGGAAGACATGAAGGAAGGAAGGGCAGGTAGCAGCACCACTGCCATTCATGGATGACCTATCCTATGCCAGGAAGTCTAAGAATTCTGAGCCAAGTTGTAGACAGATGTAGAAATCCACAATCACAGTATGGGGGAATAAATTCTATTATAAACTAACAAGTAGGAAGCCCTCATCCAGGTGCCGAGGGTCAAAATATGCCCCAAAGAACCCTTGAGCAGGGTGCTGAGGATGCAAGAAAGGAGGAAGAGGGAAAAGATAGCAAGGGGAGTGTAGTGTGGCTGTAATGTAAAGTCTGTGCATTTGGGAGTGGGGATGGAAAAGCAGGAGAGGGAACTGGGCAAGCCCGCAAGGGCTGAGTCACTCATGGAGGAAACTGTTGGCCAAGTTAAAGAGGAGGTTAGGTTTTATCCTCAGAGCTGTTGGGATTTATAAGGATTTTAAATGGTACAGTGTCTGTATAATCTGTATTTTAGCAAAATGATTTTGGTCTCTTCAGGGAGGGAAGTGTTGGTTTCTCTGATTCTAACCCATGAGCAAGGTCCCCACGGTCCACGGTCCAGGGTCCACGGTCCACAGATATAACTGGGCAAGGGGAGGAATTTCACAGCAGGGTGAGGAAATCCTGACGTAGCAAGAGCATGGTTCAGGGAAAGACTGGTTCCAAAACTGAGGCTCCAGTAAATGTTCCTGGCATGATGGAAAATGCTTGGCCTGCAGACAACTCAGTACTGTACGTGCTGAACTTCAACGTGCACAGTGACAACCTGGGGATCTTGTAACAGTGCAGACCCTGACTCAGAAGACCTGGGGTGGGGACAGAGATAGCACTTTCCTAAAAAGCTCCCAGGGGATGCTGATAACAGAAGAACACAGAGAGGTTCAGCTTGAGAGGCCCAACTGCTTCAACCTCTTCTTCTGCAGGTAGGCTAACAGAGGCTGTGGAAGGGCATGGCTGGTGATGTATCATAAAGTTGGTGGCAGGAACTGTAGAAACCTGGCTGCGAGTCCTTCAATTCAGAGTTCCCATGGGGCTTCCAGGACCCTCTGGGAGATGACTGGGGACCAGGCAATCTACTTGCTATTGAAGGGCAAAGGGGAAAGGGAGTGAACAGGAATTGATGAGGCAAGAGTGTCTCCAGCAAGTCCTTGGAGAGTGCAAATGGATCTGCCAACATGCATGATACGCTTTTCACACATCAGCCTGCTCTGAGAGTATCATGAAAGCTGACATAAATCTCTGGTGGGCTGCCAAAGGCCTTCTTCCCAGACATGATGACTGGCATAAAAACTCAACACAATACTTAAAACACACACTCACACAGGTGAGATCTATGTGCAGTGCAATTTGGCAATATGTAGCAAGAGTTACAAAAGTATTCATTCCATTCAACCCAGTAATTTCATGTTCGTGTGTGCGGTGGGGGTGGGAGTGTCTAATACACAAATACTCTAAACAGAGGAGGAAGAAAACGAACTTTGACATTGAATGGATACTGGACAGCTAGGACTACAATACATTTTGAATTCTTATAATATTCCTGAATTGTAGGCTTAATATTGCTTCTCCTACACACAATTTTATTAAACCAATAAGATCATTCAATTTCAGAGGTTAATTTGCCCAAAAGTCAGCCACCTAGGCAACGTTAGATCTAGGATTTGAATCCAGGTCAACCAGATCTGAAGGTCATGTTCTTTCCACCATGATGCAATGCCACCATAAACATGAAGTTTATCATAGTGTTATCAAATATATAAAAAATAAAGGGATGGATAAGAAAATTACGGTATATACACTAATGGACAATTATGCCATCATTAAAAAAGATGAACTATTTCCATGGTTCTATAAAGGCATCATGATTGTGATTAAACAGTTAATGAAAAATTACAATAGCAAATTTTATGTAATTATAGTTAGGTAAAAGATGTGTGCATATTAACAAAGATAAAATACAAGGCAAAATTAGCACTGTGGTAGAAGAGATTATAGGTGATCTTTTTCTCTGATATCCAAACATTCTATAATATTGTTATAAAAATTGGCCAAGAAAGGCTAAGATAACAGAATGCATTTGTTGGTGGGGAGAGCAGAGAGCCTATTGTACATACAAGATCCTTAACGGGATTTCCTACAAAATCTTGAGACCTCTGCACCTGGCCTTATCTTCCTGTGGTTCTGCCCTTCAGTCATGAAGACTCTCTAGATGACTTGCTCTAACATAGACTCTCTCACCTCTGGCATCATTTTCAGGAAGGCTTCTATAGCTCTGGTCTCTTTATCCAAGTGGTAACACAGGTAAGCATCATCAAAAAGAACTGCCTCTCACAACAGCAGATAGAACATTTATACAGTAGGTGGGAACGGACACACAGGGCCTTTAGGCATTGCAACTGACAGCATGGCTGCTGCTGGGAGTGAAGGGCTAGTCTTCAGGGGCATGGCTCATAGGATGAGGAGAGAGTAGAACTAACTCTATCTTGTTAAGAGACAAAACAGCTATGAGAGAAGGGAGACGCCCAAGCCATCCTCAGTTCCCACCTTCCCCATGTCTTCCTAGATAATCGCAGTCTAAGCCTCACTTAGGACTTGATACCCAGGAGCCTATGGCACCAGTCTGCCTAACATAGCCCTTCCTGGGAGGCTGCTGAATCAAACCTGCTTGCAAGAGTCTTGACACATTCTCTGCACCTCCACACACAGGCTAGGGTCTTGCTGTCACTAGGCTGATCCTCAGAGACCTGAGACCACTGCTTGTTTTCACTTCCAATATCTTTGGTACTTTTGTAAACTAAACGTAAAATCCTAAGCTCCCAACCAACTGAACGGACGCCTTCTTGGCCAAGGGGACCCCAGAGAAACCTGAAAACCGGAATTCTTGGCCATGGGGGAAAGGAAATCACACGTTACTACATTCCCTCCCTTTTGGATTTTAGGCACAATTGACCAGCATTAATTTTAAAACAGACTCTTTGTGGCAATACAAAACCAAATTATGAACAAGGCCTAAAGTCATGCAAAGCAAGGGTTAAGTCACAGCTGCAGGCCATCAATCCAGCTACATAGCATCTTTATCTTAACTGAAAACATTCCTTTCTGCTGATTCCAAGTTTTAGACAGAGCCTTACTCCTTTAACCAATTACAAATTTAAAAATCTCTGAATCCACCTATAACATATAAGCCCTCACTTCAGGATATCTCGTCATTTGGGGCCAAACTAATATATACCTTCCATGCACTGATTTATGTCTTTGCCTGTAAATCTTGCCACCCTAAAACTATAATCCGACTATCTTGGGCACACTTTCTCAGGATCTCTTGAGACTGTTTTCCCAGGCCATGATCACTCATACTGGCTCAGAATAAACCTTTTTAAAAGATTTTGCAAAGTTTGGCTTTTCTGTTAACACTTTTGACTCACCATGTTGAGTTCAGTCATGAGATGGGTGGGACTCTGACACGGACATGTCTGGACTTTGCTTTAATCTACTGGCAAATGGAAACCCAGCTGCCGATGGGGGATACAGTGTGTGGGAAGTTTCCCCAGAACCTCACACCATCTGCTTTATCTTCTTGTTGGCCCATAATGCTGACGTCCCTGCAGATACTGCAACACAGTCCACTAGGATTACAACTGTTGTGAAAAGGATTGGAAACTGCAACATGCTTATACTGCAGAAAAAAAAAGAAATCCAGAAATTACCTAATTACCATAAAGACAGATTCTGTAGGATGAACCAATGAGTGAGGGCAGAGCTTCACCTATCCCCCTATCAACCTTCTGAGAAGAGGCCAGAGACAGCAGGCAGGGTATACCTTGCAGGCTAACCCCATTCTGTTGGAAATGACCAGCTGCAGTGCTGTGCCATGATGAAAGGGATTCTGAGGCCATGTTGGAGTGCAGTGGAAGAGCATGCCCTGATTGATTATTGATGTCCATCATGGGAATGGTATTAGGGAGGAGTCAGGGCACACACTTGCCCTATATTCATCTCCCTCTGCTAGGAAATAAGCAAACTGAAATTCAAGTTTTAAAACAAGGAGGAAAACAGGACCACCACTTCTAACCTCGAGTTTATGGATCCCATCCAAATGTGTATGTATTGTTTGACTCTCCTCCATTAGATCCATGTCTACTGAACATAGTGAGCTATTATTTAGACCACAGTTCTACAATCAATGGAACGCATGTGAATGCCACTGCCTGCTACTGAAAAATCTATTGAGAGGGAAAAGGAAAGCAGAAATTCAAACTCTCCTAACCAGCTGCTTAAAAAGATCCAGTTCACTCTTATCATACCCCCAAAATTATATCTAACATTCTAGTAAGATCAATCAACACATCCCGAATAAAGTGATTTGAAAGTAAATACGGTCCATATGTTCAGGGAATGGAGAGCCATTAAATGGAATAAATAGATTACACAGAAATGAGAATATGTTGGGCATAGTGAAAATTAAAAAAAAAAAGTCACCATAACCACGTCAAAGCTGTTGCAAATGCACAAGAACTAGAAAGAAAATAAACCCACATGAAGATGGCTAGTGTGTTATTTCCACTCCCTATTTTTCTAACACTATATACTATTGTTATATTGTCACTAACATTTAATGAAAACTAAATTATTTTAAAAATCAAGCCATCATAGCGATGTCGATATTTGAATATCTCTTACGCCTGTTGCCTTAACCTTGACTCAAGTTTGGAATGCATTTTTATTTATTAAACAAATATTTATTGAACCCTATTTTGTGCCAGGATCTGTTCTAGGCACCGGGGATATACCTGTGAATACAGATCTTTAACCTTAACAAGTTTATACTTTAGCAAATTAATTCTATGAGTTAAGTATAAACTCACTGGTCACTGGAACCTCATATAGTCTATTAGAGATTATTATAAGACTTGGGACATAATCTTATGATTTTGGATGGTCCTATAAGGTCATATATATGGACTAATGGATGCTAAGAGATACTTCTGTTACTCTACCTACGCCTTCAAAGGGATCTCATCTTCATAAGAAAAGCCCATCCCATCTTCATAAGAAAAAAAAAAAAAAAGAGGCCAGGCACCGCGGCTCATGCCTGTAATCCCAGCACTTTGGGAGGCTGAGGCATGTGGATCACTTGAGGTCAGGAGTCCGAGATCAGCCTGGCCAACAAGGTGAAACCCCGTCTCTATTAAAAATTAAAAAAAAAATAGCCAAGCATGGTGGCATGTGCATGTAATTCCAGCTACTCAGGAGGCTGAGGCATAAGAATCTCTTGAACCTAGGATGTGGAGGTTGCAGTAAGTTGAGATTGCATCACTGCACTCTAGCCTGGGTGACAGAGTGAGAATCCATCTCAAAGGAAAAAACAAAAAACAAAAAACAAAAACAACAAAAAAAAGAGAAAATTTTAAAAAGAAAAGAAAACAAAAAGAAAAGAAAAAAAGCACCACCAAATTTGAGACCCTATTGTGTTCCAGGTACTAGGTAAGGTACTGAGTTCTTTCCAGAGATGAGCTATGTATATATATAGGAGTGTGTGTGTGTGTATTTATATGCACATACTTGCTTGTACATGTGTATCCCTATATTGTGAGTCCCTTTGTTTATAAATGTGTGTATCCCTTGGCACTTACAATATAAGGCTAGACATTTATAAAGAAATAAAAAATAATTGTGAACTGTGGTCCATGTTATCCAAAAATGGGAAGCAATGGTAGAGACAGTGGTGAGTGGGCAAAGCCCTACCTGAAGGCTATTAGGCAGGGCCCTTCTGAGGTGGTAGCATTCACATCAATACCTGTAGTAGGAGAATGAGTTGGCCATGGAAGAGGAAGTGAAAGAGCTTTCTGGCAATAGGAACTCTGCGTGCAATAAGCCTGAGACAGGGGCCCCTAGCATGCTAGAGCACAGTAAAAGAAGGCCAGTGAGACCAGAGGGAAAAAGAGAATGGGAGGTGCAAGTCTTTCAGACCTAAGGTAGCAGTTTGGATTTTATGTGAAATGCAATAGCTCTAAAATTAAGGTAATAAAACTATGAGAGATATTAAAGAAAACCTAAATAAATATACAGAGATTGAATATCATAAAATGTCAATTACCCACATATTGTTCTATACATTCAAGGCAATTCTAATAAAAACAACAGATGTTTTCATTAAACTTGATAAGTAGATACTAAAATGAAAGAGCCAAGGGCAAGAATAACCAAGATATTGCTGAACAAGTATGAGGAGGAGGAATCTTCTCTACCAGAGATCAGGACACTGTGAAGCTGTAATAAATATGACTATGCATGGTTACAGTGCATGGAGGCCAGTGGAATAGAGAGCTCAGAAAAAAATTCATGCATATAAGAAATTTTGGCATAAGTCAGATATGGCCTGGTAGAGCAGGGAAGGAGAGACTGTAAAAAGGACTTGGATAAAGTGTTTATCAATGTAATAAAAAAATAAAATTTTCACTCCATCTCTCACCCTATGCAAAAATTAATTGCAGATAGATCAAAAACTTAAATTTCAGGAGCAAAACTATGCAACTTTTAGCAGAAATATAGGCAATCATCTTTCTCACCTTGGTTTAGGGAAGAATTTCTTAAGGACACAAAATGTGTTAACTATATAAACAAAGTGATAAAATTGGCTATAATTAAGGACTTTTGTTTTTCAAAGATACCTTAGAAGAAGTAAAAACAGCAAATTACATTTGTAACTGGCAAAATATTATCAAAAGTATATTATAAAACTATTACATATCAATAAAGAAAAGAGCATATAACCCAGTAGAAAAGTAGGCAAAAGACATGAACAGATATCCCACAGAAAATGAAATACAATATTCTACCTCATTAATAATAGAGGGAATACAAAGCAAGACAACAAGATACCATTTTATATCTATTTAGTCAAAATGAAGAATCTTGACAACACCAAATGTTGGAGAGGGTTTGAAATCATAGGCACTCATAATTTGCTGGCATGAGTGTAAATTAGTGCAACCAGTTTGGGAAAGAGTTTGGAGTATTTTTGTAAAACTTAACATTCATTTACCATCTGACCTAGTTTCTAGATAGAAATTCAGGAGAAAATCTTGCACATATACAGGAGAAGGTAGGCACAAGGATGCTCATTTCATCACTGCTGATAAAGGCAACATTCTGAAAGCAACCCCAATGTTTATGAAAGGATCATGAGTGAAAGTTTTGTAGTATCTTCGTGCAGTGGAGTAGTAGACAGCAGTCAAGATGAATGGACTACAGCTGCACTCATCCGTGGGGATGAACATTTGCAATACAATATGGAATAAAAACGTCCCAAAAGCTTATACACAACTTAAAATCCTTTATTAAAAGTTAAAACACTAAAAAACAATATGCTTATAAGGAATTCACACAAGTAGCAAAACTATATAAAATATACAGGAATTATATACAAGATTTAGAAGAGTGGAGGGGTCAGGAAGATGGGATGGGGAGACGTAAGTGAGTAGAAACAGATGTGCTTATGTAGATCATAAGTAAATGTTAGGTGTTGTCAGCATTCTGGTTGTCTTTTAGTTGGTGTGTTACTGAAAAATTAATGAGTAAATAAAAAGAAAAGAGACCCATGCACAGACCAATACAGAAACAGTTTCATGAAACTAGGAGTGAGATTAATCTCATTTTGGGCACCCAAGTGATAGTTCATAGCAGAAAGAGCTTTTTGAATCTCCCTGGTCCAAGCCTCCTAAGCCACAAATGTGGAAACTGAGGCCCAGGTTGGGAAAGAAGCCAACTAGTTCAAGTACACTCTGCAATGACTAACCAAAGGTCAATCTTAAATTTACTGTTTGCACAACCCACTATTTGACGTGCAGCGATACACACGTTAAAAACGTGCATAAAATAAAACAGAACAAGAAAGCAGTGAATTTTCTTTATGCCATCTTGAAGGACCCTGGAGACATGGTATGTATGTATGTATGTACGTATGTATGTATGTATTGAAACCATAATGAGGTAGACCAAGATCTCATACTTGGGTGTCAGTTTTAAGGAATTACTTTTCTCTTGGTAAAGAGTAAGAAAAAGCAGTCAAAAGAAAAAATGCCCATTGACTTAAGGTGAGGGGAGAAAAACCACCTGCTAGCTCCCGAGCTAATGAAAAGACAAGCAACAAATCACAGATTGGAATTCCAGCCTCCAGAGACTTCAGAACAGAGGCTCCAAATGTCCTGATGATAGATGAAAATATGCAAACATTTTTCATTTTGTTCTGACCAAAACAGAAGCGAAAGAGCCAGTTAAAAGCAGCAAATTCATGCTGCATTGCCCAGCCTAGGCGGAATTCCAACAGGGGTAACACGGTAAAACATCCGAGATGAAAAGAGAACAACTTGTGATGTTTAAAGAGACACTTCACAACTTAAGTGCTGCCTCTGGGCACAGTTTATTGAAAGGACCACAGCAGCCAGGGAGAAAGTTCCATCTCTAGCCATGTGGCCATGTGCACAGAAGGACACCCTACAAAGGCCTCTGGGTGCACACGCAGTGCAGCAAAATGCAGTTTCCCTCCCAGATAAGAAACATGAAGAAAGCCCACGCCCTGACAAATGCAGAACTCACTCTTCATTTCCTTCCCTTCTCTCTCCTAGGACAACTGTAGATGCATAGGATTCAATTTAACCGGGAGACTTTTGTTTTAATCCAACATTTTTCTTTAGCAAAACTCTGGAGACAAATTATGGCAGACGTTCATGTTAAACAGCTGGGAGCCCACTGAAATGAAAGAAAGTTTCTCCCCTGGTGTTACCATGGCACGGATATGAGGTGATCACAGGCCCCCCTAGTTTAGGAGAAAACAGACATAGCCCTGTGTCTCTGATATCTCTGTCAGTTAACTCTCCAATGAAATAGAACAATCCTAAGGATGAAGCTGGAAAAATGGATACATCAAAGGATGAAAGCTTCACACAGACATGCCACCAAACATACAATTATATGAGTGTATACATGTGACAGTGTAGAACTACATAAACTCACAAAAACATATGCTCATACACACACCCCAAGACAAGCATACTTATTCACATGTGCGCAGTGCAGGAATATTTTTCATGCAGCAACCTTTATTGTTTTCCACAGCTGAACTGAATGATTAATGTTTACTGTGAAAACCTCACTGGCAGGACAACATGGTTTGCTATCCTTAGGTAACAAGTGCTACACATCTGTTGATTTCCACTGTCAAGTTACCTGGCTCCATCACAAATACCTGTGTCGTAATAGAAAAGAAGAAACACCCCAAGGCAAATACAGAGGCAATCCTAATATACCACAAGTGGATGACCAGCAGCTCTAATGCGACCAGGTACATAAATGCAAGTCACTCACATCAGAATGCAACTTCTTTTCCTTCCAGACTCTGAGTGCCAGAAATCATTCTTTTCAACCAGAGCTGTTGCTACTGAAACACCTGTCAGCTTCCCTGTCAGCCCGAATGACCTGTATATGGCATCTAACCAGGGATGCCTGCATTTTTCAAGTTTCTGGAGGGGAAACATCTTATGGAGGTTGAATGATGAGCTGTGGACTAGAACAAATGGCTCCTAGACATCCCAGGGCCCTGACTTTTAAGATTTAGGGAAGGCCTCTGGGCAAATCTATTGTTTTGTGTGTGCACATGTCTTTTTTAATCTCACAAAAAAAACCACAACAGGACTGACTTCCACTATTCAGGAGAGGGAAAAAGATTTGCAAGGGAAGGTCTGTGGTGGGCTCTGGCATCAGAGTTGCAAGATGCCATTAGTAACATGCAAAGGGATATTGACAGAACGATACCTCCCTATGTTTCTTCAATTACTCCACACACTGTTTAGCAACCTTGAGGGAAAAAAGACCAATGTTTCTTGAATTTAATCCTTAAAAAAATTAACACTTAGCAACTGCCTGTGTATGAGTGAGTTGGCTGTAGCGTAACATCAGATAGAGGTGGAGTCTGGCAGAGTGAGAGTGAAGATAGGTTAAGCCAGGATCAAGACTGGGTTTATTTAGAAGGTGTTTAGCTAGGATTACATATCAGAGGAGACCGACTGGATTCAATTCATGCAATGCTTCTTCCCAACCCTGGATGTTTTTAAGAAATTCTCAAGGAACTTAAAAACAACAAACAAATACAGCATATGGATAGCGCCCCCTCCCCTAGAGATTCTGATTTATTTGGACCGCAATAAGGCCCATCCATCCATCCCTGCATTCATTCAGGTAACTAGACGCCTATTTATTTATCTATACATTGTTTCAAGCTCTCAAGGTAGGATTTTTTGTTTATTTTTGTTTTGTTTTTGAGACAGTCTCGCTCTGTTGCCAGGCTGGAGTGCAGTGGCATGATCTCAACTCACTGCAACCTCTGACTCCTGAGTTCAAGCGATTCTCCTGCCTCAGCCTCCCAAGTAGCTGGGACTACAGGCATGCGCCACCACAAGCAGCTAATTTTTGTATTTTTAGTAGAGACAGGGCTTCACCATCTTGGCCAGGACGGTCTCAATCTCTTGACCTCATGATTCACCCACCTCGGCCTCCCACAGTGCTGGGATTACAGGTGTGAGCCACCACACCAGGCCAAACTAGACTTTATTTTTTCAGATCAGTTTTAGCTTCACAGCAAAATTGAGCAGAAGGTATCTCAAGGTGTGATTCTAATCTTCAGCCAAGCTTGAGAACAGCTAAATTAGTTAGACAAAAATAATCATCATTGCCCCTTGCTAGGATAGAGCACAAATCCATACATTTATCCAAAGAATATTTATTGAGTACATACTATGTGAAAGCTACTATTTTAGGTCCTCAGGACACACTGAAAGGCAAAAATAAATATAGCATATATTAGTTGTTTCTTTCTTTTTTTTTTTTTTTAGACAGAGTCTCGCTCTGTTGCCCAGGCTGGAGTGAAGTGGCACAATCTTGGCTCACTGCAAGATCCGCCTCCCAGGTTCACGCCATTCTCCTGCCTCAGCCTCCCGAGTAGCTGGGACTACAGGTGCCCGCCACCACACCCAGCTAATTTTTTGTACTTTTAGTAGAGACGGGGTTTCACCGTGTTAGCCAGGATGGTCTCGATCTCCTGACCTCATGATCCGCCCGCCTTGGCCTCCCAAAGTGCTGGGATTACAGGCGTGAGCCACCATGCCCGGCCTGTATTAGTTATGTCAAGACCAAATGCTGTCAGGCTAGAGAACTGGGGAAAGCTGATGTTGCAGTTCCAGTCTGAAAGGCATCGGCTGGGGAATTCCCTCTTACTCAGGAGAGCTCAGTCTTCTGATCTATTCAGACCTTCAGCTGATGGGATGAAGCCCATCATATGGGATGAAGCTCCCCTATGTTATGGGGAGCAATCTGCTTTACTCGAAGTCCGCCCATGTAAATGTCAATCTCATCCAAAAACACCTTCACAAAATCATCCAAACTATGGTTTGACCACCAATCTGTCAAACCGTGGTCCAGCCAAGTTGACACATAAAATTCACCAATACAGGACCCATACCCTCACGAGGGTTCAAGTCTGTTGCGGGCCTGGGTGATACAAAAGTACACAAATGAAACAAGTGCAGATTGTGGAAATGGTATGAAGGAAAGCAAGTTGTTAAGAGAGGAAACAGAGGGGAACCTGTTTTAGATCAAGTGGACAGTGGAGGGAAAAAGCCTCTTGGAGGTGAAGAAGAGGAAGGAGCCAGCCCTGACGAGTGTAGAGTGAAGAGCATTACAGGCAGAAGGAATGACACAGAGTGGCGAGGGCTGCCAGGAACTGGGTGAGCTTGGGAAATGCCAGGAGGCTAAAGCTGGACTGCAGTAAGCAATGGGAAGAGGAGCGGCAGGTGAAGATAGAGAGGCAGCCAGTGCCAGATCCTTCAGTGCCTCGAAGTTAAGATGAAGCCAAAGCAGACGAGGAACAGGATCAGATTTACCTCTTAAGATGTTCTGTCTGGCTGCAGTGTGGACATATGGAACAGGTGAAGTGTGGAAGGGGGTGGGCAGGGAGGAACTGAAATGCTCCAAGCATCTGAGGGGTGCTCAGAACAGGATGTGGCAGCAGAGATGGTGCCATGCGGCCTGACCTGTGTCTATTTTGGCAAGAGAAATAATCAAACTTTCTGGCGGATTAGCTGTGTGGCTGCTGGGGGCAACGGATGACGCTCTCATTTCTGGCTTGAACAATTTAGAGGAAACAAGAGCTTTTTTCCTTGTTACCAGCCTGGCTCGAGTTATACTCAATAGCGGCCTGCATTATGCAAATCATGTGTCCTAATTAACGTAGATCCAGTTTGAATTATGCAAATTTTTGCTTTGGGCTGTATTAGTCACAATCCAGCTGATTTCCTCCTGCCTAGACTACCTCCTGCCCATCTGGAACACATCCCATTCTCCACACTGCTCCTCTGTGGACCAGAGTCATGAGCCAGTCTGGGGTCAGTGAGCCCTGAGTGGTCAGTGCAGCAAAGCTGAGGGATGGGAGGAGGCATGCTCATCCATCCAGACAGAGCCAGGAACCTTCTCTGGGCCTCTGTCTTAAAGAGTTTCCTCGTGAGCTTATCCACCCAGCTGGTCCCCTCTCTCCATCAATGTCTGTGTTCAGGCTTTCGTTCTGTTCAGAACTCCTGTCTCGGAAGACGCTCCAGCCTCCTTGTAATGCACTCTGATGGCTTGTTGATTCCTGGGGCCCGTGCTTTTTGTTCAGATTGAATCCAACCATCTGTGTGCTGAAAAAAATATTGACAAACCCTCTGACCTATTGTACCTTTTAAAGGCGCTCCCATACAGGAATGCCGCCTTGTTTTATTGAAGCGAAGTCTGTTTTATTTAACTCTGAATGCCAGGCACCTAGAATAGCTTGTGAGATAAATGCCAATCAACTCTAGCATAATCAAGACACCCATTCCTGCCTCATTAGGGTCTTCTCATTCCCTTTAAGCTTCTCAGATTTATACACTGTAATTAGAAACTTGGTGATTTTGACTGCTAAACAGAAAGGCTTACTGGGAGGCTTCATATGTCTGAATTTTAAATATTTTCACACTTCGTTAACCCAGTTGCAAGTGTAACATCTTCTGGCCCAATTCCCTCACACTGTGTGATTTTTATTTTTGGACGAAGACGAGAACAATTAATTGAATTGAAACACATATTGATTACTGTTTTCCATGAACTCTGAACAGCTTGTCTCTGAATGATTTTATTGAAGGGTTTTTAGACAACTGTTTGGTTGGATTGCTTCCCTTGGTGACCTCATTCTGGCTATAAGTGCCTGTCCGCAATTGCGACGGTCTGTGTTCTTGGTGAGTTGTGGTTGTTCCCAAGAGCTGAGTCAGAATGAGAGAGGCCACACCACCCTTCTGCACATCCACACCCTGATTAGGGAACCCTGATGCCTTAATCAAACCCAAAAGCAGGGTTCTGGAAGAGTCTATGCAGATGTCATGATTTCCATATTCCTGATGTAAATATTGTTTAGACGTCAGGTGAGCAGGAATATTCCTTACTGCATTAAATGATCACGTTATTCATGCAATGACTGCAATGTTTTCATCAGGCAGAGCTTTCCAGACCAGTTGATATTCCCTTACCACCTCTACCACCCTCTTGTGCTGATCACAATTGTGAGATTTGAGAATGTTTCTTAAACCAGTGCTTTTTATGCTTTAATGTACACATGAATTATCTGGGGATCTTGTTAAGAAGACTGTGATTCAGTGGGTCCAGGCTGGGGCCTGCGATTCTGCATCTCTAACATGCCTGCAAGTGATGTTAATGATGCTAGTTTGTGGACACAAGGCCGTTGGTGCTGCCTCTATCTGTGCATGATCTGTCACTCTGTTAGGGGAATGATCATAGAATTGCATTCTGCATCTCCCACTAAAGTGCAAATCCCCAAAGATCTGAGGCCATGGTCTAATTCATCTTAATACTTCCTGTTGCAGCTCAGATGAGGCCGGAACCAGTGGGCTCTGACGAGGATTCTGAGCTCCCCTTTCAGTGGGCAGAGAGAGAGTTTGAGGCTGCTGCAGAATGAGACGGTTTCATAGCCCTGGAGTGGTAATAGGGTCAGGGTGAGACACCCATCTTTCAGGGAAGGTGGGCCCAGGATCTAAAGGTCCATGGCTCCAGGGTGCTCATCAAGATAATAACTCATTACTAAAAAGAGGGTGTCAAAGCTGGGCTAGCAGCAGTAAAGAGGCAGCTGTAACAACACTTTCACATCTTCTGCTCAGGTATAAGGTCTTTTAATAAATAGTTCATCTTAATATCATAGATGATGGAAATGTCCTTGCCTCCTGGTGCATTTTCCAGATGTTTCCAGGATGCTTGTGTGCCCACCATCTCTTATCCACACAACAGCTGGATGACCTTTTAAGAATATAAATTGGATCCCTTCATTCCTCTGTGTAGAACCCTCCTAGGGCTTTCCATTCCTTTCAGGATAAAATGCAAGTTCTAGGAGTCCTGCCATCCCTGGCCCTACCCACCCTTTCCCCCACACAGTCTCATCACTGTCCTCTGTGCTCAGGAGGCCCCAGTCACTCCGGTCTCCTTTTTACTACATTTTTAAGACTTGCCTAAGTCATTTCCACCTCAGGGCCTTTGCACTCACTGTTTTTATTCATATGTCTTCATCTTCACTACTTTACCTTCAGAGACTTTGGCTGGCTTATAGGCAAGAATTAAACAACTCCAAAAAGAGGTAGAATTTTTGATTTCATGGGTTTGACATAGATTTACTTTCCCCTTCATTCTTACCCAGTTGAAGCCAAGAACAGTCTGACACCTTCATATTAGAAACAGAGGACTGAAGACTGGAGACAGAATGGGACTTAAAGCCACTCACATTTTGGGGGGCAGAATTGTCTGAGGATGGACTCAGAGGCTGTGACTTGGACTTGTGCAGAAGGAAATTTAATCTGAACCACTTGGACCTGCTGTATTTAACAATAACATAGTTATAGTAATGAAACTTCCCTCCTTCCCCTCCCTTATTTTTTCTTTGCTTGTAACTTTGCTGAGGCCAAGGTTGTATATAGAAGGCCACAGACAATCCTGAATTTCTCTTCCATTTGCATTATCCTATTTTTCTTTGTAATAAAATATTCTATTTTGAGGCCAAAAGAGGGTAATTTGTAATTTATGAATTTCTCTCTTGAAATTACAACTAGAACCTAATTTTAAAAATCAAATTGGTTTCATCTAATTAAATTTGTAAATTGCCTCATAAACACATGCTTTGTTATAAATGTTTTTAAAAGCAAGGTCTCTTGCTTACTGTCTGGGGCTGGATTGGGTTGAGCCCAGAGTAACAGTTACTTCTCATCTCTCTACTCAAGAGAACATACTCTCAATTGCCAAAAGTTTCTCAAGAGTAGTATTTTCCAGAACAGTGCTTCTGAAACCGTAATACCCATAGGAATCACCCAAGGATCTTGTTAAACTGGAGAGGCCTGAGCTGCTACATTTCTAACTAGCTCCCAGGTCATGCTAATGCCGCTGGTCTATGGACCACGCTAAGTTGCAGAAAGGGGCAAGACATCTGTACCTGCATTTAGGAGTCCTGGGTTTGGCATCTGGGTAATATGAACTTGGTCTTTTCATTTTAACCCTCTGCACTCAATTTCCTCATTTTTATGTAATGATAACAGCTAACATTTATAATGTTATTTCTAAATGCCAAACACTGTACAAAACCTAATTTAATCAGATCTTCAGAGTAATCCTATAAGGCCATTTTATTATTACCTTGATTTTTCTGATAAAAGACTTAAGGTTCTGAGAGGCCACTTGATGTACTCAAGGTCACAGAGCAAGTAAATGTCAGAGCTGGGATTCAGATCTAGGCTATATAGGCTCAAATGTCACCATCCTTATTTTCTTAGGCCTCACTAGCTTTTGATACACAAGATTACACTCATGTTTATGCTCACAATACAATGGCCTAAATCTACAACCTCCTTAGCTGTCTTTACAGCATCCCTCAATAATTTTGGCATATTCCGCAAAAGTAGCCTCAAATGCTTACAAACAACTCAACCAGTTACAATACTCTGGTTCCGGTTCTCTGCAAATTATAGCCCAAGTCACAGCGAAGAAGCTACCTGAAGATGTCTTTCATCATAGTTGTCTCCCATAGAATCCATGGGAATGCCAACATCCCTGGCATCTGGTCTCTGAAAATCCACAAGGCATCAGATTCACACAGAAGTGAGAAGGACAACCTGCTCTAATCTGTACCCACCTTTGTGCATGGGGCTTCAGAGAGTGCACTATATAATAATGCCTCAATTGCAGGAGGTTCTACTCAAACACAGAGTCTAACTCACAGTTGTGTTTAGACCCTTGCTCTCCCTCTGTTTCTTTCTTCTTGTCATGGAATTTTAATCATGATATTTCTCATCCAGTCTAATGCATCATTCTACTAGAGGAAAAAGTGTATTACTCTCAAGGATCCAATCTAATGCATCATCCTACTAGAGGAAAAAGTATATTACTCTCAAGGAATAATATGTGCAGAGATATGACTCCACCTGCAACATAGCCCTACAGTAGTAGTTTCCAAATGCAGGTATGTACAAGGACCAGGGCTTTTCCATGACAAAGTTGCCATCAATCCAGTGCAAAATTAGAAAAAATAATGTGACTGTCATGAGTTAGTAAAAAATCATAAATTTATTCAATTTGAAGGATGGACTTTTATTCTGAAATTATATCCTTTCTATATTTTTGGAATTATGTCTTTTATAAAACGATGTAAATAAAAGATGTTGAAGTACCCTAGGTTAGTCCCCCAAGCCTTTTTAAATGCTACTGGCCTGTGAATTCCAAAAGTCTTGAACATCTGGCACACAGCGTCTTTTACATAACAGTATCAAGTAACTTAACTTCCTAAATCATGGGTCCTTTCCTTCTGCTTTACAAAGAAAAGTTTGCCAGGCACAACACATCTTTATTTCATGTAAATGTGTGTGTGTGTGTGTGTGTGTGTGTGTGTGTGTGTGTGTGAGAGAGAGAGAGAGATTGTGGTTTCTGCTTTACAAAGAACATGTAGATTTGAAGTGACTGGATTTTGTTTCAGTTAAATTTTCGAACCTCTCTTTCCCAAAGAAGTTTTGAAAATGTGCTAGGCAAGGTGTATTAGTATGAGTACCTGCCCTCCTCTCGGGGTACTCCCCAGGAAGAAAGCTTCTCCCAAGCGTGTGGCCTGAGAAAACTCATAAGTGATGGGGATGGATGTCTGTTTCCTCCTTCCATCTGGTAATCCTGAGAGCTGCGCCAAGCTCCCTGCAACTTCTAAGAGGGAGATGTTAGCTCTCCTGAGGAATGCTAGTTTTAGTGAGATAAGGTGTTTTCTTAAGCACCTTGTACATGTTGGATAATCTTCTCCCTCAGAGAGTTCTCAGGACCACCTGTGACTCTCTAGAGAGGTTATCGGTCTGTTAGATTAATCTTGAGTACTTTTCCTTCATCAAATACTCCTTGACTTTCCTCCCCAGAGCTCACCTTTCCTTATGGCAGCAATATTCTTCCCCCAAGCCCACTCCCTATACATGCATGTTTCTGCATGAGCTCTCAGTGACTTAAGCCTCTTCGTGGGCCTGTGGTACATGTTTCAGTCTGGGATGCTTGTGTCTTTCCCCCTCGTCAGATTCCCTAGAGAAACCCTGAAGAAGTGATTACCACCTTTATTTTACAGGTGAGAAAAATGAGGCTTAAAGAGAGGAGGAATCTACCAAAGGTAACTCAGGAAAAGGTGGAGCTACTAGGACACTAGGCTACATCATTCCAGCTTCGGTATCCATGCCCTTCCCTCTGCATTCCTGTGTGTTTCCACTTGATCTAGTATTGTAATCTTATGTTGTGTAAGAATACAAGGGGTGGGAGGAGACTCAACCTTACTCGTATTGCAATACTTGAATCTTAGCTATATCAGCTCTGTTGGAGATTTTTTTGTTTTGTTTTGCAATAAACTTTCATACAGTTTGTCTTATTTTTGCAACTTTTCTGGAAGGCACATTGTGTTGGCTTGATGGGTACATTCCTGCTTGAGTAGGTTCTGGTTCATCTCTGATATGGTAAGGCCCAGCTAATGCTTGGAATGGGGGCTTTGGATGCCATCACCTGGGTGACAAAATATGCCTTGGGCACAGAGCAATTTAAATCTGAAGAATCCTGTGTCCCTGGTGCAGAGAATAACATTGGGATTCTTTTCAAAGCAAAGAGACTGATATTCGTAAAGTGAGCATCATGTGGGTATTGCAGTTTCCCAGACGAACTTTCAGTACTGTTTGCCAGGCCTGGGCCTTCTCTTCCACATAAGAACAATCTGACTCCCTGGGTTTTGGCTCTTTTGTGGATGAGGTCAGTTGTCACCATAGTCACTTCAATGCATGATGTGTACAAATTTCTTTGTTCTTGGGGCTACCAGGACAGCTCCACTGTGTGCCATTATGTTTGCACCCCATTGTACTGTCAGAAACCTTTTGGTATGTCTCATCTTACTCACCTTTATACGTTCAGCAGAATGGGTATTCACCAATGTCAGGCTGAAGTGACTTGAATAAAGCTAAGCCAATGGATGCAGCACAAGGGACCTCCTTACCTCGTAGAGCGTGATGACCCCATTGGTCTCATTGGGAGGTTTCCACTGGATGTAGATCTTCTCCTCAAAGGGCCCCCCTTGGATGGATTCTAGAGGAACAGCTCCTGGAACTACAGAATGGAAAAGTTATGAACTTGATGTCACCTTCCACATCATTTCTCCAGCCCCGCTGACCTAGAACAGGGGTTGACAAAGTTGCTGTAAAGAACCAGATAGTAAATATTTTAGGTCTGATGGGCTGTACGTTCTCTGTTACAACTACTCAACTCTGTCATTTTAGCACAAAAATGACTATAGATAATCCATAAATGAATGAGTACGGTGGCGTTCCAATAAAACTTTATTTATGAAAACAGGCAATGGGCTGGATTTGACCCACAGGCCATAGTTTGCTAACCCATTTTCAGAAGGCTGATCAGGCTTTTCATCTGCAGACTGAGCAAGTCGGTTTATGAACTGAACCGGATAAGGGCAGAAAGGACATGAGCAGTTTCCAGTTCTGCCAGAGGTGGGAATCTGAAATGAGGTGTTTGCTTCAGGGGTGTCTAATCTTTTGGCTTCCCTGGGCCACATTGGAAGAAGAATTATTATTGTAGGCCACACATAAAATACACTAACACGAACGATAGTTCATGAGCTAAAAAAAAAAAATTACAAAAAAAAAATCTCATAACGTTGTAAGAAAGTTTATGAATTTGTATTGGGCCACATTCAAAGCCATCCTGGGCTGCATGCAGCCCAGGGGCTGCTGGTTGGACAAGCTTGTTTTAGGATTTGTATTTGAGAAATGCAAAGTGAGCTTCCCATCATCTTACCAAGTATCATTTTCTTCACTCTGCCAAGTTTTCTCTAACTTTAGGAGTGCTTCATCAGTTTCTTGACTAATTCCTGAATCCAACATGAACTATGTGGCTTGAAACCCCAATCCAATTAGAAGAAGCTCGCCTTGCTCCAAGAAGGCAGCTAGCTTGACTTGTTGTTGAGTCCCAATGCCTGGCATGAAGTAGATGCATAATAACTATTTGTTGGTTGGATGAATAGGTGAATGAATGACCTACGCCAGCATTTTGAACTAATAAGTGCAACCTTTCCTGGGGCTCCTTCTATAAGCCGGTCAGTCTTCCTGCCAGCATCCTCCTGCTGGATTTCACTATTCTTACAACAGTCTGGAAGACGGTGAGCCAGAAAACAAATTATTCCCCAAACTTTCTGCTGTAACCCCTTAGAAATAATGAATTTCAGTAAATTGTTGCCAAATCTATTTATATTTTGGTATTATAAAAGCACTTACTCTTGGACTAGAATTTTACCTACATTATTTCACTTAAGCCATAAAACACCTCTGCCCAGTAGGTATTATCTCCTTTGCGTCGATAAGAGAACTGAGGCTGAGAAAATGGAATAACTTGCTGAAGGTCATATGGCTCTTAAGTTGTAAAGAGGGAACTAAACACCTGTCTGTGAGTTTTAAAGCATATACTCTTAATCATCACGCTACGCCTCTCTACATATAGCCTTGGCCATATGTTGCAATCAGTTCCCCTTTGTTAAATTAAAATATGTTTAGTTTTGCTCATTATGGACATGCTATACAGAATTTGTTGAATATTAAGAATATATAAAAAGGTTAAAAAAGGAAAAGAACAAAATTACTCATAATTCACATGTTCAAATATTATTTTCCAATCTTTTTATGCATATAAAATTTTATTAAAAAAAGATATGCCTATGCATATATATATTTTTTATTTTTAAAAAAATGTTAACTCCTACTGTGCATATTTCATTGTGACCTTATTTTATCACTAAAGAAATTGCAGGCTTCTCTGGGGCCATACATTTCTCTGGGGCCATGCATTTTAATGGCTGCTTAGAGGGGGCGTTGCCCCTTTATAGTCACTAATCCTTTATTATTGGGCATTAAAGTTGGTTTGAATTCTTCATGATTTTGAGCAATGCTGGAATGAGCATGCTTATAGGTAAGTATGCATGCAACTCTGCAGATAGACCTTAAGATTAATGCTTTGGAAATTAATTTACTGGGCCAAAGTAAATGAACTATTTTATTTTTAAGGCTTTTGACATATATTACCAGATTGCCTTTCAGAAAGTTTGTACCATTCTGGACTCCCCAACAGAAGACTATGTCTGTTCTTGCCAACACTGACTATTTAAAAAATTAAGTGCATGTGTATGTGTGTCTTTTTTAGAATACTGGAGAGTACAGATTTTGTTTTCAGCCTAATTAGCCATTCACATTGCTTCTTTTATGAACAAATTATCTATACCTTGTGCTCATTTTCCTGTATGGCTCTTCATTTTTGCTCATCTTTGTCTTATGGGCTCGTCATTGTAATTTCATTTTAAGGACGTAAGCTTTCTTGCATAGGTTGCAAATATATTTTCGCCAGTTTTTTTGTTGGCTTTTGAAATCACTTAGGTATGCAGAAGCTTTTAATTAGTCAGGTATCCTATTGCTTTCCCTTATCCACCCTTCCTTTCCAGAAATATTTATTATGTATTTAATATGATGAAGGGACAGCGATGGACACTAGAGATATACCAATAACAAAGAGAGATGTAGTCAAATCCATGGTAAAGCTTGTATTCTGGAAAGAGAGACAGACATTAAGCGATTATACTCAAAACTAATTCATTACATTTTTTTAATCAGGACTCTGACATAAAGGGATATGGTACTAGGAGAATTATTAAAAGCAGAGAACAACCTAGAATGGCAAGTTAGGATATTAAATGGCACATAAGTTAGAGTTGCTTGATAAGTAGAAGTTATCAGGGCAAAATGGGGAGGAGGTGCTGTAGTGTGGTGGACAGCTTTGTGAGGTTGAGGGTGGAAGGAGAAAAATCAGTTAGGAGGCTGTCATTGTCATCCTCGGGAGAAAGAATTGTAACGTGGACTGGAATGATGGTAGTGTAGAAGTGAAATAGATTGTACAGATGTGGACTCAGAGGATGGCAACATGGAAGATCAATGACTTGGTGGTGATAGATAAGGGTGAAGGAGGGAAGGGATGTGTCATGGAGAACTGCAACCCTTTTGTTTTACACAACTGGGGGATCAAAATGTTGTTTATAGAGAGGGAGCCTTAAAGGATGACCAATTTTGGAGAGGAAGCTGGTGAGCTCAGTTTTTGTCATACTTTATTTCAGGTATACATAGAACATCCAAGTGGCAATGCTGAGTAGCAGTTGGATATGGGAAGACTGGGGCCAATGTTTGGAAATGGAAACCGTAGGCAGGGAATAGATGGCAAGAGTATAGAGCAGAGAAAAAAAAATAGGTCTAAGACTAAGTGAAGAAGAACTCCAGAATTAACAATTAGGAGGAAAATGAATGGAGAAACTGGGAGTCAGTGTTCAGAGAGGCAACCAGAAAACCAGGAAGGTAAGCCGTCATTGTAGCATCCAAAGAAGGAAAGAGGCTCAAGAAGGTACTGGTCAGCAGTCACAAATATGGCTGAGTAGTCGAGTAAGATGTGGCTTTAAACTTGCCCATTGAACCTACTGTCCTCAAGGTGACTCGTGAGCCAAGCAAGAGTAATTTAAGGGAGAATGTTGGCATCACAAGCCATCCTGAAGAGGGTTGAGAAGAGAGGGGAAGGTGAGGTGAGGCAAGTAAACAATGCTGGCTGTGAAAAGGAGGGGAATTCAAACCATAACAAGAATGAGATATGGAGCCAAAATAATGACTCTCTTAAAGACAAGAGAGGTTATGATTAAAGCAACTAAGAAAAAGATTCAAAATAGAGGCTGGGCTTGGTGGCCCACGCCTATAATCCCAGCACTTTGAGAGGCCAAGGCGGGCAGATCACGAGATCAAGAGATTGAGACCATCCTGGCCAACATGGTGAAACCCTGTCTTTACTAAAAATACAAAAATTAGCTGGGTATGGTGGCGCGCACCTGTAGTTCCAGCTACTCGAGAGGCTGAGGCAGGAGAATTGCTTGAACCCAGGAGGTGGAGGTTGCAGTGAGCCGAGACCATGCCACTGCACCCCAGCCTAGTGACAGACTGAGACTCCATCTCAAAAAAAAAAAAAATTCAGAATAGAGGTAAGAAGAAGAGTGAGAAAGAAAGAGGAGATAACTTACAATGGTAGGGTCCTGAAAGCAAGAGCAAGGGTGGGTTGAAAGAAGGGTTCTCTCCTTTTGTGAGAGAAGAGGAGAGGATGGAAATGTGCTAATGCTTTGTACGGAGGAATTGAAGTGTCCTAATGGCTCTGTTTTCTTGAGAAGTGGGGTGAAGCCATCTACCAAAAGTGTAGTGGGGGACGAATTACATCAAGAATTTGGAAAGACAGGAGAAGCTTTAATCACAGAGTAGAAGGCAAGCAGAATAGAGAGATGAAAATTCTATTCATTCATTTGAGGGTCTATCTGACGGAAATTGAGGAGGGTGTGTCTGATGGACAATAAGAAGTGTCTGTCTGATGAAGACTGTGAGCATGAAACTCAAGCTAATAGATCTTGGTCTTTCCAATCTGGGGAAAATTCTCTTTCTCACACCAGATCAGATGAATGGAAAGTACAGATGAATAGTTGTTCTATAATTTATTTATTTTCTGTTTTATTCCCATCTTTTTCTTTTTACACCTTACACGTTAATATTTCTGAAATTACTGTGTATACCATACATGGTAGAAATCTATAATTCCTTACAATTTTCTCAATTGTAAAGGACAATTAATTGACCAGTCAAAACTTGCCCCAGTGATTTCAAATGCCATCTTACTACCATATTAAATTATTTTATATTCTAGTGTATGTTGTTTGGCTTTCTGTTCTATTTCACTAAGTTGTAGCTTTTACTGTGACAGTATTTCTCTATCGCATTAAAATGACATGTTTTGATACTTGGTAGAACAAGTCTTATTCTTCTTTTGCAAAGCTTTTTGAGGTATCACTACCCATGTATTCTTCCAGAAGAATTTAGGAAGAGTTTTATAAAATTTCAAACATATTTCATCACAATTTTTACTGCAGTTGCATTTTTTTTCTCTTTTTTGGGAAGCAGAGAGTATCACTTTTAAAGTGAGTCCTTTTATCCAGTAAACTGTATAAATCTTCATGTATTAATGCTTCTTTTTATGCCCCTCAGTTAAAAATGTTTTTCTTTTATTTCTTACAAATTGCATTTCTAGGACTTTATTATTGTTCATATTGTTTTTGTATTGTATTAAAAAGTTTCTTTTATAGTGTTTTGCAATATATTAAAAAGTATACATAATAATGTATGAATAGTTCAAAGAATAATTATTAAATACACATGTGCCCACTATCTGCTCTAAGAAATAAAACATTACTATACTATTGAAGCACTGTTTATGCCCATCACTATTGTCTCCTTTTTCTTTCTCCATCGTTAAATAAATAAATAAATAAAATAGGTACTACAGGTACTATCCTGATTTTCCTTTTTTTTCTTTTTCTTTTCTTTTTTTTTTTTTAAGACAGAGTTTCACTCTTGTCACCCAGACTGGAGGGCAACAGCGTGATCTTGGCTCAATGCAACCTCCGCCTCCTAGGTTCAAGTGATTCTCCTGTCTCAGCCTCCCAAGTAGCTGGGATTACAGGCACCCATGACCACGCCCGGCTAATTTTTTTTTTTTTTTGAGACCCGGCTAATTTTTGTATTTTCAGAAGAGATGGGGTTTCACTATGTTGGCCAGGCTGGTCTTGAACTCTTGACCTCAGGTGATACACCTGTGTTGGCCTCCTAAAGTGCTGGGATTATAGGTGTGAGCCACTGCGCTCAGCCTGAATTTACTCTTAATCATTCTCTTCATTTTTATTCGGAGTTCTAAATATATACATATATCCCAAGACAATATATCATTTAGTTTTTCTTGGTTTCTTTTAAATCTATGTGGATTGAGTGTTTTCTATTATATGATTTGCGTTTGTCACTCATCATTTTCAGATTCATCTATTTTGATGCACATAGTTGTATCTAATTCATCCCCATCTTATAAATATATTCCTATTTATTCCACCATTCTACCGTATATGAACAGTAGAGTTGTATCCAGGTAGGGTTTCTTACAATATAATTTATTGGAATACTTTTGTATATTTGATTGAACATATATATAAGATTTTACTAAGGTACACTTAGGAAGAGAGGGTCTATTCCTATGACTGAAGGGCTTATCTATCTTTGTTTTTACAGTGTAATGCCAAATTGTTTTCCAAAGTGGTGGCAGCACTGCCCCAAGCAATGTTCTGAAAGTTCCTACTCCTCCGCATCTTTATAAATATTTGGTATTATCAGGTTTTAAAATTCTAGACCATCTAGTAAGTGTAAAACAATACTTCATTAAGGTTTTACATGCTTTTACCTATTTACTAGCATCTTTTAATGTTTGTTGGATATTATTGTCCTTTTCCTGTTGCATATGTTTGATACTAATCATTTTATTGGCTATATGTGCTACTGAAAAACTTCTTTTAATTTGTGTCTTGTGTTTCTCTTTATGTTACCTTTGAATATGGATCAGTTCTTAATTTTAATGTACTCAAATTGATCAGATTTTAGTTTTTGTATGGGAGAAAGAGAGAGACAAATTTAGTAGCAGACACTGTTGATGGCCTGCCTATATCCCACTGAATAATGCTTACTGCAAAGTACAAATTTACCTAAATGCTGTGGGAGCCAACTTGTTCTCCACGTAGAAGAAGCAAGAAGTGCCAGAGAGTTAATGCCCCGAAGACATCCTTCAAGCAATGAAAGACAGGAAGTTGATGGATGAACATCCCAGTTTCCTTACTACTTGGTTGGGTTACTCTGAGACATGTTTTACTAGCACTTCTCAAACTATTTCAAACACTGAAACCATTGTGATGATGATAATGATAATTCCAAATCCATTGTGGACTCATGATATCATAAAATACAATAAAAATGAATTAATAGGGAAGTATAATTTTTAAGTAAAAGTGAAATTGAAAAAGCAAAAAAGAAAAATACTAAGCTCCTTCTTTTTAAATACTTTCTCTTTCTGTACTTGTCTTGTTATGGATTAGAGAGTCAATGAGTCAGTGCTGGTCCTTGGACCACACTGGGAATAGCACTGTTCTAGAACTCAGTTATTCACATGGTAATTTTTTGTTAATAAACTTTGTATTGACTTTCTTCCCTTTCCTGTTTCACTTTCCCTCTTTCTTATGAGTGTGTCCTGAGACCATCTCCTAAATAAACTACTTCCATTTGTATCCTTATCTCAGGGTCTGCTTCTGAATAAACCCACACAAAAGAGTTTTTCTTACATAAGAAACACTTTCTCTATCCTGAAGTCATGAGAATATTTGTCTAAATTTTCATTGACATTTAAGAGTTACTCTTTTAATAAAATGTCCTCAATTCATTTACAACTGTGTTACTATGTATAACATGAGGTAGGAATCCAATTTTAATTATTTCTCCTCATCCTAGGGAGATTGAAAAAATACTTTTAATTCCTCAGTTGATTTGCCTGATAATTTTAACTTCTGTCACATTTCCACATATGTATGGGTCTACTTCTATGTTCTATTATATTCAATTGTTTCTGTTAGACTTTCCCTGTGTCAATACCACATCTTAATTAACAATGAGGTGTAAGTCTTGCTATCTGGTAAAGTCTACTACTTTGTACTTCATGTTCATGACTGTCTTGGGTACTCTTACCTTTTCTCTTTACATAAACATTTGAGGACTAGCTTGTACCTTTTCAAAAAATGTTTGGTTTTTGAATTTTAGTTGCATGTATTATAGATCAAATGGGAGATAATATCATGTCTTTATAATAATAGTTTTCTCATCCATGAACATGGTATATCTTTTATTTAGGCCTTCCTTAACGTCTTTCAGTGTTTTATAGATTTATACGTACATCTTGAAAACTTATGTTAAATGTATTACTAAATACCTTATATTTTTATTGCTATTGTACATAATGTCTTTAAGAAAATACCACATACTTGTTAGGTTAATAGAAATGGAATTGACTTTTTAATGTTAATGTCTTGGCAAACATGCTATATTCTTATATTAATTCTAATAATTTGTTTGCAGATTTCTTTGGGTTATCTATGTAGAGATAATTGTAGCATCTGTAGTTAATAATAGTTTTGCTCTTTTCCAATCTTTTATTTTCTTATCTTCAATGATAGCCACCAATACAGTCTTTAATAGAAATGATGATATGTCTATCTCCAATTTCAAAGATAATGATGATATTGTTTCATCTTTGAGTATGATGTTTGTAGGTTTTTTAGTTATCTTTATCAGGTTGAGGGGGCCCATTTTTATTCCAGGCATACAAGAATATTTTGTTTTTTAAATCATGCTGAGAATTAACTGATGCTTTTTCTGTATCTACTGTAGTGATGATATGTATTTCCCCTCTCCTAGTATGTTACTGTAGCAAATTACACAAACAGATTTACTAAAGTTAGACTAACACTAATTTTTTAAACTATTTTTTTGCATATTTATGCAGTTTCAGATCATTTGCTAATATTTTGTTTAGGTATTTGCATACATTTTTTTCTCATAAGCTTTTCTGCTTTTAATATCAAGGTTATAGTCTTGTCATAAATTGAAGGGGGAAGTGCTTCTTCTTTTTCCTTTCTCATAAAGTGTGTAAGATTAGGATTACAAACTCCTTGAGTGTTTGACTGATTGCACTTGTGAAGTCACCTGGGACTGATGTGTACTTTGTTGCAAAAGTTTAAATTACTGATTCTATTTCTTTATTTGTTGTAAAACTATACAGAATTGCTTTTCCTTAAGTCAAGTTTTTTAATTAATAGTTTGCCATATCACCTAAATTTTACATTTATTGGTATAAGATTATATACACTATCATCATTTATCTTGGTTACTGTGAAATAAACACAAAAGCATAAAACAATCATCTCATTAATTTTTCAGTACTGAACTTCATACTGTGACCTTGCTTTTCCTTATACTTTTCACTCCTTAAGCACATATCCCTAAATACAATAGAGTTTATCATCAAATAAATAAGAATAATAAATAGTGCTAAACTCTTTTACAAAGGCCAGTCTGGGAGAACTAATACCTTTACAATCTTAACTTCCATTCCATGAATATGTTCTATCCCAGGATTTATTTAGATATTCTTACTGAGCATGCGTATTAGTTTTTTTGTTTTGTTTTTAAAAATCTTGTTTCTTGCTTCAATTGTTAGGGGGTATTTACTTTGCACTATCAGATTTGTTCTTTACAATAAGAATGAAAGCATTTTTAAAAATCTGTCCAGTAACCTTTCCGCATGCAACCTCATAAGAAGTGGTGTGTGATGGTCTGGTTTAATGGGTCATTCTGCTAGTTACCATGTAAGTCCTTATTTTAAATATTTCCAACTCACAGGGAAAGGAAAGAATTTAGATATATTCATACATTACTTGGCTGGATAAGAGTTCTGTCTGACCTGTGGGGCAGTGGTATGAGGGGCAGTTAAGGAAGGGAAATAATTAGGCAGCAGGAAGATTCTCCGTGGCAAGAGGGCTTTTTAGGTGTTTTGAGGGGCAGCCTGAAGTTAGTTACCACAGACACTACCCCTTCCTGTAATTGTTTCTTTACAATGAGATCCTTCCACTGAAGCCCCTTTTCTTGTTTGCCATATGCCCTGGACGTAGGCTTGGAGGGGGAGCTCTCGTTCTCTGCATCATGGACTAGCAAATAAAGATGACCAGGGCACTGACCTCTCTCCTTTCCCCACTCCCATCCACCAGCTCCAACGCCCACTCCTGTTTTTAGCACTGGTTGGTCAAAGTTGGAGGTACTTATGCATGTAGACTTGGAAGTCTTCTCCTCCAATTCCCTAAGGGGTTTTCTTTCCAGGCAGTCTCAGCCTAGTCATCTCTTTCCCATTTGGGACTCCCTCTCCCATGACGTCTTGCATTAATTCTTTCAGGAGCAGCCATGGCATCGTTTTACAGTTGTCAGTGCAGATACAAAGGTGTTTTTCTCTATATTTCTTTAGGACAGTAGTTTAAGAAGAGTGATCAAATTGGCATTTCTAATCAAAAGTCTTATTGTCATCACTGAGACCTAAAAGGCAGTATTGTAGAATTAAACAATGATCAAGGGTTGAAGCCACACTGCCTGGGTTTATGTCCTGTTCCCACCACTGTATTACCTTGGCCAAGCTGCTTAATGTCTCTGTGTCTCATTTTCCTTACTTTAAAATGAGGATAAAAATACTACCTACTACATAGGTTGTCCTGGGGATTTGATATGTTAATATACACAAAGTGCTTACCTAGGTGTCTGGCACAAAGTAAATACTATGTTTGTCTGATCCTCCCCCTGGCCCCATTGCATTCACTCTGAGAACAGCTCTAGGGTAGCCTAGAGATCACTAATTTGATTTTTTTGTAGAGACAATTAAGATTGTTGCTATTTCCTGTGATGTCCTTACCTCAATCTGCTCTATCCGAATGATGTTATATTGCTAATCATAGAAGCTATATCTTCTCATAGCTTACTGAGCTTTCTACGATCTTCTTCTGATTTCTATGGTAAATGATCTTAAATCTAATTTTTCTCTGAGGACTCAGAATTCATTCGTTCAATAATGTATTTATTGTGTCCTTATTTGTCTACCTGGCACTGTTCTTCTAAGTGCTTGGGAAGCAGAGTAAGAAAAACACAAGGAAAAAATCTTGTCTCTGTGGAATGCATTCTAGTGGGAGAAGACAGATAATAAAACATATAGTGAAATATACAGTATGTCAGATGATAATTGCTAAGGAGACACCCAAAGCTGGAAAGAGAGACAAAGAGTGTGCTGTAGGAGACTTCCAGTTTTTAATAGAATGGTCTGAGAAGAGCTTGCTGAGAGGTGACATTGGAAAAAAGACTTGAAGAAGCTGAAGGAACCATCCTGCTTATTTGGCAGAACCTTACTGTAGCCAAAAAGGATGGCAAGTGCAAAGGCCCTGAGGCAGGGATGTCCCTGATATATGTGAAGAGAATGATAACTGAATTTGCATAGTGAGGCACAAGTAGCAAGAGATGACACAGAGGCAAACAAAAGTGGGAATTCTGGTCACCTGGAGCATGTGAGCTACCGTGAAACTTCGGGTTTTTAATGTGAGTGACAAGAGAAACCATCAGAGGGTTGGGAGCAGAGGGAGTGATATGATTTGCTTCATGATTTAACAAGATCATTTTGGTGCTGTGTTGAGAAAAGAATGCAGCGGCCAGAGCTGAAGCTGCAAAGATTATTTAGAGGCTGCTGCAATAATCTGGGGTGCAGAGCACAGTGGTTTGGACCTAAGGGGTAGTAGTAGAGGCTGTGAGAAATGGTCAAGGTCTTGACATACATTGCAGGATGAACCAAGAGAATATGTTATTGGTTCAGATGTGGGGAACAGCAAGACTGCTGCTTTGTACAAAGCCAGGGGGTCTCAATCAAAAGCAATAAAGGGTGAAGAGGTTCTCTTTTTCTTTTTTTGAGACAGGGTCTTGCTCTGTCACCCAGCCTGGAGTGCAGTGGTACAATCATGGCTCACTGCAGCCTTGACCTCCCAGCCTCAAGCAGTCCTCCCACTTCAGCCTCCTGAGTAGCTGAGATCATAGGTACACACCACCACACCCAGCAATTCACCTGCCTTGGCCTCTCAAAGTGCTGGGATTACAGGGGTGAGCCACCATCCCCAGCCAGAAGGGATTTTCTTTGGAGATGTAAAAGCCAGGGCCTCAGTTCTGACAAAAGTGAGAAGTCAAGGTTTTTGGCTCGAGACACTAATAAAACAGAGTTGCCATTTACTGAGATGGAGAAGACAGTGGGAAGAACAAGTTGAAGGAGGATCACAGGCTCAGTTTTGAATGTGTTTAATTCCACGGGCTGATTAGCAATCTAGGTGGAGAGGTTGAGGAGACAGCTGGATAAATGACTCCGGAGGGCTGGGCAGAGGCCTGGCCTGGAGGTATCAATTGGGAAAATTATTAACATATGGATGGATTTTAAAGCCGGGAGACTAGAAGAAATAATTAGGGAAATGAATGTGGATCCAGGGTCAGCAAACTATGGCTCTTGGGTTGAATCCAACCAGCTGCCTGTTTTTGTAAATAAAATTATATTGGAACACTGCCGCACCCATTTGTTTATCCATTGTCCCTGGCTGTTTTCCTGCTACAATGGTGGCATCGAGTAGCTGCTACAGACCCTCTCATGGATAAAGCCTATACTTTAAGACCTGGCCAACCTCTGGTATGGATACGAATGGGAAAGAGTCCCAAGAACTGGGCCAATAAGGTTGGGATGTGATATGGTTTGGCTGTGACCCCACCCAAAATCTCATCTTGAATTGTAATCCCCATAATCTCTACATGTCAAGGGAGACACCAGGTGGAGGTAATTAATTCATGGGGGCCATTTCTCCTATGCCATTTTCATGATAGTGAGTGAGTTCTCAGGAGATCTGATGTTATTATAAGTGTTTGGTAGTTTCTCCAACGTTCATTCTCCTTTTTGCCGCCTTGTGAAGAAAGTGCCTTGCTTCCCCTTCACCTTCTGCCACGATTGTAAATTTTCTGAGGCCTCCCAGCCATGCTGATTTATGAGTCAATTAAAGCTCTTTCCTTTATAAATTACACAGTTTTAACCAGTTCTTTATAGCAGTATGAAAATGGACTAATACACGCTGTTTAAAAGGAACCAGCAAACTGTAATCCCAACATTTTGAGAGGCTGAGGTGGGAGGACGGCTTGAGGCTGGGAGTCTGAGATCACCTTGGGTAACACAATGAGACTCTGTCTCTACAAAAAAAGTAAAAATAAAAATAAATAGGCCGGGCATGGTGGCTCATGCCTATAATCCCAGCACTTTGGGAGGCCGAGGCCAGTGGATCACCTGAGGTTGGGAGTTCGATACCAGCCTGACCAACACGGAGAAACCCTGTCCCTACTAAAAATACAAATTTAGCCGGGTGTGGTGGCACATGCCTGCAATCCCAGCTACTCAGGAGGCTGAAGCAGGAGAATGGCTTGAACCTGGGAGGCGGAGGTTGCGGTGAGCCAAGATCGTGCCATTGCACTCCAGCCTGGGCAACAAGAGTGAAACTCCGTCTCAAAAATAAATAAATAAATAAAATAAAATAAATAAAACAAATAAATTAGCTGAGCACACTTGCACATGCCTATATGTGCCTATCCCACATGTCCTAGCTACTGGAGAGGGTGAGGTGGGAGGGCCGTTTGAGCCCAGGAGTCAGAGGATACAGTGAGCTGATCATATCACTGCCCTCCAGCCTGGGAGACACAGTGAAACCCTATCTTTAAAACAAAAACAAAGAGGAGAAGCCACTGCAGAAGGAGAAAATCTAGAAGTGTGTGATGAATTGGAAGCAAAGTACAAAAAGTGTTTTAAGGAGGATTTAACAACCAGCTGTGTCAGATATTGCCAACTGGTTAAGTAAGAGGATCTGACTTTCTGAGTAATGACTATTGGATTTGGTGACTTGAAGGTCATAGGTGATCTTGAAATAATTGTTTTGGTGCAATGGCAGGGATCTGAGTTACTTTGGTTGAATGGATTCAAGAACAAATAGAAAGAATGGATGCATAAGGAGGGGATGGAATAGCTTGAGGAGAAGATAGAGCTGGGTGTTTCTGGGTTTTTTTTTTAATCTTTTTAAAGATGGGAGAAATACAGCTTGTGTGGAGGGTGAGAAATATATCCAGTTACAAAGGGAAATTTTGATGTAGGGTGGAAAGGGGACAATTGCTGGAGCAATGACATTGAGTTAAAAAAAAAAAAGTAAGTGGGATTTGCTGCATTAAGTAGCAAAACTGGCCTTTATTTAAAAAGCAAATGGTTCATCCATAGAAACAAGGAGGTGAGGGGGAGGTCAAATATGTGGGCAACATGTGGGCAATGAGAGCTGGAGGGAATTTCTTTGAATGGTTTCAGTTCCTCAGTCTATTAGGTAACAAGGTCATCTGTGGAAGTGAGAACAGGTGGATGTGCTGTTAGTCTGAAGATAGGAGAAATATTCTCTGGGAGACTAGAGGGATGAATGGGCCAGGGAAAGACAGTATTGCCAGGCAGCTTTAAAAGCCAGCTCCAGTGGTGCTTCTGGCTTCCAAGTGAGAGTGGTTAGCGCAGTGGTGTGCAGCAGCTACGGAAGGAAAGACCTAGCACAGGCAGGAAATCAGATGGAGCTAGGGTTGTGAATAGCTGGAAATGAGAATGAGGCTGAGGTGTTGGGGGATTATGCAAGGATGTAACTGGAATGATCAGTCAAGGAATTTAAGCTGGGTAGAGAAGGGAATGAGGGCAATGAACAAGGTAGCAAGTCCTAGTGGGGCTGAATTTTTGGAGCTACAATACTAGAGGGAATAAATTGAAAAGAGAAGAGATGTGGTCAGAGTGAAATGTTTAAAATGAGATTACAGAGGGGTTAGAGGTTATTTAAAAGTGGCCTTTTGCCCAGGGCAAACGGAAATTTTGGATAGAGCTCTTGTTTTGTTTTTTCCTGAACACCCTGAAATAAAAAGCTCTCTATGATGTCTGATGTTGGCCACACACTACTTAGCAAAGCTCTTGGCAGACAGTAAGTTAAGGGCTTTACACAGACTTTCATGTGCTACAGCCTCTGTAGCGAGCCATTTTACAGATGGGGCACTGAAGTGTACAGAATGCGAGTCCTTAAACCAAGGTTGCATAGTGAAGTAGTGGATGAAGCCTGGATATAGCTCAAACTCTTCTATTTCCAAGGCATTTCCCAAATCACCCCTTTCTTCTATCACCTGGTAGGTCTGTGGGTCCAGAAGGCTAAAAGGCTGTCATCGCATCTTTAAGCAGCAAAATCAGGATGTCTCACCCCAAGTAAGAGGCTCTTTCCACCCACCACATTACCATTCCATAGTCAAGATGTCCTTTGCAAGGAGATAGACTTACTTTCCTTTGATTAAACTAGGTCTCTCTCTCTCTCTCATTGTAAAAAGACTTCTCGGCAAAAAATTCCTTTTTTTGTCTTATCTTCTAATTCTGTATCCCTTTTCCATTCCTTTTTCTTTGTAATTCTTTAATGAATCCACATTTTCCCTTTCCACAATTTCATTTCTTCTTCTATTTAACAGCATGGAACTTTCCATCCTTTTGACAGAGTTCTACAACAAAGGTTAATTACTTTATAATTTCATTCTCTTAAAAAAAAGCACACTAAAATTGCTAATTTTAACTGTGCTTCTTGTCAGTGGGTTCATGTAAATTCACTGTAATTAAACCAGATGTTTTCTTGTGCCTTAAAGTCAGGTGGTAATTTAAGGAAGATTTTCATTTCAACATAAAGGAGGACAGAGTGTTATCAAGGGAAGTTTTCTCCTCTCCTCTCCCCTTTCCTCCCCTCCCCTCCTCTCCTCTCTTTATCTCCATTTCTACATCTGAAAAGGGGTTAACAATGGTGAACTTTGGGGGTAGATATGAGGAATACCAAGGTAGTATATATAAAAGCAGATAGCCATGTACAATTCAACAGGAGTTTCCCTTGATACTTGTCTATGTCATTTTTTTGTCTCTCCACTTCAGTTGCCATATTTCTTTATTCATTCATTATACAGAGGCTTGGAACTAACTTAATAAGAGAGATTTAGATAATTTTAGTCTCATATTTCCTAGTCGTGTTGGAGAAAATACATTTGTTCCAGATAAATCTTTACATCTTAATTAACTATAGCCTTTTAATTGAACTATACAGTTGTATGCTACTAAATGTTTCACAACCTGCTCTCCAGGGAAAAATAAAAACAAAAACTTTGCCAACTTCCATGGTGTAAATATTTCCACCATGGTTTATTTGAAGCAACGAATGTGGTACTACTGAACTTGGAGGTGGGAAGAGATGCAAGCAAGTCTGAGTTAGCTTTGAATATAGCTAAAAGACGTCATACATATCCCCCATCTTCACAAACAATACCCATAAATGGGACACTATGGTATCACGAAAAGGGCATGAACTTTTATGTGGAATGGTCATTTATTCATCCATCTATTCATTCAACAACGAGCCCATACTATGGATTACCAGAGTGAACAACACAAAACAAAGTTTCTATTCCCATTAAGCTTATATCCCTCAAAGAGAGATAATAAAGTAATCAATATACAGCATGAGGTAGAGAAAAATAAAACAGAGAACAGCGGTAGAGGTTTTGGCCAGGTATAGAATTATATATTGGGTGGTCAGGGAATGCCCTTCAGGTAAGATTTTGAATTCTATTTACTCCTCTTCTGCACAACTGTATCGATAGCATCTACATCAAAGTATTTGGGAATTGACTGTAAGAATGGAGAGTATCAGCACAATGCCTAGTTCATAGTGTGCACTTGAAAAACATAATTGCATTTCTCTTTGCCCTTTATAATATCTCAAGACCATCTTGGTAAACATCTCAAATGTACTGAGCTCTAATACAGTGATGCCTTCAGGACTCACTAAGGTGTGAATAGCTTTCACTCTTACACTAAATGACTCTGGACTGCTTTACTTATTGCCTTGTTGTTATTGCTTTTTCTGCTTTTTCTCTCACTTTTCCCTTTTCCCGGTTTTACATGCCACATCTTGTTACTACAGATGTACTCATCCTTAGCAACATGCAGCCTCCTTCTAGCTTACTGTGACCTGAGAAACCTGATCATTGGCTCATTAGAAATGTACACTTAATAAAGGTACTCATTCCTGAGGCATGTCAGTCTTCCTTACAATTCAAGTACATGAGTTTTTTAAAAAGTATGATGCTAAATGAAATAATATATGTTTTGTATGTGATTAACTGTATTAAATATCAATAATATTATGGTATATATTAAGTTATTAATTATAATCAATTACATTATATGTAATTATTATATGGGATTCTACATTTCCTTATTTGTAAAATAGAAAAAAAAACACTCTTTGCTCCTTCACATTTAGTGTTCAGATTAAATGAATCTACACTGCTAGTGAAAACACAAAATCATACAACTTCTATGGAAGAGTACCTCTCAACAGCTAACAAAACTTCATATGTACTTACTCTGTGACTCTTGCAATCCCACTTTTAAGAATTTACCCTAAAGATACATTGCCACAAGTACCAAACAACATATGCACAATGCTATTTGCTACAGTATTATTTATGATAGTAAATAACGGAAACAACCTGGGTGTCCACTGGATATTGGTTGAATAAATTACAGTATTTCCATCAACACAATGAAATACCATAGTGTCATAAAAAATAAAGAGCAAATTCTGTAGTAACTGATATGAAGTGATTTCTAGGATATACTGAGTGAACAAAAACACAAGATGCAAAGTATATCAATTATGCTACCTTTTATATAAGAAGTAGGAAGAAGAAAAGTATTACATATTTTTTTGCAAAAAGAACTCTAAGAAAGATCAACCAGAAAGGAATGAAAATAGCTACCTTTCAAGTGTGGATTGGAATAGTGAAAAGAGACAGGAATGGCGGTAATATTTTTTGGAATATACGTTTTAATGTAGTTTTTTAATGGTGTTTTTATTTCTAATTTAATTTAAAGTTCTGAGATACATGAGCAGGAACTGCAGGTTTGTTACATAGGTAAATGCATGCCATGGTAGTTTGCTGGACCTATCAACCCATCACCTAGGTATTAAGCCCCATATGCATTAACTATTTATCCTGATGCTCTCCCTCCCCACACTCCCCCAACAGGCCCCAGGGTGTGCTGTTCCCCTCCCTGTGTCCATGTGTTCTCATTGTTCAGCTCCCACTTACAAGTGAGAACGTGCAGTGTTTGGTTGTCTGTTCCTGTGTTAGTCTGCTGAGGATAATGACTTCCAGCTCCATCCATGTTCCTGCAAAGGACATGATCTCATTCCTTTTTATGGCTGCAAATACCACATTTTCTTTATCCAGTCTATCATTGATGGCCATTTGGGTTGACTCCATGTCTTTGCTATTGTGAACAGTGCTGCAATGAACATATACATGCATGTATCTTTATAATAGAATGATTTATATTCTGTTGGGTATATACCCAGTAATGAGACACAGTTTTTACTTTTGAAACATGCAACTGTTTTGCATATTAAAAACAATTAAATTGAATTAAAAAGCATAGGTGGAAGGCAAACCTTTAAATGGAAACAAATGAACATAACTGGGTATCAAATTGATAATATAACCATACAGAGAAAAGAACTGAACTTTTGAACATAGTATTCTCACTGCATACCCTCAGTGGTATACAGCCTAAGGAGATAAAAACTGAAATCTTTAACCTAACTTAGTATAATAGCTTTATTGTTTTTTAGAGGGATTGGTGTTGTAATTCTGAAACTATTTTATGTGTGTTTCAGGAAATGAAAACTATGTGGATGTTGAGCACCAGGGTTCTCACTGCAGGAGAAGGAAGATATATGTATAAAATGTGTTGAATTTGAATCAGTATGAGCTCATGACTTAAAACAAAAATAAATTATACTCCCTAGCTCTACCTACTGAAAGAACCTACAGGCAATAACGCATCACCGAGCACACCTAAGATGTATATCTTAGTGCCAAAATACCACTCCCCATTGAAAGCAACCACAAATCCCTAATAAGTGGTTGGCCTCAGGTCTGGGGCAGGGACATTAAAAGAATAGTCTAGAATATTTTTGTTGTGCCAGAAGCAAGGAAGACTAATGAGAACATGTCAAAAGGACCTGGGAATCAGCTTGAAGAGACTGCCACTGGCCATATTTGAGGCAATTTGAGCATCACAGAGAATGGCAGTAGAGGATTTCAATACACGGAGTCAAAAATGATCTATGAATCAACAGGGAGACCAAAAACAGGGAGGAAGATGAAGAGAGAAACAACTCTTCTCTAAAGAAGAAGGCTAACTAGTAAGCGTAGGGAGAATTATAGATGTTTAAATCACCCTTTTGTAAGCACCAACGTAATAACTGGTTCAGGTGAAGACTCTCAGGACGTGTTAAAACCATTGAGTGAAAGCTTTAGGGGAATACAATACTCATTCCATCTCAAAGTTTCACTCCAAGGATACTTTACAAAAGAAAAAAGGTGCCACATTTACAGTGGAGGGACCGGGCAGTTCTTGTCTTATCTAAGTGACCATATGTGACATCATCAGTACTGGGACTCCCTGACATTATGAACTTCTTGACAAAATACAATGAGAAATATACATCGCCAACATAATGGTTTTGCCAAAGATATACGGAACCCTGGTTCTGTCACATAGAATCAGGTTAAATATTATTAGAAATGTAAACAAACTGTATATTACATGATTTTAAAATTAATGCAAAATTTATTAGAGGTTAAATAGCATTGTGGGTATGTAGCATAAAGTTCTTATTTTTAGGTCTTGTATGCTAATTGGTTTAGAAATCAACTGTCATGATTTCTGCACTTTACTTTCAAATGGTTAAAATATTGTATGTATTCATAAATATATTTACATAGCATATGTCACCTATCATGTAGATATAAGATACACACACATGAGTAAATGCAGCAAAGTGTTTACAAATGTTGAATCTAGATGAGAGGTTTATAAGTCTCCTTTGTACTATTCTTTCGATTTTTCTAGCTTTGAAAATTTTCACAATAAAATCTTGGGCTAAAGGAGTACAGGAGCCACTGTATATAATATGTCTATCCGTGCCTAGCACAGTGTAGGTGCTCAATAAATAGCAGTCAAAGTGAGCTGCCAAGCAAAACCATCAACATGGTTTTCATCTTTCAAGGTGCAAGCGAACTGTGGTTTTGTCTGAGACATTTGTGGAAAAGGGAAAAATAAAGAATCTGTTTAGTTTCTTATGAACAGCTGCTACCCAAATGAAGCCATGGGGCTCAGCAGCCATGAGCTGCTCTCTAGTGCTGGATTTCTTCGCAGGCCGTCAAATGCACTGAGGTGCTGAAATTACAAATTCTGCAAATTCCCCAGAAGACAATTTTGTGGCACGGATGACAGCAGCATGAATTCAGCCATTCAGCCAACTCAATCCTAAAGGTTGCTTGCTGGCTCCCGGAGGGGGGTTTCAGTTAATCTACTAGAGCCACGCTCTAGCCTCATCTTGTCCTTGAGGTGAACGAGTTACCCAGCCAACAGAAGTGGTGCTTCCTCTCTCTTTAGAAAGAATGGAACTTAACCCTGGCATACAGCAGGGTCCTACACTGAGACTCTCCTTCAGTCCAGTGGGTTTTGAGGCAGAGCCTCAGAATACAGAACTGAGGAATCATGTCTCGTATGTTGGTGTTTTTAGTAATGATAATGTCCACACATCTCCATAGAGCAGGAATTGATGCTTTATTAATGATGTTTAATTAAAATTTAATTTCAAAGCATTCCTGCTCTCATGTTGTTTTGATAAAGGCTTTTTTTTCTTGGTGACAGGAAGAAGAAAGAGAGAAGTTAAGGAACGCCTTAAAGCTGGACTTGGGGTTTGCTGAGGCACAGGGAGGTAATCCTCAAAGAGCAGCTCAAGGTGGGCAAAGAATCTTTAAAAAGGTGCCCTGAGCTGCTCCTTGGGAAAACCTTATTGTTCATCTCCTGAGTCCTGAATTTTCATGCTGATTTTCAGCAGTGACTTCTCCCTCTCTAACAACCAGGAATTCCCTGTGAATATGAGTCACTAAACCATCCTTTTGCCCTGACTCTGTTTCTCATATCAGGCACCAAGCACACTGCCACTTTTTGAGCATCTACAGTGTATTTCCCACAACCAGTTAGATTTCTAGATGTCTGGACATGTCTACAGCTCTGAAGAGGTTTCCTAGGGGAGCTGGGAAGTTTCTCAACTGCCGGGGATAGATGCTCCTTTGTGAATACCTTTTTGTTTTTTTTTTCTCCTGTGATTCACCACAAATATAGTACCTTATAACATGCTGGGTATTAGTCCAATTTCTTTATATACCATGCCACTTAATGTGCACGAGAATCTATAAGATAAGTACTTTAATTATTCCTTTTTTGTTTGAGACAGAGTCTCGCTCTGTCACCCAGGCTGGAGTGCAGTGGCGCGATCTCGGCTCACTGCAACCTCCGCCTCCCAGGTTCAAGCGATTCTCCTGCCTCAGCCTTCTGAGTAGCTGGGACTACAGGCATGTGCCACCATGCCCAGCTAATTTTTTGTATTTTTAGTAGAGATGGGGTTTCACCACAGTAGCCGGGATGGTCTCAATCTCCTGACCTCATGATCTGCCCTCCTCAGCCTCCCAGAGTGCTGGGATTACAGGGTGAGCCACCATGTCTGGCCAATTAATTCCATTTTACAGATGAGGAAACAAAGGCACTAAGAGGTTAAACAACTTGTCCAGGCATGCTTGGCTCCAGAGTGTACATTGTCTGACAGCGCACAATTCTACCTGCTGGAGGAAGGGGCTACAGATTTCTGAAACAATGAAGTCAGATCTAGGGAAATCTTCCTAGAACTGGAAGTTTTACAGAGTCTACTCCAAGGATGACCCCAAAGACCAGTGTGTGGGGTCTGCAAAGAGGATGGCTACGAGGATGAACTGGAAGGGTGTAAGGGAGGGATGGATCATCAAAGTAGACTGTGTAAAACTTCCAGATCTAGGATGGGACATGGTGGAAGTGAGAATTAGGGGCAGGGTGAGAAGAGGCTGGCACTATTTCCCTTGTCTTCTCATGAGATTTTGCAGCTGAGAATGTGAATCTGGGTTCTACTCAGGGTCATAACTCTGAAGTATTTAGAACTCGCTTAGATGAAACAAGAGTACTAGATCCTACTGAATCCCAGGAACACACAAAGAAAGAAGAAAATGAAAATGAAAAAAAGAAAACATGTCCTAAACAGAATTGCCACAGTAGAGGCTCTGTCTTCAAGTTCTAAGGCTAATCTGAGTCAAGCCGGGTATTTTCTTTATGCAGCTGACAATGCCAGTGCTCTGGCTAGACCTTTCAGACCTCTTTATACAATTTTTGTGAGACTCTATCCTTTACCTGCACATGCAGAGAGACAAAAGTTACTGAAATTTTACCTCTGAATCTCTCCTCCCCATCCCAGACCCTAACTGTTGGCTGGCAGCTTCCTTGCCTAACTTAGGACATCTGTGATGCATGGCCCACCCTGAACAGTTCCCTGAAGGCTCAGGTTGCAGCCAGTTTTTGCTGGACTTGGCCAAAAGTTGCACCTTGGCTTTCTCCCCTTCCTTGTCCCACTTCCCTCACTCCCCTCCCAGTCTCCCCTGGGAAAACTTTCTTAATCAGTCACATGCACACGAATCTTCATCTGAGTCTGATTCTCAGGAACTATCTAAAGCCATCCCACAAGGCAAGAGGCAGCCTGGGCTGGCTGGAGGGGAAACTGAAATATGGTCATGGGGAAGTGTTTCTTAGGTAAGCCCTGGAACTGGCGAATTCTATGCTATCACTAAGGTAACTGCGGTGAGCCTGGGAAGAAACATCCAAGTCAATCTGGGGCAATCAAGGAAAGCTTCCTGGAGGAAGTAACATTTGAGCAAAGACTTGAAAGGTCAATAGAGGTTTCCTTGCAAACATGGAGGACAGGTCATTCCAAGCAGGAGAAATGGCATGGGTAAGGACAGAGAGGCAGGAAAAGTTATGTGTTCTAGCAGTAGTGGCTCTAGGTTCTTGGAGTCTCAAGTTATGAGGAAGATAAACTGCAGGAAGCATACCCATTAGAAATGGGGGTATGGAGGTGGGGTGGGTTTGGGAGGGAGACATGGAGGCTCCTAGGCTGGCTTTCAGGTCTCTATCTTGAGTTACTAGGTGCAGTTCATTGAGATAAGGAATACAGGAAAGTCAGTATAGAATTGGAGATTAGTTCAATTTCAGATACCTTGAGCTTGAGATGACTGTCATCCAGCCAGATGAATATTCAGTTCTGGGTGGATCCAATGTGTACGCTAAGCTTTTTATATCTATTTTCTGTTTTTAATTCTTACATAATTCAGCATTGTCTGACTTCCAAATTCAACATGTTTAAACAATGTGATACATGTTTTATCTTTCTGGAGGCATCAGTGCAGTCAAACCTTGGACAGAGAAGGTGGTTGATATAGTTTGGGTATTTGTCCCCTCCCAAATCTCATGTTGAACTGTAATCTTCAGTGCTGGAGGTGTGATTGGATCATGGAAGTGGATCCCTCATGGGTTGGTGCTGTCTTCGCGACAGTGAGTGAATTCCCCGGAGATCTGGTTAAGTGTGTGGCACCGCCAATCTTTTGCGCCTGCTTTGGCCACGTAGTGTTCCTGCTCCTACTTCATCTTCCACCATGAGTAAAAGCTCCTCAGCCTCCCCAGAAGCCAAGCTATGTCAGTGCTATGCTTTCTGTACAGCTGCAGAACTGTGAGCCAATTAAACCTCCTTTCTTTATAAATTACCCAGTCTTTATAAATTACCCAGTCTCCGGTGTTTTTTTTGTTTTGTTTTGTTTTTTTGGTAGAGATGGAATCTCACTCTGTTGCCCAGGCTGGAGTGCAATGGTGCGATCTCGGCTCACTGCAACCTCTGCCTCCCAAGTTCAAGCAATTCTCCAGCCTCAGCCTCCTGAGTAGCTGGGACTACAGGCACACGCTGCCACGCCTGGTAATTTCTTTTGTATTTTAGTAGAGACAGGGTTTCACCATGTTGCCCAGGCTGGTCTCAAACTCCTGAGATAGGCAATCCACCTGCCTCAGCCTCCCAAAGTGCTAGGATTACAGGCATGAGTCACCACACCTGGCCACAGGTATTTCTTTATAGCAATGCAAGAATGGTCTAATACACTGGTATAAAGCAAGAAGAGGGATGGGGGTACAAAAGGGCCAAAGCTGAGTGCAAGTCTATGGCAGAACTGTCACTGTGATGGGAAAGCACTCCCTGGAGTTGTGCAATGCACAGTTTACATAGTCCTTCATTGAAGGCCTAAGAAAAGAAAGGTGTGTGTGAGGGAATTAAAAATGTAGGAAAAATAAAAGCCTCATAACTGACTGCCATGGCCCTGTGAATAGATTCAATATCCCCATTCCCATGTAAGCTCTCCTCCCTTGCTCACCGTCTTCCTCAGTCTGCACCACCAGCTCCTCGCTCTCCATTCGGCCCTCGGGGTTAGACAGCAAGAGTCGCAGCCGGATGGTCATGAAGGGGCGCAGGCCTCGCAGGGTGTAGTGGGAGGAGGTCTGGATGACCTCCTCGGCCTCGTACTGCTGCTGGTTGAACACATACTGGTACTGCACGGTGAGGTTGTAGCTATGGCAGCGGGTCACCGCGTAGCCGAAGGGCTCCCACTGCAGGGTCAGCTGCCGGGCTCTGATGTCTACGATTTCCACGTTCTGTGGGCCATGTACCGGATCTGCAAAACATGCAGGCAAGAAACAAGGGTTCTGAAGAGACCATCGGGAAGCTGGGGTACATGTTCTGCTACAACAGGGAACACAGCTTTTCCAAACATATCTCCACCATTCAATCACTGCCATCATGATTTTTGACACAGGCAATATAATTTAGAGAACATTTTTCTTTACATCAATCTCCCTTGTCTTATTTAAATACATGCATCTAATAGAAAACATAAATATATAAAAGGAAAACATCTTAAATAAATGTTAACCATAAAAATAAATGTGAAATTGTTAAATTCTTAAGGGTGCATCAAAGTGCCACTGAAAACCTTCTTGGTACCACACACAGCACACTCCTCGCTTCTGGGATACGCTTATTTAGACGGCTGCTGAGAGCTGACCTGCCTCCTTATACTGAATTCAGCCCCAGCCTGTCCCCTTGGAGGTCAGCCTCTCCTCTTCAGCCAACAACATCCAGATGCACTAGCTGGAAACTGAGTCACAGCCTCAACCCGCAACACCCAGTTTATCCATGCGTTCATCATGACCCATTAACCCTGCTTTAGGATTTCCTCTCCTTTCCTTGACTACACAGTTCATCATTTCCTAACCTCCTACAACAGTCTTCCATCCCTCTTTTTCTCCCCTGGTCCCTCTGGGAACATCATTCTAAAAGCTAATCTGAGCATGCCTTCTCACCCTAATGCTGTCTCCCACTCCATGCCTCCTATTGATCTTGGTCCCAGATCACCATACATAATGTTGTCTATGTCTAATTTTATTAGGAATATTCTATTTATACTTTATGCACATTAAATAGATTTTTTTAATATAAAACAGGTTATAATAAACATGATGTTTTTCAAAAATCCTCACATGTAAAGCTCATTTTATGTTGAGGTTTAGGCATTTGTCTTTGGGGTGGCTTGTTTTGTTTCTTTGAGATGGGAGTCTGACTCTCTATCCTAGGCTGGTGTACAGTGGCACAATCAGAGTTCATCCCAGCCTCAAACTCCTAGGCTCAAGCAATCATGATCCTCTAGCCTCAGCCTCACATGTAGGTGGGCCTACACCATGCTTGGCTAATTTTTTATTTTTATTTTTTCACATATGGGGTCTCTCTATGTTGCCCAGGCTGGTCTCAAACTCCTGGGCTCAAGTGATCCTCCTGCCTTGGCTTCCCAAAGTGATGGGATTGCAGGCACCATCCACCATGCCTGGCTCTTGGGTCAGGCATTTGTTATGTTAGAAACATAACTTCTCATGTGATAGATACACCCAGAAATTCTTGTGTCAGACTTTCTTATCTGGGAGGAGTCAGGCACAGGCTGGAGATTAAATCAGTACTTCTCCCCATACCTACAGAACTTTGCCCAATTATGTATCCTCTTTGGATCCACTTTTTAATTCATTTGTAAAATGATGATAATAATAGTAGCTAACCTCATGGCAGGGGGAAGAGGAAGTTAGATGAGATGCTTGTAAAGCAGTTAGAACTCAAACTTAATAAGCACTCTACGTATGATAACTGGGGTGTGTTGTTTGTTTTGCAGTAATAGTAATAATATATATGTAATAGTAATAATAATAGTGTTCCGCATGCTGTGTCTACCTTGAATGCCTTGTGAGTGGCAGTGCTGGGAGCACCCTTATGCAAAATGATGGACTAGGTTTCCATCATTGCTCCAATCCCCTCAGAGCATTTAAGGGTAAGGCTACCTCTGCACCAATGCAGCAATAAGAAAGAGGGGATGCTATTGGTGCTAGTTGATCTGTCCCTATGGGGAAAATATCCTGTAACTTGTGTCGGCGTCCTACCAAGGAACATAGTTCACAGGAATGTCAGGGAACCTGGCAAGCCCGCACAGAGCTGCCCACGTGGCTGCAGGAGTGAGGGTGTTGAGGATAGTGGGCAGCCCTGGCCCCTGATCAACTGAGGAATTCATGATCACTCTTACAGCCCAATTATTCATGCTCACAGGTCCTTTGGGCAAAGCAGAGCCAGCATCCCCAAATCAAATGGGTGACCCTGAGAATGTGACATTGAACAAGCTGTTGCTGAGGGCCTATTGTGGAATGGAAGGTGAAATGTGGTCCCTGTAGCTGGGGATTATGATTGGTGGGATTACGGCTGCTGGCTAAACATCTCGCAGTTGTACCGACTGCAATGAGAGCAGATGTACAGGCACACAGAGAGCAATAAATGGCTTGCCTGGGAAGCCCCGAGCATCCCCATCAGCGTTGCCTAGCTGGGGCCTGTCCACTTGTCCAGGTGCCAGAACTCTCCTGGCAGAGAGCCACTGCCCCTGCTCAGGGCCTCTTCGACACTCCTCCCCTGGGTTTGCCCTCCAAACTGATGCCAAGCCCCAATACAACAGTCACCCACATGGCACTCTCACCTCCCTCCTGAGGCAGGGAGAAGAGGAACACTTAAGACCCATTTAAACCCAAGGCTAAGACCACATGTTATTGAACATCTTAAAATGTACCATATCTCATGTTAAATATAATTTTTGAGGTCTTTATTATGGCCTTAACCCACAAACAAAGCTATAAAGACAAAACACCACTGATGGAACTGTAGCCACAAGTGCTGGGCTCTATCTTCTGAACCATCTTATGACCCTAGGAGGGAAGGATGGCCCACCCCACATTACAGATGAATAACCTGAGGTCCAGAAATGTGCAGGAATTAGTACAGAGTAGCAAGGCCAGCAGGTGACAAAGTGCGGTTTTGAACTTGTGTCTGCCTGACCCCACATGTAGTGTGCAAAGTAAAAACTCTCTGTAAGCTATCAGTTGCACTCTCTATGTTGAAAATCTCACTACCTGGGAGGAAGGCATCACTAGCTCTGTCCTAGAGGAAACCAAAGCTCTTTGAGACAAAATAATTGGCCTAAAGCCACAGAGTGAGAGGCACAGCCAAGATATGAGGTCTGCCAGAGTAGAAAACCTGTGTTTTCTCAGCACCTTGACGCCACCGGAGACTGAGACCAGGGAAAGAACATAAATATGAGGCATGTCGCCTTCATCAGAAGTCTGGGGAGACTTGAAGACAATAGTGAGAGAAAGCCAAAATACTACAAGGCAAAAATGACTTGGGTCTCAGGAGCCTAGGACCTGCGGGAGAGAGTGGTACAGTGATGTAAACACATTTAGTGCAAAGCTGACCGCTGGCCTTTTGATCCCTGGTCTCCATTCTCCCTGGAGCTCACCTCTGGAGGTGTGCATATACACACATTTCTGCTCCTCTTAAAGGACTAAACAGGAGCATCTTTTTAAAGAAGACAAGGATATCGTGATCTTGCCACACAGCAAAGAGACTCTTTGAGACCGGGAAAGTTGGGATACAGGAAAAGCCACTTGTTCCCTCTTGAGCATGTGTGACTGTCACGGCGGGCCCCGGGTACAGTGCTGCTGACTAGAGCGTGGCTTGAAGCGAGACTCTGGCACTCACTATCTGGGTGACCTTGGGCAAGGGCACTTCATTGCTGAGCCTCCATCTCCTCATCTATAAAGTGGAAATTATTACACTAGTCTCAAAAGGTTGTTAATGAGCATAAAATGAACTGTAAAGAGAGAGAAAATTGCCTTTGGCTAACAGTAGGTACTCCTTTTAGAGAGAATTGCCTTTCTTGGAGAAATGCCTTTGGAAGCTTGTGTGGGGTAGAAGCTGCATTCTTGGGGCCTCAGTATCACTTATGCTGAGACTCCAGTGGAAGAGAAAAAATAAACCCACTGGGGGCTTGGATAGCATAAGAGAGGTGTGAGGGTGAACAAATGGCAGAATATTGGGTGAAGCCCAATATGATCACTCCCCAGGTGATTTTTAGATCTCCAGCAAGGCCCTCAAAATACAACAAAGACCTTTGCTGTGCCTGGATCTCCTGTGGGTTCTAGAAAGGGTTGAGGTCGGCATGCCTTGGGCCTAATAAGATACCACGTGGGAACACAGGGACCAGAGGCAAAGGAACCTTGGAAAATGTGCTCATGTGTGTTACTGAAATCTTGGGAGATGATTTTGGGGAGATGATTTTTCTACTGGCTATGAAAATTCAGAGATTCAAGGAAATCTCAGTTTGTATTCCAAAGGCAAGAAGGACTCTGGTGAACCTAGAGATTCGGTACCTGCAGGTGAAAGCATTTTGTAAATCTGAGAACTCGCATTCAGGAAAGGGAAAGACAATGGCTATTAAGTAGCAACTCTGGGCTAGGAGCTACCCTTAGCACTTGTGTCCTAAAAACAACTCGACGGTATAGGAAGTTGAGACTCAGTGAAGAGATGTAACTTACCCAGGGCCACATGGCCGAGCCCCCATTCTCTGGGCTCCCATGAATGGGTCAGTTACACATGTATGCACACAAGCCTGTCCCGAACATGTGCAAAATCACAGATGGGTCTGGGATAAGAATACACATTTTAGTCTGTAGCCCCTTCCCCCTTCTCCTTCCACCAAACTGCATCTCTTCCTGCAGGGGGCCTCACATATAAGTGTGCAGCGACCTCAGTCCTCAGGTGCAAGCTCTGTCCACTTCCCCCAGACATCCACTCTTTGGCCATGGCACTTTGCACTGTTGTCCAACACACACTTAGCATTTGTCACACTGCCCAGGAATTGCTTGTTCATGTGTTTGTCCCCCCTCTCAGGCTGCAACAGACCATGTTCTGTTTGCCAGTAACCTCACAACGTGGCACAGGGTCTGTCAAGGGGCAGTTCCTGTGAGATGAACAGATGGTGACCTGTTCTTGGGAACTGAGCTCAGACTCTCTGACTCCACAGTCCTTGTTCTGTCCCCTTCAGCATGTCAGCCAGGTCTTTAAGGGTAATATATATATATATATTTTTTTTGCATTCAAGCAAGAGAATATCCTGAAATCCTATTCAATGGAAACTAGGTTTTAGAGTGTGATGGAAGCATTCATGCTTTCAGTCCGACCCCTCTAAACCTCATCTGCCAAACCCAGCTTCTGCTGGGTAATTGCCTGCAGCATGGAGAATCTGGGGTTTACATTCGGGTTGGTGCAAACAAGTTGGAAATTGCTAAGAAAGCCTTGTGTGTGCAGTGGAGATTGGTTTGTTGAATTTACATCCCCCGTGTAAATACAGCCAAGCCTAGAGCCTATGGTTTCTGCCTCCAGATAAAGCCCTGTCCGTATGACCTTCTTGAGTAATAGCCCACAGGCCAAGAAGATGACAAACAGTGGGAAGAGTGTGGCTTGTCTGGGAAGCTGGAAAACCATCCTCTGATAGAAAATCAAAGTGGCTCTACCTCTGGATGCACCTTCTGTATGCTCTTAGGCTAGACAACAGTGGCCTTGTCCTATGCCCTGTACTTTAGAGAGCCACTTTGGCCCACTTCAGACTGTCCCTCTTCTCGGAGCAAGGGATCGGGGGCCAATGGGCTGGCCAAAGGATCTGGTTCTGTCCTCTCCCTTCTGGTCCAGGCTCCACATTTATGACCCCCTAGAATTCCCTGCCACGAGGCCCTACACTCAGTTTCTTCCTTTGTTCTGTCCTTCCTGTGAGTGGCCGTTGGCCTAAGGATGGCCAAAGGATGGCTGTCTGGGGGCAGTGGACAGAACTTGCACCTGAGGACTGAGGTTGCTGTGCACACACATATGTGGGGCCCTTGTGGGGAGAGATGTTGTTGGGTGAAAGGAGAAGGGGGAAGGGGCCACGGGCTGACATTTTTATTCCTATCTCAGATTCTGTGATTATGCACATGTTAGGGACAGGCTTGTGTTCATGCATGTGTGACTGACCCACTCAGGTTTTCAGAACCTTCTCCATTCTTACTGTGGCCTCAGGAAGGCACGGTGGTCCTCCTCACCTCTGAACCCTGCTCCTCTTTCTACATCAGCTCTTATTAAAGCACCATGTCCATCCTGAAGTACCATTTTCATCCTAATACCCGAGCCCACCCTGCAACAGGTACCTTCCTGCCCCCAAATGCCCCTGAGTCATTTTCCACTTCTCACTTATCAAATCCTGTATTCTTAAAGCAAAGCAAGGGATTATAAATGCCTTCACACCTCCAAGCCTCTGCCCAGCTATTTCCTCTGCTTGGGATGCCACCAACAAATCCTCATTCAATATTTTCAAGGCCCAGCTCCAATGCCACCCTTTACTTGTGACTTTCTCTAACAGTCTCCCTTGCCCATAATTAATGCCTCGATGACATTTTTTTTCCTTAACCTGCTATCATATGTCTCCCATAGCTCTTATCAGACTTCAGGGTTATTGTTCATATGTTTGGTTCATGTTCACCTCCACTGCCAACCTGTGAGCCCCTAGATCTCCTCATTTTATAACTATAACATACAGCTGCTGAATAAATGAATGAATAAGTACATAAATGAATAAATCTAGAAAGTAGTGATAGCTGAAGACCAAGCCACCCGAATTTAGGTGCTAATAGAGGGCAGGGGAAAAGCAATAAGTAGAGGGTTGAATCAGGATCTCCTTACACTCCAATTGTTAAGGGTAATCATGTGGTTAAGTCAGAATTGGCTCCCTTTTTTGTTCTGTATGGACTCAGCCTCCATCCCTGCTGTCAAAGGCAATAGCTGTAGAATCTTCTAATGACCTTAATCAAGGCAGAACATCTTATTAAAAAAGAAGCAGCAAAACAGATTTTCAATTCATGAATTTGCTACGTATTCATGTTTGCATGTGGAGTTGCCTGTAGCATATGTACTGTTCAAAGTTGAACCTAAATTAAGATAATTTGGGGATGGGGCTGAAAATGTGGAGGTGGATAGCTTGTATGCAAAATTAATTTTTTATCCATTTGGAGATGCAATTTGAGTTCTTTTCAAATTAAATTGCAATGGAGTCCTAGGCAGCTGGAAACATTATTGCCAACATAATTTGATACTGCAAGAGCAGAAATATGTTGACAGATAGTTCGATGTGACCATTAATTTGCACTTTCTGCATGGAAATGATACACGAAGGGAATAAAAAGGTAAGGGGAACAAAAATAAAATCCATCTTCTTTCCAGCATCATCGAAACCCACTCTCTTGCTTATTTTCCACCACCTCTTCTAATTTATTGCAGATGTTTGGTGGACAAGAATTTGTTGAATACTAGTTCACTATTCCTAAACCAAAAATCTGAAATCTGAAATATTCCAAAATCTGAAACTTTCTGAGTGCCAGCATGATGCTCAAAGGAAATGCACATGGGAATATTTCAAATTTCAGATTTTCAATAACAGGGATGTTCGACTGGTAAGTATAACACAAATCTTCCAAAATCTGAAACATTTCTGGTTCAATCATTTCAGATAAGGGATATTCAGCCTGTATTATCATAGATATCTTATAAATATAAGCAAGCATAGGAATCCAGGAGCTCCATTTGGAGATGCTGGTAATTCCACAATATAGAAGCACTAGATCCTACCCGTGCTGATGATTAGAATCACCTGAAGCTGGAGCATGTCACCTTGTGAGAAGGCAACACGGTTGCTACCCTCCCATAGCAATGCCACAGAGAAGGTAATCCACTCACGTGTTCATTGTCTCATTTCTTAATTGAAAACTACTCACTGAGCATGGAGGCATCATGACATGGGGAAAAGAACATTGGTTCTGTGATCACCTGAACCTAAGCACATCACTTACCCTACCTGTGTCTGTGCCTTATTTTTCTCATGTAGGAAACGTAGATGATACTCCTTCACTCTTAGGGCTATGAGGTGAATTAAGAAGATAATATATTCCAGAGCCTTGGATGGTACTAAATACAGTTGCACTCCCTCAAACCCAGAGTGGGAGGTGAGACAGAACAGCCACTGAGACAAACAGGGGTTGTGGAGGTTTCTGTGGATCTCTGACCTGGTTCTGAGTCTAGTTGACTACTGGCCTCATTCTTTTAACCAACTATAGTTTAGTGTTAGAAAGCTTCCATTAATGCCCTTGCAGTTATTGCTGTATCTACTCCTTCCATTCTACATACATATCCTGAACCTCTGAGATGGGCCAGGCATTAGGGATGTAGGTGAATGGGACACTTGCTTGCCTTTGTGAAACTGATGCTAGGGGGATGCAATAATTTTGAAGGATGATATGATGAAGCTTGATAAGTCTTTTGCAGGGGAAGTACTGGGCTTCTGGACAATAGATACAGTACAGCATTGAAACCCAGCTAAGCCAATTTGATGATGACGCATGCACAACCCTGACATTCGTTATCATAGAAACCAAAGCCATCAAAGAAATTTAAGGTGAACGAGGATTAACGATTCCCCAACAACTGCATTATTAGATGATAATAAAAGCAAGCCTTAGGCCAAATTCTACTACACAGATGGACACAGTATACAAGCATTTATTAGCAAATGGGCACAAAACAGCTCAAACAATCTATTTCATAAAGTCCCAGCAATAGATGAATCAGTTACCATTTTTCATGAAAGGTTCATTCGAGGCAAGTACAACAATACTCTAAGGCAGAAGTAGGTGAGCTTTTTTTTTTTTTTAAGGGCCAGATAGTAAATATTTAAGGTTTTGCACCTTTGCAGGTTAGACAGTCTCTGTTGCATCTTTCCATCTCTGCTATTATAGTGCAAATGTAGCCATAGACAACATGTACGCAAAATAGGTGTGGCTGAGTTTCAATAAATGTTTATTTACAAAAAGCTAGAACCTTAGGCTATAGCATGCTTACTCTTGTTATGGAGGTAAAATAAATGACTATGATTGTCACTTTAGGCAGCCGGCAATCCTCCTAATCTCATGGCTAACACAGTACTGTTTAGGAATCAAGGTTTTGACACCATCCCTAAGGTCGAAGACTAGAGGTCTTACAGGATTATTCTTTATAATGTCCTTCTGGAGAGTATTTTAAAACCATTTTGGCCAACCCACATAGTTTAAATACCTTTCATTTCACCAATTAGAATTTACTTCTAACATTTATTATGCTAGTCCACAGGCCCTTGATTTCAACCACAGTAATCAATTGCTAATATTTAGTTTGCTAATTAGCAACATGGAGGTTGTTGATCAAGATATGGTATCAGAATAGTTGGGAAAATAGGCGTGTACTCATCACATCTGGTTAGTTTTTTTTAATTTTTTTTTTAGAGGCAAGTATCTCACTATTTGCCCAAGCGGGTCTCGAAATCCTGGCCTCAAGTGATCCTCCTGCCTCAGCCTGGGAGACAGAGCAAGAGCAAGACCGTGTCTCTAAAAGAAAAAAACCATACACACACAAACACACACACACACACACACACACACACGCGCGCATGTATATATATGGTTATCATATGTTATTTTGATATATGATATCAAAAGCATGTGGTGTACTTAGAGTTTTCTCTGAGGTATGGGTTCTTGACTGCAACACTAGTGTACTTATGGTGTGTTCTTGATTGTAAGGCTCTTAATACCGGTACTAGCTCTCAATAGCTTGACCAATACAACTCACCCATCACACCCCACTGTGTAAGCTTAAATATTTGAGATAAATTACCAACAATGTAATATTTAGTCTAGAGGCCAAGAATTCTTTCCTGAAAAAGGGACCTTGGGCAAAGGATGGATAGGATTAAACCAGGTAAAGGGGAAGAGTGTGTATAGAAGGGGACGAGAGAGGGAGAAAAGGGAGCGGGAAGATTAAGCCAGAGATAAAGGAGGCAGCACATTTAAAATCTAAGAGACAAGAGCAAGGAGGCTAATGGCCACAGAGATTGCCATGCTTGAGTGGACCGTCCACAAGAGCAGGAATCCCTGCCTTTCACCACACATGCACACCCCATAGTGATGTGCTAGGCCAGTCTGGGTGTTACACATTGGTCCTCCTACCATCCCTAAGAAGAAAATGAGGATAACAACTAGGGCAGTTGTAACAGTATGGTAAGAGTATTCTTTGCCAAAAGTAAAGCACTGGACAGAGTCATTTGTTTTGTATTTTGAGTTTCTACCATGTGCTGAGAACTATACTGGATGTAGGAGTGAACCAAACAGGCAAAAACCCTCTGTGCCCTTATGGTGTATATATTCTAGTGGGGGTAGGAGATTAAATAATATATCAGATAAATCAGAAAAGTATGTAACACATCAGATAGTAGTAAGTGCTGTGGAGAAAAATCAAGGAGGGAAGAGAGACTGGAGGGTTGGGAAAGGCTTATGTCTACAATTTTACTTCTTTGATTTGAGGCCTTGGCATCAGCTCCTTGATCTTTCCTGATCTTTCTTCTTCATTTACCCTGAAGTTTTTACTTTTTTTCCCACGGCTTAGCTCGAAATATTTTTTGAGCATCTATAGGGTGGCAAGCTAGTTTTGGGGGACATAGTGTTAACAAAAATAGACATAATTCCTGCCTCCTTTGCACTAAATCTGGTGAGAAAAACAGACTAAAACAACCATCATGGCAGCCAAACACATGAGCTAACCAAATTGCATGTGTTTTGAAGGAAATATAGATGTTATAATATGATGATAATGCAAATAAAAAGTGTTCTGAAGGAAACACAAGGGATCGATTGGATAAAAATGGCAAGCTATGTACAGTAGTCAGAGAAGACAACTGAAGAGGTGACATTTGGACTGAAAGGTGTCACTCTTCCCTCTCTATTCCCACTTCTCTCCCAGTTTTCACTCATTCTTCTTTGTTTTTGAGACAGTCTCGCTCTGTCACCCAGGCTGGAGTTCAGTGGCGTGATCTTGGCTCACTGCAACTTCCACTTCCCAGGTTCAAGGGATTCGCCTGCCTCTGCCTCCCAAATAGCTGGGATTACAGGCATGCCACCACGCTCGACTAATTTTTGTATTTTTAGTAGAGATGGGGTTTCACCACATTGGCCAGGCTGGTCTCGAACTCCTGAACTCAAGTGATCCACCCGCCTTGGCCTCCCAAAATAACTGGGATTACAGGTATGAGCCATCGTGTCCAGCCTCCACTCGTTCTTTAGGCCTTCCTTTAAACATTAGTTCTTCCGAGAAAGCTGTCACTCAAAAGCTTCTCTCGCCCAGTTGGGTATGTGTCCCACCCCATCCCACTCAGATGAATGTAAAATTGGGTCCAATCAGGGCTAGTCCAACAGCCCTATCCCATAGGTCCTCCAGTCAGTTTGGGGTACAGAGGGGGAACCCAGAGTCAAATATAATCCAGATTCACAAAGCAGCCTATTGACTGAGGTCATGGCCCTCGGGCCCACAGTAAGCACAAAAACTGCAGCCCAAGGGCCTTCAGCCAGTTATTCAGCCATTGTCTTTGGCTCCAAACATGCCCTCTGTATCTTGCTTTACGGTGCTAAGGCTAGGATGGCACAAATCACATGTGCTCTACTGTCTGGCTGCATGCTAGTATCTGCCCATAGGGGGCGATAGAGGGAGCCTGCGGGGCAGGAGGACGGGGAGACTTCAGCATCAGGTATCCAAGTAGCCAGTTCATTCTGTCACAGCATTTGGATCTAGCTTGCAGTTTCCCCAACACTTACAGAGCCAGCCTCATTGCAGCACCTCAGAGACACCAGCACCAGCCTCTTTTCGTTCTTTTCAACCCTGGCAGTAGCTGCTCCCCACAGTTGCCACCTTTGTCTAGTGTTTTCATGTTCTCTTTTAATGTTTTCCATTTTCTAGGCAATTCTTTATATACAGTTAACCAGAGGTTCACAGTGCCCTTGGTGTTTTGGTAATTTTTTTTTCCCACAGATCCTAAGCCAAAAAACATACCCAACAGTTTCATGTATTAGTTGTTGCAAACAACTTAATAAGTATTTGCGTCCTAACAAATAAGAAGTGGTTTGAGAAAACAGTACACACAAATCAAAATAAAGCTATTTTTTTCTTTCTTAACTACAATTACTCCCTAAAAGGATGCATGTATCTGTTGAGCATTACACAATTTCTCAAACTGAAGATTCAGATTAGACAGACACTGCCACTTTCGTTGCCTGTTCCATGTTGATTTTGGCACAAAACTTGCATTTCATCATGGCAATTGCCAGAAGCCCAATTCTGCCAAGATATGACATCAGAAGGAATGTAGCCCAATCTCATGTTGAAACTCTGGGCCCCTTCAAGTAGTCATTTGTAGCGTGTCTGACAGATGATGCTGTGTTTTCCACAATACTGGTACTACCGGTGCTCTTGTGAGTTAAGAGTGGTGTCTTACACTGTCTCAACACAGTTTGAAAACCAGGATAGTTAACAATTCTGTATAGGCAATTCTGTCTGTTATAAGTGTCATGATTTATCTCCAAAATAGACCTTGACTGATGCAGGACCCCACTGCCTAAACTTCCTTAATATTCCACGTTCCCATCTTTGTCTCCCAGTATTCCACTCAGCCTAGGCACCTCATGCCCAGAAATCTGATGTCCTCCTAGCTGCCACATTCTGCTTCCCAGCTCCATCTCAGACCTTGATCTTCCCTCTCTGCCCCATCCAGATGCAGTCCCCTGGACTGTGGCTGAGCCAGGGAGCAGGGTGGTCAGCTGTGTGCCTCCTGCCACATCAACTGCTCAAGTGCTCAAATGCTGGGAAGAATTAAAGGAACAGAGGCAAAAGACTGCAGCCTGAAGACAGAGACTTTGGAATGTTTAAAAATTACTTTTGCGCTAGAGGAAATCGGGTTGGGAAAAGAGAAGCAATTTTGAAATTACGTGGTTTCAGTTTCCAGAGAAAGGAAAAAAGATTTGGGGTGAAGAAAAGGAGAAGTCAAACCCATAACATCTGGGTTAGTTTCACTTCAATTCCCACTTGATTCATGGCAAGTCGCTTTATTCATTTAAAGAAATTAAAGGAAAAGAAGAAAAGCTGGAGAAAGAATAAAACCTGAAACATTTCTGATGGTCAAAAGCCACCTAGCACTGGGCCCTGGTGAGGTATTAAACATTCTAACACTTTACTTGTCCTGGCTGTGAACAATAGGGCACTGGAATTAGAAAAGTCTCAGCGTAGCTAATTTGCCATTACTGCCTAAGAAGCCATGTGTAAATCAAATTGTTTCTAGACTATGTAAAAACAAACAAAAGTAATATCTCCTAATTGGACTCTGATCGCCTCCCTTCTAGAAGTACTACCTTTTTTTTTCAGCTGGAGAATTTGGCTTTTCATATTCAGATCCAGGGTTTTTCAAAGCTGAGGCTGCTCATAGCTGACAACTCCCCCATCCCAGGACATTCTTGATCTTCCAAGGAATCACATTAATCTACAGACACTACTCAGGACTGCTGGACCTTGAAGAGCCCTGCTGTGTCAGCAGCCCCAGAAATGCCTACCAAGCTTTTTTATGATGTCCAAAGCTTTATTCTTTGAAATGTACAAGAGTGTCATTAAACTGAAGGAACACTTTCAAATGAAAACCACTGTCAGTTGAGGGAGGCTTATTTTCTGTCGAATCTCATTTGGGACTTACCTAGGCAATGAAAAAGGCAATTGACAAAACAAAGCTGTCCATCTCAGTTAACTTGTGGCAAACAAGAATGGAACCCCAGTAGAACACGGATCACAGTACAACAGTAGCTAGAAGACACATTATCTGACTGCTTGCCTCACTCACTTGCGAAGTACCTGCTGGCCTTGTTGAGCACCTCTCAGAAAAGATGAGGGGTTAAAATGCACATGGTCTGTTTCCTGACTGACCCCTCTAATAGGGGCTGACACTTGGCCATGACATTGTGAGACACAATCCTAGCACAGGCTTTTACATAAGCCACCAAATGATACTTCTTCATATCAGAATCTCAAAAATGATAGCTACTTTTCCTCCTTGACTTTCATTTTTGACTTAGCCTTCTAAGGATGGCCTCTACAAAATATAGAGCTCTCCTTAAATGTCATCAGTCTCGATGCCTTTTCCACTTTCCATCTTCCTCCATCTGCAAATAGTCTTGCTCAGATACTTGATGTTTTCACATTTTCTATCTCTTGCACATTAAAACTTATTTATGAACTGTGTGACATTGAAAAAATAATTTTACCCTTCCTGGCCCCAGATTTATATTTATACATACCTCCTACATTTCTTGTAGGGTTTAAATAAAATTATATGCATGCATTGTTAGTGGGATGTTGTCACCATAGTGCTGTATAACAAATCACCCCCAAAGCCACGGGTTTACAGCAACAGACATTTATTCTCAAGCTCATACATCTGCTTGTATAATCTCCTGGTGTGGATCAGCCAGGCATGGCTCCAGGCTATGAGTTGTGCCCAGGTCTGCCTGATGTATGCTTATTCTACAAACCAGGTTGAAGGAGCGGTAGCCCCTCAGAGTAAGTTCTTTCCATGATGAATGCACCAGAGCCGAGCCAAGCCAACCCATGTAGGAGCTCTTAAGGCCTCCCTCATGTCAAGCTTGCTAATACCATATTGAGAGAGCAAGTCACACAGGCAAGCTCAACATCAATGAAGCCACTCGTCCCACAGTTGGAAAGGGTGGGAGTAGCAGAGGTGAGTGAATATTTACTGAAAGATAACTCAAACTATCAGATCAATAGATGTGTATGTTTTGGTTAACATGACCGGCCAACACTCCTTCACATAGTACAGGCTTGATCCCCCGAGGGAGGAAAGTCTGACTTTGAGTCAGGTGTGTGGAGAGCCAGAAGATTCTGCTAAAGCCATAAGATTTAAGCAGTTTCCTGTTCTATGTTCATTTTAACTATTATGGAATGTGTCTCTTGGAGAGAAGGGCAGAAGTCTAATAGAGAGATCTGGAGAAGCCACCCTGGCATTTGCAGTCTTTGTCAATCTCAATATGAACATTCTCATCTACCAGCCAAACTGGTCAGATGAGTTCTTCCTGTCCTCAACTCCCAAATGCTGTCTCAGACCACATCCCTGCACACACACCCTGATATCCTCTGCCCCAAATCAAAACTCTACAGTAGGCAAAAATATCAGCCCCCAAAGAGGTTCACATCCTAATACCCAGAACCTGGGAATCTGTTATCTTACATGGCAAAAAGAACACTGTGAACGTGATTAAGGATCTTGAACTGGGGATATGATCCTGGATTATCCGGGTGGGCCCCATGTACTCATAAGGGTCCTTATAAGAGGGAGGCAAGAGGGCAGAGAGGAGAAATGATGTTAGGCTGACAGCTTCAAGGATGGAGAAAGAACAGCAAGCAAAGGCATAGAAGTGGCCTCTAGAAGCTGGAAAAGGCAAGAAACAGATTCTCCCCCAGAGTCGACGGAAGGAACACAGCCCTGCAGACCTATCTCAGACTTCTGACCTCCAGAACAATAAATCAGTGTTAACTGCTACGCTTATGGTGAATTGTTATAGCGGCAAGACGAAACTAACACAAACCTCAAAGATTGCTCTGCTTATTTCTGTATGTTTATTGACACTCTTCACTTTCACTGCCTTCCTTCTGTAGACCCATTATGTTTTATACACTGTCTTCTGCCCGAATGAGTTCTTGTAAAATACATGTAATTGTTTACTATGCATGTATTTTTAATTATGTAGATTGGAATGTGTTCTAGCTCGTTTACCTTTTTGTCACTCAGCACTACACTTCTGACATCCACCCAGGCTGCTGTGTGCCCTTATTTCATGATTTTCAACCATTGCATGGGGTTCTGGGGTGTGTTCTCTCCATCATTTATCAATCTGCTCCCCACTGACAGACACTGTTTGCTTCTTACTCATCACTGTCAGAAATCACACTGTAGTAGACCTTCTCAGGTGTCTCCTTCTAGATTTGTGTGAATTCCTTTGTGGTCTACATTCCTAGGGGCAGAAATACTGACATATAGGCTGTGTGTAAACTTAATTTGACAAAGTACTGTCAGATTGCTTTCAGAACAGCAGCCCCAAAACTTTTAGCTGTATGTAAAGGTACCTGTGAACCCACATTCATCCAACCTTTGGTATTATCCAATTTTTCTACCTTTTTACCAATCTGATGGGCACTACGTATTTTTTACCATTACTATTTTAATTTATATTGTTTCAGTACTAAGGAGTTTGAGAATTTCTTCCTATATTTTTCAGCCTTTTGGATTTTTATCTTTATAAACTCGTTGTTCAAATCCTTTGCACAATCATCTACTCATTTGTAGAATTCTTTGTATATTCTAGGGGTTTTTTTTGTTCATGATAATCTCTAATAAGTAAGAGTCCTTTATTTTTGATGTAATAAAATCAACCAAGTGCCAGGCGCAGTGGCTCATGCCTGTAATCCCAGTACTTTGGGAGGCCGAGGCGGGTGGATCACCTCAGGTCAGGAATTCGAGACCAGCCTGACCAACTGAGAAAAGCCCCATCTCTACTAAAAATACAAAATTAGCCGGACATGGTGGTGCATGCCTGTAATCCCAGCTACTCTGGAGGCTGAGGTAGGAGAATTGCTTGAACCTAGGAGGTGGAGGTTGCAGTGAGCTGCACTCCAGCCTGGGCAACAGGAGCAAAACTCTGTCTCAAAAAAAAAAAAAGAAAGAGAGAAAGAAATATGAAAAATAAATAAAATCAACCAAGTTTGTGTGTGTGTGTGTGTGTGTGTGTGTGTGTGTGTGTGTGTGTGTGTGTGTTCTTTGCTGATTCTCAAGGTTTTATTTTATTTTTATCTTTTTACCTTTTTTTAAATTATACTTTAAGTTTTAGGGTACATGTGCACAACCTGCAGGTTAGTTACATATGTATACATGTTGTTATTTTTTTGAAATGTCTCCCTAATGGTAGACATGAAATCTGTTCTCAAATATTCCACGTCCCCCTTGTTCCAGGCACATGGTCAGGTTGTACTTTCCTTTGAAGTTAGGTATAGCCATGAGACTTTCCTTGCCCAGTGATAAGTGAGAAGATATCACCTGTCACTTTCAGGACTGTTTTAAAGCCCAAGTGTAATTGGCCCATTTCACTTTCCCCTGTTGACCTATGTGATCACAACACACTAGCGAGAGAGAGATTTCTGTTGCGGGTTAAGCCATCAGATTTTGGGGTCATTTGTTCCTCGAGCATACCTAGCCTATCCTGACTTTTTTTTTTTTAATTTATTTTATCCCATTCCCCACTCTCCTACCATGAGCAACCATTTTAATATATTTATTTTGTGTTCTTAGAAAATGCATCCTATTACATGTGCATTTTTAAAATTTAGATAAATGGTGTTGGGTTGTCTCACTGTTTCTTACTTTATTCACTCAGCATTATGCTTTTAAGGTCCAGCCACACTGCTACAACTGCATATCAAATCTGTTGTTGTTAAATGCTGTGTGGGTGAGCCACAGCTGTGATTTCCCTCTCTTCCTTTCCCTATGAAAGACACAAACTTTTTTTGAAGAAATCTTTGCCCAACTCTAGTCTACAAAGTCATTCTGCAATATTCTTTTCTAACTTTGTAGCTTTATCATTCACACTGACATCTTAGGTCTCCAAAGTCCATTACCCTGGGAGTAGGTATTAAGGTGGCATTCAGTTTTATTTTCCCCTGCACAGTAAAAAAAGTTTTCCTCAAAACCATTTGCTTACTATTCAGTCCAGTTGATCTGTAGAGCCATCTCTATCACACATGAAGTTTCCAGACATACATGAAATGGTTCTTGAGCTTTCCATTCTGTTCTATTGATCCACTGCCTATTACAGCATGCATTTTTATAGTTATGGCTTAATAGTATATTTTATAGATTCATGTATGGAAGGGTACATCTTCTGTGTTTTTAATCCCTCCTTGAAGTTGACTACTATGATTTTTCCCCTCTATATATATTTATTAGAGAAAGTTTATCAAGTTCGTTAAAAACTTAACAGAAATTTTTATTGACACTGAATTAAATTCATAGATAAATTCAGGGGGGATTTTCACTTGTGTAATATCTTCCCATCCATGGCCATAGACTTTTTCTCCATCTATTCAGGTCTTCTTTTAACTCTCTTATTAAAGTTTTCTCCATTGAGATTTTATATATTCTTAGACTACTTAAATCCTAAATATTTGATCATTTGTATTACAATTGTCTTAAATTAGATTTTCTAGTTCATTATTGCTGGTGTACAGACATGCTATTGATTTTTATAAGTTAATCTTATATCTGGCAACCTTGTTGAACTCTCTTATTACCACAATTTTTGATTGCAATTGATTTTTCTAAAAGGATTATCATATCATCTACAAACAATGAGTTTTATTTCTTTGCAATCCTCATACATCTTATTTCTTTTTCTTTCCTTAAAGTTTGGGCCAGAAACTCCAGCATTATGTTAAATAGCAATGGTGGCTCCACTCTTCTCCCTGCTCCAAAAAGGAATGCACCTGCATTTTCTACATTAGGTATAATATTTGCTGTAGAATTTTGGCTTATAAACTAGCAATCTAACAAAAGTTTCCCTTTATTTTCTAAGGGTTTTAAAAAATAATCATAAATTGGTGAATACCTTTATCAAATGCTTATCACCTATTCACTCATTTAAGGACATTTAAGTTGTTTCAAGTTTGGGGTAATTATAAGTAAATCTGCTATGGACATTCATGTATCAAATGCTTGTCTCAAGGATTGAAATAATCATATGATTTTTATTCTTTAGCATATTTAAAGTAGTGAATTGCACGAACATTGAAAAAAAACTTGCTCCTGGGATAAGCCCCATATAATTATTATTTTTGTAAAACAGTGTTGACTTCGTTAGTTAGTATTTAACATACGATGTATTTTCTATACATTCACGCATGAAATGGGCCTGTATTTTCTTTTCTTGTATTCTTATCTGATTTTTCAGTCTGATAACCAAGAGGGCTACTAAGCGACTAATAAGTGAGTAGCATATATAGCATGGATATGTTGGACAAATGGATGATGCACATTCTGGCAGGATGGAGCAGGATGGCATGAGGTTTCATCACAGTATTCAGAAAAGTGACATTTTTAAAAGTTATGAATTGTTTATTTCTGGAATTTTCCATGTACTATCTTCACACTGTGGTTGACTGTAATTGCAACCAAGAAAAGTGAAACTGTGGATCAAGGGGGAATACTGTGTCAAGAGGTGGAGCCTTTAGGGGTCCACCTTCAAAGATGGGATCAGTGCCTTAGAACAGGGCTTGAGGGGGCAAGTTTTCTTCTCCCGTCCGTCTGCCATGTAAGGACACAGCGTTTGTCCACCCTGGATGATAAAGCAACAGCGTGCCATCTTGGAAGCAGAGAGTGAATCCTCGTCACACACCAAATTTGCCAGATCTTGGGCTTCCCAACTTCCAGATCTATGAGAAATTAATGTCTATTATTTCTAAATCACCTATTCTAACATATTGTGTTATACCAGCAGGAATAGACTAAGACACTTATGCTATCTTTTTATAGACACACCCTTTCTCTCCTCCCTGCCATCTAAAACCCCAGGCAGCCACTAATCTGTTCTCCATCTATAATTTTTTTATCATTTCATAAATGTTATATAAAAGAAATAATATACTATGTAACATTTTGACTCAGCATAATTTTTCACTTAGCATAATTCTCTTGAGGCTCATCCAAGGTGTTACAGGTACAATAGTTTGCTCTTTTTATTCCTGAGTAGTATATCATGCTATAGGTGTTTTACAGCTTGTTTAACTATTCACTCATTTAAGGACATTTAGGTAGTTTCCAGTTTGGGGTGATTGTGAGTAAATCTGCTATGGACATTCATGTATAAGTTTCTGTGTGAACATGAGTTTTTGCTTCCCTGGAATAAATGCCTAAGCGTATAATTGCTGGATCATATAGTAAGTTCATTTTTACTTATAAAATAAACAGGCAAAGTACCTTCCAGAGCGGCTATATCATTTTACATTTCCACCAGCAACGTAGGAGAGATCCAGTTTCTTTGCATCCTCGCTATAATCTGGTGCTATCACTACTTTTTATATGAGCCATTCAGATAGGTGTGTAGTGATTCCTCACTGTGGTTTTAATTTTCATTTTCCTAATGACTAATCATGTTAAACATTTTCTTCATGTTCCTTTTTTTTGCCATCTGTATATACAGGTCATTTGTTTTTAACTTTTGTTTCCTGTTAAATAAATTTAAACTTTTAGACTTTCCTCTAAGTGTTGCTTCAGCCTGTTGTGCAAATATAGACTTGTTCTGCTTTCATTATTATTCACTTCAGGATTCCTTTATGATTTCCTTTGTAACCAAAGTGTTGTTTAGTAACATGTTATTTAGTTGTCAAATTCATGAGATTTTTAAATCTGTCCTTTGGTTATTAATTTCTAAGTTTATTGCATAACAGTTGGGGAACATGCTCTGTGTTATATGAATTATTTGGTTTTAATTGGGCTGCTTTTATGGCCTAATACATGTTCTATTTTTGTGATGATTTTGAGTGTGCTCAAAAGAATGACTTTCTCTGTTTGCATTTGGAGTTCTATATATTAAAATTATTTAACACTAATTTGTCAATATGTTAATAAGCTTGAGTTTATTCATTCTATTTCTCAGATCTTCAATGTCTCTAGTTATTTTTTGTCTACTTGATATTGTTCTGCTTCAATAGATTGATTCCCTAGTATGGCTGCTAACTTGTATCCACCTTAAATGATAACCACAAAAACAACCATAATTTGCAAATACCTAACTGCCTCATGTAAAGTTTTAAATACTATGTGCCAGGGACTTGGCTAAGCATTTTGCTGGTGTCACATTTACCTCTTACACTTACAAGTCACAAAGTTCCTGTTTTACAGATGAGGAATCCAAGAGTCTAGAAGCAAATTAACCATGGCATGCAGCCAGAATGGCAGAGCTGGCATTTAAGTGCAGATTTGTGTTCTAAGTCCATGTTTTTAATGATTGTATTCTATGCCTCAGTTTACTCATTTGTAGAAGGAGGAAATTTGGAGGACTTTGAGGGGTTTTTTTTTAAGACTAAGAAACTCATCATCATTATTATTGTCTGGGTTAACATTTATTGAACTCTTCCTCTGTAAGTTCTAGGTTCTGTACTAAGCACAGTACGTCAGTGATCTTATTTCATCCTCACAGCCACCCTATAAAGTAGGTGTTGAAAACTTAGTGTTACAGATGAGGAAACGAGGGCTTAGAGTGAGTACTCAGTTAGGATAAGAACTCATTGGTGAGGTCACCAGGGCCTAAGGTCCTAATCACAATGCTAGACTTTGATCTTCCACACTGAACCGGGGACTTTATAGATGACATTTCACGTAGCCCCACAACAGCTGTCAGAGGGAAGAAGTGGTGTGCCTTCTTAACCACATCCATCCAAAAGTTTTTTGGTTGACCCCTGGGACTTCAGAAAGAAGTCTTCTGTCTTTCTTATTTGATTGAAATGTTCCTTTCAATTGCTTGGACTCTGAAGCCCAGCATCCTCTTTTTCTCTCCCCAAGCTGCTCAACACATTCCTAAAGGCAGCATTTGGCCCAGCTCATTTCTTCCTCTTCATACCCCTCCATTTAACCTCCCCATCTTCAGTGGAGGTACACATACTCAATCACATTGCCCATCCTCTCCTGTTGTCTTCCAGAAAAGTCTTACCCTAAAATGGACTGATAAGCCCATACAACTTATAGTATATTTTAAATATGAAGATAGGGGCTTTTCTCAATCATCTCGACCCTTTCATCTACCTGTTTTTTTCAGAGTAAAGAGAGAGAAGCAGTGAGTTATTGTCATGTTAAGCTGCACTAAATGGCTGTATATTATGGTTAGAGACCTCTGGAGAAATAATGATGAGATCACTGCATCTTTTGTTCTTGGAAAAATAATGTGGCAAAAAGACACCTCTAATCCTCTATTTTAATTTGTTTTTATTGATCTCTTTGAAAATTAGGGAAACAACGTTTTCTCATTGCAAATGTTATAAGAATGCATGGGGAGGTTCTAGTTATAAAGAATAATGAAGTAGAGGCTATGAAAGAGAGTCTCTTCATAAGGCATGGATTTAGCGGAGGACGGTGGGTGAGAACATACCTGTAAAAGGAAATACACAGAGTAAAGAAACCTCTCAGATATCAATGACTAACTCTCAGTTGTGGGTTTGGGAATAATGTGTCATCAAAGAGGCATTCCATGAGCTCAGTAAAAACTCCCGCCCCTCCCCCAACTATCATTTCACTATCATATCAATCTCCTTTATTCTCTTGGCACTTGCAGGAATTACCTTGTTTATTTACTTATATGATTGTTTACTTGTATTATTTCCCCCACCTTAGCCTGAAAAATTAATTGTACAAAAGAAAGAACTTTGTGTATTTGTTTTCTGCCATTTCCTGGTACCTAGAATCATAGCTGGCATATAATAAGTAGTCAAATATTTGGACAGATGAATGGATGGATGAATAGATGGATAGATACGTGAAATAAATGTTTCCTCTATCCCCAATCTTCTGTGATTTCCAAATTTTCTATAATGAACAAATGTTACTGCTCTAAAAAGAAAACATTAATTTAGCATCACATCTTTCTAGAAACCTTTCCTGTTTCCTCGGGCACAAGTGAATCTCCCTCCTCTAATCTCCCAAGAATATTCAAACCTCTCATTGGACACTGGGCCTTGTCATCCTGACTCTCATTATTTGCCTACATTTCTTGTCTTCCTCACTGAAATTTAAGGCCTCTGAGTGTTAGACTCATAAATTTCCAGAGCAGCAAAGAACTTAAAGATCATCAGGCCTAACGTCCCCACTTATAGATGAAAACAGTGAGACTCAGAGATGTGAGCTATCCAGACCCAATGGCAAAAGATAATCCAGGAAAGTGCTACACTCTTAATGCCATATTTTCTTTGTTCAAGTTGTCTTAGGTCACTGGGTAAGCTGTGGTAGGTTCAGCACTTTAACTGGGCACCTAGCCCTCTACCCTCTCTTCTCTAGGCCAGAGGGCAGTGCCTTCTGCATTTGCAATTCATATTTCCTACCTCAGTGGCTGAAAGGGGCAGAAAGGGCTGGAAAGTGGAGGAGTCTCACCTATACTTTCTCTCTTTATTTGGCATGTCCATGCACCTGGCATCCTACCCTTTATGCCCAAAGAATTAACAAGGAGAAGAAGAAATAAAGCAATAATTCTCTGGCAACTGTCAAAAGGCACACAGACCATCCACAAGTGGTTTTTCTGATAAATATGTGCAAAGCCTCTTTCAGTTTTCCCGTTAGAGTCTCAGCGCTCCCTTGAGGAAGAGGTAGCTCAATTCTAAAAGAATTTTAGATAAGCTATTTAAGACATAGGGGAAAATACAGGTTAAAATATAACAAATTCCCCAAACCTAGCACCTAAGATACTGAATTTAGGGTTCAGCATTTCCATGTAGGTATCCATGTTTCCTTTTCATATATAAGTTTCTAAGAATAACATAGTATTGACTGGCAGACTTAAAAACTACATACAGTTGACCCTTGTATATAATGCAAGGGTTAGAGGTGCCAACCTCCCACCCCCACACAGTTGAAACTCCATGTATAACTTCTGACCTCCAAAAACTTTCCTACTCTTGACCGAAAGCCTTACTGATAACATGAACAGTTGGTTAAAACATATTTTGTGTTATATGTATTATACATTGTATTCTTACAATAAAGTAAGCTAGAGAAAAAAATATTATTAGGGAAATCATAAAGAGGAGAAAATCTATTTACTATTCATTAAGGGGAAGTGGATCATCATAAAGCTCTTCATTTTCATTGTCTTCCTATTGACTGGCCTGAGGAAGAGGAGAAAGAAGAGGGGTCGGCTTTGCTGTCTCAAGGGTGGCAGAAGTGGAAGAAGTGGAGGAGGTGGAAGGTGAGGCAGGAGAGGCAGGCATACCCCATGTAACTTCACAAAAACACATTGCAATTTGTCTTTTTCACTTTTTTATTTCTCTCAAAAATGTTTCTATGTGGTACCAATTTTTCTTCCACCTCTTGCTTTAGTTTCAGTGCCTGTTTCACAGAAGTTTCCATGTCCTAAAAGAAGTCAAAAGTGGTCTTGAATAATTGGAACCGTTCTGTCAGATAATCTAATGTAAATCTGTTTTCTGGCACCGCTCCTTCTATGTCTTTCCTCATCTTCTGGCACCAGTTCAGAAGAGCTCATCTCTAACAAGTTGTCCGCTGTTAATTCTTATGATCTTGTGAAGTGTCTATTAGCTCCTGAATTTCTCCAAGATCTGTATCTTGAAATCCTTCACTTTCACCACCTTTTTTTTTTTTTTGCCATATCCACAATCTCTTTCATAATGTCCTTGATTGCTTCGGTCATAAATTCTGTGAAGTCACACACAACATCTGCACAGTTTTCCCTAGCAGTAATTTATTGTTTCAAGCGTGGCAGTTTTCATGGTTTTTTGTATAACGATGATGACATCTTCAATGGTGTAATCCTTTCAGACTTTCATGGGCTCTCTTTATACCGTTGACAATGCATTCCATAGAATACAATGTGTAATGAAACTTAAAGATCCTCATGACCCCTGAATTAGAGACGTTGTGTTTGGGGGCAAGCAGACCACTTCATTGCCTGTGATGTTCAACTCATTGGGTTCTAGGGGGCCAGAGGTATTGTCTAATAGCAAAATAAATTCAAAGGTAGTCCCTTACCAGCAAGGTACTTCCTGACCCAGAGAACGAATGGAACCAATTCAGAATTTGTTGTCCAGGACTTCTTGTACAATCAGAAGTCTAGCAGCTGGTGTTTATCTTTTCCCTTCAAGGCTTAGGGCTTAGCAGCTTTACAGATAAGGGTAGTCCTTGTCATAAACCTGAGTGCATTTGCACAGAATCATAGATTTAGCACATCTCTTCCTGTCTTAAATCCTGGTGCTCACTTCTCTTTCTTATAACTGAATGTCTTTTATGGCATTTTTCCCCCCCAGAATAAGGCACATTCACTGGCATTAAAAACTTGTTCAGGTAGATATCCTTTCTCCTCAATTATTTTCTTAATGGCATCTGGGGTATTGTCTGCTGCCTCTTGGTGGGCAAAAGCTGCTTCTCCTGTTATCTTGATTTTTTTTGGTTTGTTTGTTTGAGACAAAGTCTCTCTGTTGCTCAGGCTGACCTCAAACTCCTGTGTTCAAGCGATCCTCCTGCCTCAGACTTCCAAGTAGCTGAGATTATAGGCACCCAACATTGTACCAGGCTCTTTTCTTGACATTTTTTTAAACGAAATCTTTTTCAAAAATTAACAAGCCACCCTTTGCTGGCATTACATACCCCAGCTTTAGATCCTTTACCTTCCTTTTGTTTTAAGTTGTCATATAATAATTGCCTTTTACTCCAATGATATTAGAGTCTACAGATATGCCTTTCTTATAGAAATCCTGCAACCACATAAGAGCCGCATTCTCAATATGATATAAAAAGGTATTTTGCAAAAAGTGCAAGGTTTTCATGCATGCTGGTATAGCTGTGGTGATCACTTCACAAATTTCCTTTTCTATTCTTTTTTTATTTACAATGGTCCTTGTGCTGGATTCATTTATCTTGAAATGGCAGAAAACTGCAGCTGTAGACCTCAATCTAGGGTACATATCAAGAATTTAACCTTTCTTTTGTAATGTCATGACTTTTCTCTGCTTCTTTGGAGTGCTTCCAGCATCACTAGTGGTACTTTGTATGGGTATCACGGTGTTTTTCAAGGTTTACACTATTGCACCAAACATGATGAAAAATACACGAGAACCTCAAGAGATCACTTTTTATTGTGGTAAGTGATGTACTGGAAAGATGAACTGATCATATGGAGATGTCAGCCTTGTAAATCGAAAATAAAATTCTAAGCCCCCCAGTCAACTGAACAGACTTTCCTTTTGGCCAAAGAGATCCCCCAAAACCTGAAAATAAACTAGTTCAGGAAGGCAGGGGGCAGGGGCGGTTGGACATGTCTCATTACACCCTCTTCCCTCTGGAGGTTAGACAAAATTGACTAGTGTTAACATTAAAATAGAGATCTTAAGGACTGACAAAACAGACTCTGTAGCAATAAGACACCAAATTCCAACCTGATTCTAGTGTAACATCACATGACAGATAGTGGGTCCTAAAGGAAATCAAAGTATTTTGCTCCAAAATATACTTCCCTGACATATTTTGAAATGGGCCTGAAAAGCTATCTCTTGCGGGGGAAGTTATATTCTATAGAGACTCTCCTTCCCCTACGAGGTCTTTTCAGGAGATTTTGACATCTTTTAGCTCTAATAAGAAACATGCACATCTATTCTCTCTGAACTCTGCTACTTGGAGGCTTCATCTACATGACAGGAACCTTGGTTTCCACAACTCGACCTCTCTTACCTTACCTTAACTCAAGCTGACTCAACTCTTCAGGAAGAGCTTAATTCTTTCAACCAATTGCCAATCAGGAAATCTTTGACTCCACCTATGACCTGGAAGCCCCACACTCTACCCGGCTTTGAGATGTCCCACCTTTCCAGGCCAAACCAACATATACCTTACATATATTGATTTATGTCTTTGCCTGTAACTTCTGTCTTCCTAAAATGTATACAATCAAGCTGTAACCCAACCGCCTTTGGGACATGTTCTCAGAACCTCCTGAGGCTGTGTCACAGGCCATGATTTTAACCTTGGCAAAATAAACGTCTAAATTAAGACCTGTCTCATACTTTTTGGTTTATAGCCTCAAATGGCATTTTAAGGAGATACTCATGACATTTGAACTCACAGCAATAGCAACAGGAAGTGGCTACAAAATTAACTGTAGTACATACTGTACTACTGTGGCAATTTTGTGCAGTTATGATCTAATACTGCATCTTTATATTTGCTTACATTTCTCTCGACTGCAAATGGTGCCATGTACAGTCTGTATATGTGTAAGTTTTGATAAACTTTTTTTTTTTTTTTTGAGACAGAGTTTTGCTCTTGTCACCCAGGCTGAAGTGCAATGGCACAATCTCAGCTCACTGCACCCTCTGCCTCCTGGGTTCAAGCGATTCTACTGCCTCAGCCTCCTGAGTAGCTGGGATTACAGGCATCCACCACCACACCTGGCTAATTTTTGTATTTTTAGTACAGACGCAGTTTCACCATGTTGGCCAGGCTGGTCTTGATCTCCTGACCTTGCGATCCAGCTGCCTCGGCCTCCCAAAATGCTGGGATTACAGGCGTGAGCCACCATGCCTGGCCAATTTTAACTTTTTAATAACAGATTTTAGAATATTTTATGGTAGCAAATGATAAAATAGACTACTATCTACATCTTTCATGACATACTTAAAAATTTTTTGATTTTTGATATTTCTGGGCTGCATGATGCGTCTGCAAGTTTTTCAAATCATTGCACACCTCCAACAAGATGTCCAATATATGTATTGAAAATAACCCTTGTATAAGTGGATGCTTTCAGTTCAAACCTACATTGTCCAAGGGTGAGTTGTAATTGGTATCATATACATACCCTTCTTCAGCTTCTATCATTTTAGTTAGATTCATTCATTATGATACATGGAGCTTAAGTTCATTAATTCTACTGCTATCCAGTTTTCCATTGTATGACTATATCACAGTTCATTCATTATTCTTTTGATGAATATTTATTTTAATTTATTTTTAGTTCTGTTTGTAATTTGAGTTTTTTTATCCACTAACATGGTATGTCTCTTAACTTACCTAGGTCTTTTAAAATTTATTTAGCATAAATTTTATAATTTTCTAGGTCTTACACATTTTTCACTTGTTTTGATATATGTTTTATTTTTGTTGCTACTGTAAATGGTGTTTTTAAACTTTTTATTTGAATATAAAGTACAGAGAAGTACACGCATCTCTGAATTTCCACAAACTTCACCCTTGTATAACCAGACAAAAATCAAGAAAGATGTTACCAGAATCACATAAGCCTCTTTATGCCGGTCTACTCACTACCCCCATCAGCAAGGTAAATGCTATTTTAATATTTTTGAATTAAATTTTATAATTATTATATAAAAATGTAAATGACTTGTATACTGATCTAATATCCAGAGACTTTGATATAGCATATTACTATTTATAATTTGTTGTAATCAAAAATTTGATTTATATTGTAATCTTTTTTCCTCTCTAGACAATCATGCCACATGTGACTAGTATAACATTGTTTTGCTTCCTTTCCAGTAATTATTCATTTTACTCCCCTTTAAAAAAATTCTCTGCCCTTACTGGCTGTCTTTAACACCAAGTGAAATAGATGTAGTGTTGGTGCATCCCTTCCTCACTTTCCCTTGGTTTTCAAGGCAATGTTTTCATATTTATCATTTATTATGATGCTTATTGACTGAAGATGTCCCTCATCAGAATAAGAAAGTTCTTTTCTATTCCTAGATTTATAAGGGGTATTTTTAGTTTAATGATTTTATGCACTTAGCAAATAATTTTATGCACTTAGGCAGCTATAATTTTTCTATTTTGTTTGATTAATGTGGTAATTACATTAATGTATTTTCCAATGTCAGACAACCCTCATAGTCTCTCAATGAACCCAAAATTGCCTTCATCTATTTACTATTTTTACTTCTTAAGTTTAAACTTTTAATTGATAAATACAAGCAGGTCATAAATCATAAAAAAGCAGCAAGGTGAATTTCCACAATACTGACATCTCCTATGTAACAGATCGATAACAAAATATTACCAGCCCTCAGAAGCCCACCCCATCACGCCTTTCCCCGTCACTAACCCCCACAAGGGTAGCCAGTATCCTAATTGATAACTTCATTGTTTGTATTTGCCTATTTTTGAACTTTTATCTAGAATAAATCATAAGCATCTGCTCTTTTGTGTCATTTGTTCAACCTTAGGTTTGGGAGAGTCCACCACAGTGTTTTAAGTAACATTACTTCATCCATTCCCATTGCTGTATAAAAGCGCATTACATGAATATCCCACATTTATTCATTTATTCTATTGTTGAGAAACATTTTTGTTTCAAGTTAATAAACATTAGGAATAGTGCTATCATGAACGCTACACATATTTTGCTGAAGATATATATGCATTTCTGTGAGAAATATACCTAGAAGTGGAATTACTGGGGTGTGGGTAGTATATATTTACTTTCTATATACACCAAGGATCTACAAGCTACAACCCTTCTCTTCCGCCTGCCAACAATTTTTGTTGATAAAGTTTTATTGAAACACAGCCACACCTATTTGTTTATGTATGTCTATGCTGTTTTAGCACCTCAGTGGCAGTGTTGAATAGTTGTGATAGAAACAGTACAACCTGCAAAGCTTAAAATATTTATTATCTGGTTTTTACATAGAAAGTTTGCTGTTCCCTGTTGTATACTGTCAAACAGTTTTTAAAAGTGGTTATACCAATTTATACCCCCACTTCTCTAGCTTTGCCATGATATGTTTTAATATGCATTCTTGAATTTTGTTCTTATGTATAAGTGACATTAAGCTAATATGCCTTCATTTTTTTTGTCCTGGTGTGGTTTTGATATCAAAATATCCTAGACTTACAAAATGAATTAGGAAATTTTCCTATATTTTTCATTCTCTGAAAGAGTATGCAAAAAGAAAGAAAGAAATTATATTTTCTTTGAATGCTTGGTCAAATTTGCTTGTAAAACAATTTGGGCTTAGCATTTTGAGAAGATTTTCAATTATTGATTCATTTTTTAAAATTATATTCATTTTGTTTACTTCTTGAGTCAGTTTTGAAAGTTACATTTTTCAAGGATATACCTTTTTAGTCTCACTTATTGACAAAAAGTTATTATATTCATTCATCATTAAGTATTTTAATAGGAATCATTTCATATATAAAAAGAGCACTTACAAAGTATATGTAGTGAAAAATAAAATTCACTTCTGTCTATGAAACATCTTCCTTAAGAAACAGAACAATATCAATACATTTGAAATTCACTTGTGCCCCTCCCTACAGTATCCACTTCCAATTGCTTTTGGAGGGATAGGCACTCTCCTAGAAAAAATTACATATGTATACAAACACACACACACACACACACACACACACACACACACACACACATCTCAAATGAGATATTCAAATATTATTGGAATATATTTTGCACGTTTCTGAAATATATATAAAAGGAAGAATATCACATATATTCTTCTTTGCCTTGCAGTTTTCACTAAAACTTCACGTTTTTGACAACAGTTATCCATATTGGGTAACTCATTTTTGTGCTGGCTTACTCATTTTTACTGTCTTACAAGATCAGACTATATGAATAGATATAAACTATTAATACAATTTACTCATCAATTCTCCAGACATAAACATTTATGTTGGTGCCAGATTTTTTAGCTATTAGTGAGCAAGGCTGCTCTGAACATTCATGTATTTATCTCCTGAGAGTACATGTGCAAGAGTTTCTCTAGTCTAGGCTACATATCTGTGAGTAAATCACTGGATGTTATGTTATACACATCTTCAATTTAATAGATGATTGCAAACTGCTTATCCAAGTGGTTGTAGCAATTTGCATTCTCATGAGGAGTATTTAAATATTTGCTGTTCTAATTAATTGCAAATACTTGGTGTTTCAGGCTATTTGGTTATTACCAATCTGTAAGTTTATTTCTTGGACTTTTAATATTAGCTGTATGTTAAGGTATCCTCTTTTATTCCTAACAATTTTTGTTTGTGCCAACTTTTTTTCTGGAGAGAAAAAAGGAGTTTGGTGTGTTTTTTTATGCCTTTTCAAAGAGTTTTGGCTTTGTTGATACACTCTGTTTTAGCTTTTCTTATTTCATTGATGTATTCTCTAATATTAGTTATATCCTCTTTCCATTACCCTTAGGTTTAATCTATTGTTCTTTTTTACCGTAATATGATTGCTTAAATCATTAAATATTTGGATATTCTTCATTACTGTAAGCATGTTAAAGCTAGGAATTTCCCTGAAATTGTGAGTTTAGCCAAATCCCAAGAGTTTTATTTGTATTATTTTTATGATCATTCAATTCTAAATAGCTTATCTGTTGCCTTTAAGACATTTTCATGACATAACTATTTTGTAGGAGTGCTTTCAAACTTCCAAATGTATAAACTTTAATAAAAGTAAAATTTTTGCTTTTCTTTCTAACTTGATCTCATTGTGATTAGAGAATATAGTTTGTGTGATGCTGACTCAAAATTTTTGAGACTTGCTTTATTGATTGATTTTTGATTTTTGTAATTGTTTTATGTATTCCTAAGCTAAATGTATATTCTCTAATCTCGGAGTGCAGCATTTTATACTTGTCAACTGGATTGTTCTTATTAATTGTGTCATATAAATCTTTTCTTTATTTACTAGTTATTTGTCTACTTTGTCTGTCAATTACAGAGATGTATCTGGTATCTCCAAGCATTCTTCTTATGCCTTCTGCTCATACCAGTCTCCCTGCTTTTCTTAAAACAGGCCAAGAACTCTGCCCCTTCAGAGCCAGTAAACTTACTGATTCTACCGTTTGGAATGATTTTCTCAAATCTATAACCTGATTGACTCCCTCACTTCATTCAGGTCACCTTATGAGGGAATCCTACCTTCATCACAATCTAAACAATAGCTCCCTTGCTCCTTAATTTTCTGTCCCTTTACCCTCATTTGTTTTTTCCTTTTCAGCCCTTACCAACATCAGGCATATTAAATATTTTTTTCATTATCTTTTCCATCCAGAATATAAGCTTCAGGGGAATTGTGATTTATTCATTATAATTTCCTCAGTACCTAGAAGGATGCCTGGAATAAAATAGAGGATTTTATTTTTAAATGTTTCTAATAATAAAATGTTATTGGTAATCCTAATTATGTGTGGGCCCAAACTGTTGCACAACAACTTGTGTAATCCCATCTATTCATTTATTGTTCAATTAATTCTTGTTCAGCAAACATTTGTTCAATGAATGAATGAATAAATGAATGTTAAAAAAAAACCATCTCACTGACAGATTTGCAATTTCCTCTTTGCAACTGTCTCAAATTTGGCTTTACATATTTTGAGATCAAGTTATTATGTGCATACAGGTTTAGAATTGTTGGAACTTTCAGAATAAACAAACATTTTATAACTGAAAATTAAAATCTTATTTTAATAAAATAATTTATCATTTTGCTTTCAGTCTAATTTATCTGATATTAATAATGTTTCATCAACTTTTTTCCTATTACCAGTTTCCTGCTATATTTTTCCCACCTGTGACTTCCAGCCTATTTGCATTATTACATTTTATGTATGTGTCTTTTAAAATTGTATAATTTGGATTTTGTTTTCTAATCAAATGTAACATTTTCACATTTAAATTAGGGAGTTTAGTTTAAGTACATTTTTTGAGAATACTGATAAGTTGAAAATTCTTTCTCACATCTTACGTTGTCTTGCTTTTTAAAATGCCCTTTCCTTCCTTTCCAGCCTTTCTTTGAATTTACTGAGTTTTAATTATGTTTTATTATAAATCTAGCCTTTGGTCCTCCAAATATTTTACTAGGCTCTGCAGGTCAGTAGAAATAAGTTATGCATACACATCTGTGAAATTTATGCATGCAAATAGCCTCCATTCGATAGGTCCGATATTCTGGGAGCTGGGCAGAGCATACCTACGATATACTATTTCATGGAATTCAAATCCCAATGACCCCCTATAAAAAAGGCACTTTCAAGTTTCTACTGAACTTGCTCTTCCCTTTCTTTCCCCTCTTTTAACCCCAACCAAACAAGTTAGCCATTAAGCCTACTGCTCTGTGTATCAAGTGATTCTTAAGTTACGTAAATATGCCTGGTAGCATTCACGACTTCATTCTTTTAATTATTTTATTTACTTAGTTTTATTTTATTGGACAGCCTCCACCAACCCTCTGGACCAGAATAAGTTCAGAGCTACTCCTGTCTTTATTATTATTATTGTTATTTTGAGATGGAGTCCCGCTCTGTCTCCCAGGCTGGAGTGCAGCGGCGTGATGTCAGCTTACTGCAATCTCTGCCTCCCAGGTTCAAGCAATTCTCCTGCCTCAGCTTCCTGAGTAGCTGGGATTACAGGCGCCCACCACCATGCCTGGGTAATTTTTGTATTTTTAGTAGAGACCAGGTTTCATCATGTTGGTCAGGCTGGTTTTGAATTCCTTATTTCAGGTGATCCACCTGCCTTGGCCTCCCAAAGTGCTGGGATTACAGGTGTGAGCCACCAAGCCTGGCCTCCTGTCTCTACTATTTTAAATAGCCAGGTGACAAATTGAACTCTTCAATTATTTGTTGAAATGACAGAATTTTAGGGTCATAGAAGGAGGGTGAGTTTCATATGAGCAACAGGAACTACTGGCTTAAATGTGAAAATTAATGCATCTCTGCAAATCAAGCTGTGGCTATCTCTCTGCTTGGTCTCCAAAGGACATATGGTTTACAATCCTCTGTGACACTGAAAAGAGAAAAGAAGCAAGACTATATTTGCCATTTGACTGCTTTTCATTGGAATTGGATTAAAGCATATTTCACTTTGTTCATTGTCCTTTTTAAAGCATTCAGCTCCACGAAAGGTTGAGCCAGAGCAAGTAGTTGAAAAGATTTTCTATGCCCCTTTCCTCCCGCGTTGTATGACTGGTGGCAATAAAGTCACTTTCAGGCAGAAAGATGCAAAGCCATTAACTCAGGGTTACATACATCCCAAACCAGGCTCAATGGGAAGAACACATTTGACTGTCTCCTTCTGTTTATTTAGCCATCTTCTTAACATTTCTTTTTTGGTGTATGTTTTATGTACCCAAATTGTATATGTAATGTACATATAATACATTACTCTAGTAATGTATACATACATTTATCAATAAGTATGTGTACATATGGGGAATATGTGCTCAGAAATGTTTTACTAATTTGATTTGTGATTTAAAAATGAGTACACTGGTGTGTGTGACAGATTTGGAAGCCTGGTTTCTCATCCACACACTTCAATAAGCATAGCCCTATAGACCCTCTCAGGTGTATTATCCCAGTTCATATCTTGGGCCTTCTTTATTGACTTAATTCCTTAAGGTGATACTGATGCTTTCCAGTTGAATCTATTTCCAGAGTACTTTCCTCCTATCTTCTCTTTTTTCTTTAATCCCTTTGTCCAAGGCCCAGATTACTGCCACTTAAATTCAGTTGTATCTCTTACCTTTTTCTCCATTCCAGGTTGTGAACAATGTTGCACAATAATTTGTGTAATCCCTGAATATATCTTTCCTGACTTGAGAAAAAAATGAGAATATCTTTCAGTATCAGGGCTCCTTGGAGGTCAGGGACATTGAATAATGGATGGTATTATTCCCATTATTTATGTGAAAAAAAACACTGAGATTAGGTGATTTTTGTGTAAGGTTACAGAATCAATCCGTACGTTTTTAACCTCACCTTGAGATTCTGAGTCTTGTACTTTTCCCTGCTGGGATCCTCAGTGAGTCTATGTTTTCTCAACCTCTGACCAGAGGCTATGCCTGTGCCCTGTCCTTGTTTTTCATATGGTAAGGAAAATGTCCTCCTGGATCCTAGGATCTGACCACATCTTATTAATAGAGTTCAAGGCAGTAGAAAGAGCAAGGTCTTTGAAAGTAGACAGAAGTGCATTCAAATCTCAGCTCCCAGGTCCACATAAGTTGTGAGACCTCATTATGCAGGAGTAAAAACACGCCCCAAATCTTAGTGGCTTGAAAACCACCAATATTTGTTTCCCACTCACTTTATATATCCATGGGCAGGTTAGAAGGCCCAAGATATGAATTGGGATAATATACCTGAGAGGACCTATAGGGCTATGCTTATTGAATCGTGTGGATGAGAAATCAGGCTTCCAAATCTGTCACACAAACCAGTGTACTCATTTTTAAATCACAAATTCTAATTATATGTGGACCCAAGCTGATGAAGCAGATGCCAGAGGAGGAGCACATGGTGACCCATAACTAGCTCTTTAAGCTTCCATGGAGATGAGACATATGTCACTTACACTCACACGGATGCACCCAACCCAAGAAGGGAGAAGCCTTCTTGGCCGAGAAGGGAAAGCCCATCGTGTGCTCAGGAGGAGAACCAAAAACATTGGAGATACACCACTCATAATTATCACGCCAATGTATTTAGCATCTCTGAGCCCCAGTCTTCTATGTAAAAACAGGACAGTGATAAGGATAGAAATATAATAAATCAGAACTAATGTCTTAATACATGAAATGTACAGCACAATGCTTGGCCAGCGGTTGAGTCTTAACAAATATTAGTTCAATCCTGTCTGCATTTTGTTCCTTTCTCTCTAGACCTGAGAATAGAGGGAATTGGTAGGAAAATGCCAGCGGGCCGGTTTCTAATTCCACCAAGAAGACAAGGAAAATGGGTTGCAACAGCAGCCAGAGGACAGAAGGCCAGGGTAGCCGGTCAGGTCCCAGGGATCAGGTAGAATTTCATTACTCACAGGACTTTTTTTTTTTTTTTCAGCACAAAATAACCTTCTAGAAAACCCAGCTGAGGAGAAAGTTCACAAAGGGGTCACATAGGTAGCCCAAGCTCTTCGAGGTCAATGCATGGTGTGCCTCTTGATGCAGCCTGGCACTTTCATTAACGTATTTAATCATGCTTTTATCTTTAATCATCAAATGGCTTAATAGCATGCATTGTATTCCCAGGCCTGAAATAACAATGGTTATGTGGCTCTGTGATAAATGTTTTTAATAAAATCAGTAATTACCCTTTTTGTGTGTGTGTGTGTGTGTGTGTATTATATTAACATCTTTCCATTTCCTTAATTTTGGCTTTTAGATATGCAAAAAAAAAAAGACTAAGGTAGAATACTCAAAATACTGTTTTATGTTTGGTTTTGTTTCTAGGAGCGCCTGCTGAATAGCAGGAAAGGTGAATTCTAAGCTGTGGATTTTAATGCAAACTTCATCTAAGAACAGTTGGGGTTGGGAGAGAGCCCTGGCTTCAGGGCCAACCAAAGGTGGGGTCTGAATCCCAGCTGTATGAGAGAAGGCTACTCATAGGAACTCTCCAAGCTGAATTTCCAAATCTGTAAAATGGTAGAGCACTATTCTTTATAAAGTTGTGGTGGAGAATATAAAGATGCTTAAAAGTAATTACATTTAACAAAAAATAGAATAGCCCTTACTATGTACCAGAAGCTATTCTAAGTGACTTATAAATATTAACTCATTTGGTCCTCAACGCAACCTTACCAAGACAGGTATTTTGAGATGATAGATAAATAAAAAGAGAGGTTAAGTAACTTTCCCATCGTGCCATAGCTAGTAAGTAGTAGAGCTGAAATTAGAACCCAGACAATCTGCCTAGAGAAGTACATTCTTGATTTCATACTCTAAACAGGTGAGCTATTATTACTGTTGTTATTGGTCCAATAAACATATTTTTACTTAATAGACCTGGCTTTTGTACTGGAAACTCTGGTCATTGTACATTTAATGATGGCTGTTTATCCTTACACTTAATTTATATTTAATTTATAAATATAAATAATATAATTTATAAATATAAATAATATAATTTATAAATATAATTTATATTTAATTTATAGATATAAATTATATAATTTATATTTAATTTATAGATATAAATTATATAATTTATATTTAATTTATAGATATAAATTATATAATTTATATTTAATTTATAGATATAAATCATATAATTTATATTTAATTTATAGATATAAATTATATAATTTATATTTAATTTATAGATATAAATTATATAATTTATATTTAATTTATAGATATAAATTATATAATTTATATTTAATTTATAGATATAAATTATATAATTTATATTTAATTTATAGATATAAATTATATAATTTATATTTAATTTATAGATATAAATTATATAATTTATATTTAATTTATAGATATAAATTATATAATTTATATTTAATTTATAGATATAAATTATATAATTTATATTTAATTTATAGATATAAATTATATAATTTATATTTAATTTATAGATATAAATTATATAATTTATATTTAATTTATAGATATAAATTATATAATTTATATTTAATTTATAGATATAAATTATATAATTTATATTTAATTTATAGATATAAATTATATAATTTATATTTAATTTATAGATATATAAATTAATATATATCAATTTATATTTCTATTCAAACTGTTTGTGTTGTAAGGTGTTCCTTATTCATTTATCAATGCCCGATATAGAATTGGCCTTTATTTATACTCACTGTATGTCATTCTGCAGAATAGCTCAGGATTCTTTTAAGTAAGTCTCATCCTCTCTACTTATATTGTTGAAGGCAAATCACTCTGAACCTTAGTTCATCTCTCTGTAAAATTAGGCTACAGGTTGTACCTGCTGTTTCAGACTGATGTGTCTTATTTATTTAGCAAATATGTATTGAGCATCCACTTAGAGTACCATACCCATTCCTGGCGGGAAGTGTCTTGGTAATTTTAATCAATCCTGACATACCACCCACAGGGACCTCTGATCATATAGATAGGAACAGTCTTGGATAAAGAAGGAACCTGGGCTGTGAAGTCAGAAATTGAGCTCCTCCACTTGTAGAAGGACATGTCACCTCACCTGAATCCTATCTGTAAAATGGGTTGACCTAAGAGAACAAGAATCTGAGAAGGAAAAATACATGGCATAGTGCTGGGCACACATCAAGGACAAAGAGGGAGACTGTCTAGTCTACTTCTAATTTGGTTTTATGAAGCCCAAGAGACAAGGACACATGGTTTGCTGAGTCCAAAAGCACCATCATGTGCATAAGTTCAGGGCCCCGTTGTGTTTCCAATACCTAACCCCCCTTGAAAATGCCCCAGGAAGAATTGGCTTGTATGACCACAGCAGTCCCAGCAAATTTGCAGGATGGTGCAGTCCTACAGCCCTTCCCTACCTAGGAACAAAAGTTTGTAGCCTATATTCTTCTTGAATAATAGGAATTATTTATTTTGAAATGTATTCCTGGAACTTTGCTTGGGTTATAGTTTTAACTTCCATAGGCATGAATTCACATGCTATAACGTGTGTGTTTTTTAAAAAAGGAGCCCCAATACAGACCTGCTCACAGCAAGATGAAGGGTATTTACTGGGTCATACAAGATGTGCTATGGTGTCCAGATAAGAGCTCAGACCCCAAGAGGAAAGTTATTTTTCCAGCCCTAAAGGATAGAGTAAAACAACCTTTCCCATTATCTTGCTAGGCAAGAAACCAAGACAAAGCGGTAGAACTAAGGGGTGGCAGGCAAGAATATACATACAAATTACACAGACTGGAAGTAACAGAACCGTGGAGTCCTGCAAGCAGGTGGCAAAGCCATTTCTCTCTATTCATCGTGCAGAATAAATTAGGGGAAAGCCACATTTCCCAGCCAGAGAAGCAATAAAAATTTAAAATGTAAAATAACCTTGAGCAAAAGCATTAGCAAAGGCCTTGCCTGTTGCTATGGTTTGAATGGCCCCTCCAAAACTCATGTTGAAACTTAATCCCCAATGTGGCAATCACTGAGAGGCGGGCCTTTAAGAAGTGAATGAATCATGACGGCTCTGCCCTGATGAATAGATTAATCCATTCATGGATTGATGGATTAAGGGGTTATCATGGGAAGGGAACTGATGACTTTGTAAAAAGAGAGAGACCTGAGGTAGCACATTGCATATTAGTACAGTTAGCACATGGCCACATGATGCTCCATGCTGCCTTGGGACTTCTAAAGGAGTCCTCACCAATAAGAAGGTTCTCACCAGATGTACCCTCTGAACCTCAGACTTCCCAGTCTCTGGAACTGTGAGAAATCAATTTTGTTTCTTTATAAATCACCCAGTTTCAGGTATTCTGTTATAAGCAACAGAAAGCAGACTAATTAACCTGTTCTGCAAATAATAATAAACTCTTGATACAACAGACTTATCCTAGCCAAGACTAGTGTGAGGCAGTAACAGTGGGAAGTCTAGGGGAATGGAGACCAGGAACACTCAAGGGGAAGAGAAACTCGAAGGAAGCCAGGACAGGACTTTTGTCTTATTTGGAGTTGATTGAAGGCTTTCACCAAATGCACTGAATATAGTACTCATCGTTTGTGGACTTTTTTTTTTTTCATGACTATGGTCAAGAAGTTGAGGGTAAAATGTATTCCTTTTCAGTCAATAATTTGAATCTGATGCTATTACTTCTGGTGTGGTTCCTTAACTAGGAGCTCGATAAAGATCACGAAACACATGTATCTGGAGATCAGGATTAGATATGCCCAACTTAACTCTTACTCTAATGATTTTGGTACCAAATGAGTAATAACTGGTAAACACCCTATTTTTTTTTTTTAGATACCAATGTCTTGGCAAGGTCTATTTCCTTCTGAAAGGGCTACACCCTGGGCCTTTGCAGACTCGCCTCCTGCTTTCTAAATCTAGACCAAGTTCCTACCAATGACAGCAAAGCACTCCATTCTATAGCAACCTCTTTTCTTAACTTAGAACGTATAGTGTGTACATTATCATTCAAAGTTTGTACATCATGAATGAACAAGGAACAACATTCCAAAGGCAAGAAGAGTAAATAGGAAAGGTTCTATTCCTCCCTCTCCCTGAGCTGAGCCATCTGTCTTGTTTCTCTCCCTGGAGGCAACTACTCATAGCAATTTTGGATGCAACCTTCTAAAGATATTCTTTACTTAAACATATATAAGTAAATGTTTAAATTATCATACCAAATATTCATGAAATTTAATACACAATTTATATAAATTTCTATGAATTTTAATACATATATAGATTTCATGTAACCACCACCACTATCAGGATACAGCATGGTTTCATCATTCCAAAAAACTTCCTTGTACTATCCTTCCATAGTCACAGTGTCCCTAAAACTTCCCACACAACTCCTAACCCCTGGCAACCACCGAACTCTTTTCTGTTACTATGGTTTTATCTTTTTGAGAACATCACGTAAGTGGAATCACACAATATGTAGGCTTTTGAGTGTCTCCTTTTCTCAGTATAATGCCTTTGAGATTCATCCAGTTGTGTGTATTAATAGCTTGTCCCATTTTAATTGCTGAGTAATATTCCAACATGAGGATGTACCACATCTCCTTTATCTATTAACTTGTTGAAGGCCACATCTTCTTGGTGATTATGAATAGATCTGCTATAAATATTTGCGTATTTATTTTGGTGTGAACATACTTTCATTTATCTAGGATAAATAACCAGTATTTGGGTTGCTGGGTCTAACAAGTAGTACGTGTTTAATTTATTAAGAAATTAACTAAATGTTTTCAAGCTGACTGCATACACTGTTCTGCATTTTATAAAAATCAGTGATGCATCCTACCAATCATTTTGGATGTGTCAGTTTAGTTAGATCTACCTCATTTAAAAAATCAGGCTGCAATGTTTTAATGTTGTCATTGTGATGTTTTTTGTTTTTTGTTGTTTTGTTTTGTTTTTTGAGACAGAGTTTCGCTCTTGTTGCCCAGACTGGAGTGCAATGGCATGATCTTGGCTCACCACAACCTCCGCCTCCTGGGTTCAAGGGATTCTCCTGCCTCAGCCTTTTGAGTAGCTGAGATTACAGGCATCCACCACCACACCCAGCTCATTTTTGTATTTTTAGTGGAGACAGGGTTTCACCATGTTGGCCAGGCTGGTCTCGAACTCCTGACCTCAGGTGATCCACCCACCTCAGCCTCCCAAAGTACTGGGATTACAGGCGTGAGCTACCATACCCGACCTAATGTTGTTATTGTGTTTTTCATATGTTCTCTATTGATGGGGTGTGTGTGTGTGTGTGTGTGTGTGTGTGTGTGTGTGTTTTCCAGGTGCAAAATCACTGGGCCAATTACCCCCCTAGCTTCCTTGAAGAAGCCATTGTTTTTCTTAATTTTGTTAATTTCTGGATACCCAATTTTCTTTCTTCTACTTTTTTCAGTTTATTCTGTTGAAAAAATTCTAATTTATTGAGTTAACTTCTTAATTCACACAGATTAACAAACATGAGAGAGTAGACATTAAGTCCAGAAGTTCACTGTTTTAGTTGTATCCCATCAGGTCTGATATGTATTATTTTATACCTATTTGTATTATTTTGTGTTCTTATTTTCTAGATATTTTGCAATTTTAATATTGGTTTCCTCTTTTACTTGAAACTTGCATGAGATAATTTTTTGTTATTAATATTCTATTACATTTCCAGGTGCTGGGAAATATATATGCTACACATAAAGTGTAAAGAACGATCATCAGAAGAACACTCTTCACCAGCAGTTTGAGAAACAACATTATCCATATCTCTGAATTCCACTTTGCTGCACTCTTCTAATTCATACATTTCTTTACCCCAAGAAACACCCATTTTTCTGAATTTGGGGTTAGTCATTCAACTGCTTATATACATAAGCAGTGATAAACCTCCAATGAAAAATGAACGTTTAAGCCTTGATGTCAATGGAATCATAGTGAATGCATTCCGCTCTAATATTCATTTTTCTCTGAACAGTATGTGTGGAATTCATCCATTTTGATACTGGTGGCTATAGTTTGCTCACTTTCACTGCTGTGTAGTAGCCCCATTGAGCGTAAATATGACAATTTACTTCTCATTTTTTCTATGATGGTCCATTTAGATTGTTATCAATTTTTAGCTTGTACAAACAAATTTGCTAGGAATGTTCTTGGGCATAATCCATGATAAACATGGGTTTATTTAGGTTAGCTCCTCCAGGATGGAATGGCTAAAATATACGATATATTCATCTTTTGCTTTATAATAAAATGCCAATGTTTGCCTGAAGTGGCTTGACCAATTGATCCTGCATGTATCGGCACCCTCCTGCTCCCCATCCTTGCTCATGTTTGATAATGTCACACTTTTAAACATTTCTTACATATGGGATATGAAGTCATATCACCTAGTACTTTTAATATCTGTTTCTAAGATTTTAATACAATTTCTCAGTTCTTTGTGATCATCCAACTTTATAAAATGCATTTTCTTTGTTCACGCTTTTCTTTTCTTTTCAAATGCCTTTTTAAAATTGATTCACTGAGATTCATGATTTACTCTAGATACTTATTTGTTGCTGGCTTTGTATGTTGCAAATATTTTCTGCCAGTGTGTGGTTTGTCTTTTCAATTGATTTGGGGGTGCCTTTTGAAGAAGAGAAATTCAACGTTTTAACACATTTGATTAACATTACTATTTGTATAATCTTTAAGAAGACTCTACCTCACAGTCAAAAAGTATTCTGTCTATATTTTTCTCTTAATATGAAGGTTTACCTTTTATAAATAAGACATTTATTCATCAAAAATTGATTCTGTGCATAGTGAGTGATAGGATCCCAGCAATTTTTCCAAGTGGAAAATCAATTATTCTATCGCTATGTAGGATTGTTGTCATAACAATTTACAAAACCGTTCCACATATGTATAGGCCTATTTCTGACTTTTCATCCTGCTCTACTTGTAAATCCCTGTACTAACTTCACATTCTCTTAATTTCTGTAACTTATAGTATGACCTCATTACCGGGAGGGCAGCAATCTTCATGATTTTCTCTTTTGGATATCCTCTTCTGTAAAAATCAGAGAACTCTCTTGTCAAGTTCCACTGGGGGTTTTATCTTAATTGCCATCGGATCTATAGATTAGCTTGAGAATAATCAACATCTTAAACACACTGGGTATTTTTATCCAATAATCTATCTCTCTATTTAGGTCACGTTTAAAACTTTTCAATGCAATTTTATAATTTTTTTTCATAAGAACCATGGACAAGTTTGGGCATGGTGGCTCATGCCTGTAATCCCAGCACTCTGGGAGGCCGAGGCAGGCGGATCACAAGGTCAGGAGTTTGAGACCAGCCTGGCCAACATGGTGAAACCCCATCTCTACTAAAATTACAAAAATTAGTCAGGTGTGGTGGCATGTGCCCGTAATCCCAGTTACTCGGGAGGCTGAGGCAGGAGAATTGCTTGAACTCAGGAGGGTGTGGTTGCAGTGAGCTGAGACTGGGCCACTACACTCCAGCCTGAGTGACAGAGCAAGACTCCATTAAAAACAAAAAACAAAAAACATGGACGAGTGTTGTTCAGCCCTAGGAAGTTATATTTTGCTATTATACTTATTATCATTTTTAATACTTTTTCTGTTTGCAGCTGGGGTACAGAAATGCAATGACTTTCTTGAATAAGCTTTTTATTGAAGTACAATAGATCAAAAATGTGCACAAGTCATAAGTGTACAGTTTTTTAAATTTTCAAACAGCGTGGTCCATGTAACCAGCACCCAGATCAAGAATGAACACATCTTTGCCATCCCATTACTGGGTATATACCCAAAGGACTATAAATCATGCTGCTATAAAGACACATGCACACGTATGTTTATTGCGGCATTATTCACAATAGCAAAGACTTGGAACCAACCCAAATGTCCAACAATGATAGACTGGATTAAGAAAATGTGGCACATATACACCATGGAATACTATGCAGCCATAAAAAATGATGAGTTCATGTCCTTTGTAGGGACATGGATGAAATTGGAAATCATCATTCTCAGTAAACTATCACAAGAACAAAAAACCAAACACCGCATATTCTCACTCATAGGTGGGAATTGAACAATGAGATCACATGGACACAGGAGGGGGAATATCACACTCTGGGGACTGTTGTGGGGTGGGGGGAGGGGGGAGGGATAGCATTGGGAGATACACCTAAGGCTAGATGACGAGTTAGTGGGTGCAGCACACCAGCATGGCACATGTATACATATGTAACTAACCTGCACAGTGTGCACATGTACCCTAAAACTTAAAGTATAATAAAAAAATAAATTAAAAAAAAAAAGAATGAACACATCACCATGATATGAGAACCATCTTAACCAGTGACTTCCCCTCATAAAGATAACCACTATGTTCATCCCTTTTACCACATATTAGCTGTCCATCTTTTGGACACTTATGGAATGACAGAGAATGTATTCATTTATGACTAGCTTTTCCCCCTTGTTTTTGTGAGATACATCATGTTGAATATGGCTACAGCTTGTTCATTCTCTTTGCTGTATAGGTTTATATTACATGACTAGACTATAACTTATGCACATTAATGTTGGTAGATTTTTAAACAGTTTACATTTGGGGGATATGGCTAGTATGAACATTCATGGGCTCATCTTTTTACATACTTAGGTGTTCATGTCTGCTCATTTGTACTTAGAAGTAGAATTAATGGTTAAGCATATACTTAGTTTTTGTAGATCCTGCCATACGCTTCTGGTTTTCCAAAGTGGTTGTACCAAGATTCACTTGTAGTAGATAAGAATTCCAATACGAAATACAGCCTGTAATTTGACATTTTAATATTTCTTATTATAGAAACATTGGCAAATTCTCATATGAATTCTAAGATTTTATCTACATAATAAGCTAGCATTCTGAGAATGAATTCGCCTTAGTCATCATGTTTTTCTTTGCATAAACCTGGCTCTTGCAATTTTTTTGCTAATAAATTGCTAACTAACTTTGGTTTCTGAATGTGCATAAGAAAATAAAGCTATAATTTCCTTTCTCATGCTGTCCTTATCTACTTTTGGCACAAAGTTTATGTTTACTAAGTATAATTAATCAGAGAAAGTTTCATTTCTTTTTTGTAAGATTTTATGTAAGATTAGAATTTCCTTTTCCTCAAATGTTTGGTAAAACTTGCCTATTAAATCATTTGTACCTGATGTTTTCATTTTGGGGAGATTGTTGACAGATTATAAAGTAATCCTTTAAAGATTACAGGACTGCTCAGATTTTTTTTTCACTAAGTTTTAATATTTTTCTACAATTCACTCATTTCAGGTTAATTCTTTAGGGTAATTAGCATAGAGATTATAATATTATCTTTTACATCACTGATGCATTTATAATCGTATTTTTTCACATATAATATGGCTTATTTGTACCTTCTCTCTTTTTTTCATTTTACCTTGGCAGAGGTTTATCAATTATTTTAGCTTTTATTATGGAATTAACTTTGACTTTGCCAATCTTTCTATTGTACATATGCATTCCATTTAATTAATTTCTGTTTCTACCTTAATTATTTCTTCCTTTCTGTGTTCTTTGTTTATTCTAACTTTGAAGTGTGATGCATAGTCCATTAATTTTCAACTTTACATCTTTGCTAACATAAACATTTATGGCTTAAACTTCTCCCTAAATACTGCTTTAACTGCATTTCACACATTTTGACATATAATAGTTTCATTATCATTAAGTTCTACATATTTTCCAATTTTCACTGTGATTTCTCCTTTGACTCCAGAGTAATTTAGGAGAGATTTAAGTCCACACACAGATTTTAAAATAAAGTTACTTTTTATTGATTTTATGTTAATTATAAACAAGGAATGTAGTCTGTGTGATAACAGATTGAGTTGAGGATTCATTCCTAACAAATGGTCAATTTTTATGAATTCTCATGTATGCTTGGAATGAATATGTGGTTTCTAGTCATTGAACACTTTGAAATTGTTCAAATCGTCATCCTGATAGTATATATTCTCCTGATTAAAATGTTACTTACTGAGAGAGAATATATTAATATTGCTTATAATTATAATGTATTTGTCACATTCTCCTTGATGTTCTAACATTTGCTTTGAATTTTTAAAGGCATGTTAATACTGTCATACTCAGTTTAGAGGTGGTTATATCTTCAGGATGAATTTGACTTTTGTCGGTATATTAATGGTTATATTTATCTCTGGTAATGCAAACTGTCATTTTAATAGTGTTTCCTAGTGTCCCTTTTCCTCTAATTTATCTGTAACCTTTCCATGATTTTATGTTTTAAGTTGTGACTCCTATAAACAGCATAAAACTGGATTTTTTTTTAAATCTAGGAGACAACTTTGGTCTCTTCTCAGATAATTTTGTATCTTTGTTTTAGATATATTTCTACCACCCTGTTTTGTGTTTTCTATTAGATTGCTGTCAAGATTTTACTGTCTGGATTTCTTTCATGGTCACAGTTAACAGAATTTAGGTATTCCTTTTTGTGTTAGTGATAGTATTTTATTTTTCTTGAAAGTTATCCATTTCACATAAATTTTTAAATGCATTAGAATATGGTAATCAATAGTATTCTCCTATTTTAAATTGTGCCATATCTGTAGACTAACTATAATTCCCCTTAATTCTTTGTGTGTGCGCACGTGCGTGAGTATGTGTATTGTCTTTCTTCCTTTTGGCTTTGTTGATCTTCTGGGATTTTTTCTGTTCCATTAATTTTTGTTCTTATGTTAATAATTTCCATTATTTTACTGTCTTTGAATCTATAAAATAGTTTCTTTTTCTGGTTTATTAGCTTGAAAAACTAGCTTAATAATTTTCAGCCTTTTAAAAAATAAGGATTAAAGAAAATAAATCTTGCTTTCACTATACCCTGTGTTTTAATGTACAGTATTTTATTTATTTTCCCTGAAATTTTATTTTGAGGTAACTGTAGATGTACATGCTGTTGTGAGAAATAATATATAAAGCTCTCATGTACCCTTTATCCAGTTTCCCCCATTTTAACATCTTCCAAAACTATGGTGCAATGTCCTGATCGAGTTCTTCATGTTTATACAGTCAAGACACAGAACATCTCCAGCACCAGAAGGCTCCCTCATGCTGCCCTTCATAGCCACATTCACTTCTTTTTGTTCCGCAACTCCTTCTTAACATTGGCAGCCACTAATCTGTTCTCCAGTTTTTTTAAATTATTGTTTCAAGAATGTTATATAAATAGAATCATACAGCATGAAACCTTTTGGGATTAGAGTTTTCCACTTAGCCTAATTCTCTGAAGATTCACCCAGGTTTTTGTATGTATTCCTTTGTATTGCTGAGTAGTAATCAATGGTGTGCAGGTACCAATTTGTTTAACTATTCACCCAAGGGACATCTGTCTTGTTTCTAGTTTTGAGGTTGTTACGTATGAAGGTGCAATGAACACTCACATGCAAGCTTCTGCATAAACACTGCTTACACAAAATATATAGTAGCTTTATTTAGAGTAGGCAAGTAGATTTTAATTTATTATGATGTCTTTGTTGACCCAGGAGTGGTTGTTTGGAATTAAAAAATTACTAATCTACATTTAATAGGGCTATATTTTTGTTGTTGACTTATTTCTTCTGTCTTTCCAGATAGACAGACAGATATAGATATTGATGTGTGTTTGTGTGTATTCATGTTTTGAATTAATTGAGTCCTTATTTGATCAATTTTATGCATCCATGTGTACTTGGGAAGAATATGTATTCTGACGTCCAAACATAGAATTCTTTAATTTTTTAAAGATTTTATTAATTTTGTTAAATCTTTTAACTCCTCATTGTGGTTTATATGCTTGGTTTACAAATTACTGAGATGTGTAAAATCTCCCACTATGATGTGTCATTTGAAAATTTTTCCTCCTAGTATAATCAAGTTTTATTTCATATGTTTTAACCTGCTTTATTTGGTACATACAAATTTAGAATTATTGTACCTGACTAGTGAATTTATCCTTTCATCACATAGCTTCATTTTTTCATAATAATTTTTTTTGCCTTAAGCTCTGTTTTGTCTGATATTATTATAACTACACCAACTCTCTTTTTGTTAGTTTTGCCCAGAGTATCTTATTCTATTCAAAAATATTGTATGAAACTTCTCAACTTTTTTACTTCCTGTCTTTTTGAATACTTATATTGGCGATGTGTCTCTTAAGGAACATGCAGCTTAAAAAATGAAATAAAACTTTCTATTGTAAAATATAGTATAACTATAGAAAACAGAATAGGACAAATATAGAGCTTAATGAATATTTATGAAGCAAATAGTCTCGACATCAGCACTCAAGTCAACAAATACAATTTGCTGGCCATCATGGAATCCCCGTCCCAGTAACATACCCTTTTCGGCCCCTCAAAGTAACCAGTATCATGACTTTTATAATAACCCCTTTCTTCTTTTATTTATAGTTTTGTCTTCCAAATACACATCCCCAGGCACCACGGCTTAGATTTTTCTGTTTTGGTTGTATATTTTTAAAGACAATGCCTTCAGTCTCTTCTAGTCTATCAGTCCTGTCTCCAGCCTACTACTCTCCAATTTTCCCAGTGCAATTTATTTGTTAAAATACAGGGTCATTGCATCTACATGCTTACTCTAACTTCATCTTGTATTTTCTCTGCCCCAGCTCTGAGATGAACTATTTATCTAAGGATGCCTAGTTCCTTTTATGGGAGATGGTATTTAGAAACCAAGATCTGCATGCTAGTTGTGTTCATTGTTACTAGGATATCATTCTTTCCAGGGCTTGTCAGCAGACAGAGCTTGGAAAGACATATATATATATATATATATGTATGTATGGGTGTGTGTGTAGATAGATAGATAGATAGATAGATAGATAGATAGATAGATAGATAGTAACTCATGCCTAAACACAAACCCATATCTATTTATCTATCTACCTATCATCTATCTATCCGTCCACCCACCAACCTACATACATATGTGACTATCTGTCTGTCTGTCTATCTATCTATCATCTACCTATCTAATCCATCCATCCATCCATCCACCCACCCACCTACCTATATACATACATACATATCTCTCTCTATGTGTATCTACCTATCTAACCTACCTAGTGACCTACCTACCTACCTACCTACTCACCTGTCTATCCATTCTGATATTTCTGATTCCAGTTCAACAAATTTCATTCATGCTTTACCAAGATTTTGGCCATTTCATATGAGTTCAAGATAAAATACCCCTTAAGCTCATATAAAAACTTACGATTTAAATTTAGGACTACAAGTTCTCCTATCTTACAAATGTATTGCCTTTCTTCTTCACCAAGAATCCTGGTTCTCACGGAGATAAGGGTAAAATAGAAATTAGAATGTCATGCTTTCTATGTTGTACACCTAACAGTCTCAGAATGACAGAAGTAATTTCAATACTACGTCCATTTATTTGATTATTAAAACAATAAATTGATTTATAGATCCTTTTCCAATATTCCTGCATCTTTAATAGGTGTGCTGAATTTATGTTGTCAGAGCATATAGCCATTCAATACTGTACTTTTTTCCATAGAATATTTATTTAATGTTCACCAGTAGCCTTTATGCTGATATCTCTCTAATCATGTTGGTTGACTGAAACTCATTGAGTAGATTATTCAGGAAGAACCCATTAGAACAATATTATCTGATTTCCTGCATGTTGATAGCAATTTGCAGTTTTTAATGCTTGAAAGTCAGTCTTGCTGTATATAAAGTGCTTGGTTTACATTTTTTTACTTGAGTATAATAAATATATCACTTTATTTTATTCTGGCACAAAGCATTGCTGCCAAAAGACTGATAACATTCTGGTTTTCTTTCCTTTTTGTATGACTTAGTCGTTTTTCCTGGAAGCATGAAAGAATTATTTTCTTTTGAGGTCCAAAAATTTTACTAAAACATGGCTCAGTGTTGGCAATCCAGGTTGGTGTTCTCAAGTAGGTATGACCGCCCTTTCAATAAGTAATTATTGAAGTTATTTCAGAAAAAGAAATAGTACAACAAGAACTTTTTCTTAAATTTTACTTTTTGATATTTGTGCCTTTGCTTTGGGTTTCTTCTTTGGGAATTCCAGTATAATGATTTTCTTAGCCTGTCTTGTAACTTTTTCCTTTTCTCTTGGATCTAGTTGCCTCTTGCTTTTGTAAAAGTTTCCTTCTTTAACTTAGTTTTCTCCAGGCACTAGTGGTTGTGTGAATTTATTCGTGTGTGACTTCTACCTTAGTCTCCATTTCTTAGATATATTTTCTTAAATTTATAATTTATTTCCTGAGTCCTATGACTACATTCTGAGTTTTCTAATTCTGATTTTTGTTGTTGTGTCTCATATCATTTTCTTAATGTCTTTAACGCTTTCTGAAATAGTTCTCATCTGACTCGTAGGCACATTTATTTGGCAAACTTTGATTTTCTGGAGGGGTGTTATTCTCCTTTTTCTTTGAGATGGAGTCTCACTCACTCTATTGCTCAGGCTGGAGAGCAGTGGTGCGAGTTCAGCTTACTGCAACCTCCGCCTCCCAGGTTCAAGCAATTCTCCTGCCTCAGCCTCCTGAGTAGCTGGGACTATAGGTGTGTGCCACCACACCCAGCTAAGTTTTTCTACTTTTTGTAGAGATGGGGTTTCACCATGTTGGTCAGTCTGGTCTCAAACCCTGACCTCAAATTATCTGCCCACCTTGGCCTCCCGAAGTGCTGGTATTACAGGTATGAGCCACCATGCCCGGCTTTCTTTTTCTTGACACTAACTTTGCATGTGTTTTTATTTCGATTATCTTCTGTCTTCCCATTTATATGAAATTGGTTTCCCTGAGCATTTAGAAGAGAATATAGTCCAAAATTTCATTTCTAAACTCACAGAGCTCTCTTTTCTCCTGTATATGGTATGCACGAATATGGTGGCTCATTTTCTGATACTCGCAGATCTTCAATTTCTTGTCACTGTTGTCTCTGTGCTACTCAATTTAGATCCTTAATTTCATTGTTTATTCCTGGAAGGGAATTTTGACTGGTTCCTTCTGAGAGTCCACAGGGCCTAGACTACTCCAGACACATAAGGTCTTACTGTTGACCCCTTGTTTTTATCCTCTACTGAAAATTGCAAGATCCTTCACAGTTTTAGCTACAATTCTCAAATTTGATGTTTGAGCTTTCCAGGAAGTACCTGTTAGTTATGTGTGACTCTGAAGCCCATACGATGCCTTATTACTTTCCTCTCCTTCTCCCTGAGTAGTCCTGACACCATGCAGATCTTGTAGCTGTCAGTCTCATAATAATTTGATCGTCTTTCCTTGACAAGTGATTTAGTTTTGCCTTGAATGAACACAGAATTCATTTTTCTTTTAAAGTCCAGAAATTTTATTTGAATGTCTCATTGTTGGACAACCTGATTGTCAATAGTTTGACCCTCTCTACTCATTATTTGTAATTTATAGGGATAACTTGCCTCCTAGGTGTTTTGTAAATATTGTTCATGGGGTTTTGTTTTGCTGTTTCAGTTTGTTTGTGTGAGGGAATTTGGAAAATTTAAAAACTAAGTCACCAGTGTCATTTTCCAGCCAATTGCATTTTCTTTTCTTTCAACAACTTAATCTGACAATGTCTCCTTTGATTGGTAAGTTTAGTACAATGACGTAGACATATATTGTAGTTATTGATAAGTTTGATATTAGTTTTTCAACTTATTCTATATTTTTACTTCATGTTTAAATTTCTAAACATTTTTTACCCTCTCTTTAATTCCATTTTTTCCCTCTCCTGTTTCAGAAATTAATATATATATATCTGCATCTTTTAGTTAAAATTGTAGCCAGGCACAGTGACATGTGCCTACAGTTCTAGCTATTCAGGAGGTTGAGGCAGGAGGATCACTTGAGCTCAGGAGTTGAAGGCTGTAGTGTGCTATGTTCACACCTGTGAATAGTCACTGCATTCTAACCTGGGCAAAATAGGGAGACCCTATCTCTAAAAAAAAAATTGCACACATCTCAGTTGAAGTCTAAGTAGTATCAATACATCACTTCCACAGCAATCCAAAGATCTTGGAATACATTAAATAGAAACTCCCTCTCAGTTTACATGTTATGGTTGACCAATAGTTTAGTTGTATCATGTTTTCTACACACACATATACCAACTTGAACTTTACTATTTTTTATATAGTCAGTGTTTATTTAGATTTCCCATTCTGCTTACCAATTTCCTTGCTCACCACTGATTTTTGCATAGTAGGCTTTTCTTCCTTTCTGGGGAAAGAGATTGATTTTCCCTTTCCTCAGCTAAAATGCTTTGACTTTCCTATGAGATTTTATTGGCAATTTACTCTTAGGTTTTGTTTATTACAATACCTTTCTCTTACCCATACTATCAACCATGTATGCAATTTAAGGTTTGTTTCTTTCCTTCTCTCTTCATTTTGCGGATTTTTCGCTGTTTTCTGGCTTTCATTGCTGCTGTTGAGAAACCTGCTTTGAGTTAGTCATTCCATGGCAAGTGATCTGTATACATTTTCAGCCTCTTTGAAGACCTTTCTGTTGCTATGAAATTTCCTGTAATAAATCTAAGTGTCTTTTGATTCTTTCTTATTTATCCCGCTTAGGATAAACTGGCTTTTTGAAACTGAGAATTGGTGTCTGTCATCAGTTCTAGAAAGTACTTGGTCATCTCACTTTGAATATTGTCCCTTCCTTCAGTTTCTACTTACAGAATACATATGTGAGACTCTCATCCCACTAACATGTTTCTTTATTCCCTTCATGTTTTCCTTTTTTTTCTCTCTCTCTCTTCTTGGCTACAATGAGGGTATTAAGTTCTAGCCTCCAACCAATTCATTAATTCTCTTCTCCTGTATGTCTCATTTCCTTCATAATATGTCTGCTGAGTTTGTCATTTCCTATCTAAATTATATTTGATTCTTTTAAAAATATGCCTCCTCAACATTTGGTGTTCTCAATCCATTATCCCATTATTCATGCATTTTGAGACAGGGTTTTGCTCTGTTCCCTGGAGTGCAGTGGTAAGATTACTGATCACCGCAGCCTGTACCTCCCGGGCCCAAGCTATTCTTCCACCTCAGCCTCCCGCTGGGACTATATGAGCACACCACCACAGCTGGCTAATTTTTTAATTTTTATTTTTGTAGAGAGGAGGTCTCCCTATGTTGCCCAGGCTGGTCTCCAGCCTGAATTCAAGTGATCTTCCTGCCTCAGCCTCCCGAAGTGCTAGGATTACAGGTGTAAGTCATTGTTCCCGGCTCATCTTTTATTTCTGTAAATGTTTTAAATATTTTTTCCATATTTGGTCATTCACTGAGGGTATATGATTTCAAGTACATAAGCTTTATTCAGGGTGGAGCCTTTGTTCTAACTCCCCTTAATAAAACTGAAACTCAAGGTTCTTTTTATTGAGAAATTTTCCTAGGGCAGGCAGTGCTGTATATTCACTTACAACTCTATTCTCAGCTCTCTTTTCACTTTTGTCCCCTGGATATTTCCCTTAATTTCACAAGCATAGTCATTCACTTAAAAACACACACTCGTCCTCTCCCAACATATACGTAATTGTTACAGAAGGATTTTTTTAGGATACACGGTTTTCAATATTGGCCATAGTGAAAGTAAGTTGGGTAATTTCCACATTTCCATTTCCCTAATTATCTCTTCAAATTTCTCTGATTACCTCTTCGAGTCTCTATAATATGAAGAGTTGTGATTTTTATGAATGTAGAAGCTACAGCAAAAAGACTAGGCAGAGAACACGGAATCTATCTGTTGTTGGCTAGAGTTTATCTTCTAATAATTTAACAATAAACATTAATGGGGACCATATTCCTGAAATTGTGTGTTTATATTGTCCATCTCCTGTACTTATATGTGAATGGCAATTTTGCTGGTTGCAGATTTTCAGGGTCAAACTTTATTTCTCTGAAATATTTACAGATATTATTCTACTGTCATTTAGCATTTAATGTTACTATGGAGAGTGTTTTTTTTTTTAATTTTGTAGGCCATTGATATGTTTGCTTGTACACCAAATAATTCTTTGTTTAGATTTAAAGTCCATTAATTTTACTTGATATATCCTTGTTTTGAATATTCTAAAGAGTGTTTCCCCAGAACACAATGTGATATTTCCTTCTTTAGGTTTAAGACTCTCTTAATTTCTGCAGCAAATTCTTGTGTTCTATCTGGATTTTTTCTCTTATCATTCTTCAGTGTTTTCTTTGGGGCCACCACATATGTGTATGTTAGACTCCTTTGTCTTCCATGTTTATCATTTTCTCTCTAATGCTTTCTAACGTTTTACTGATTTCCATTTCCTTTTCCTCATTGTTGTTCATGCCTTTAATGTTTTCAGAAGTGCTCATTCTTCTTTGTGATGCTTCCAATATGGCCCCTTTGTTTCTGTGATGACTTTATTTTGCTATTCTACTTCACTCCTAATGGAAGCAAGATCATACTTTATCCTCTGCTTGATACTTCTCTGTGACATATTTTTGGTAGAAAAGATAATTGCTTAATTTTCTTTTAAAATTAGTAGTGATAAATTTGGTCCCAGTTTTTATCTGTGACAACACTTTCTGGCAAGTGTTCTTTTTTTAACTTGTCTTTTTCCTATGCTTTTCCATGATTGTATTATAAGTTTTTGTGTAGAATCTGTTCTGGTATCTCTAAAATAACTGTTATTACCAATCTCTGATTGAGTTGAGTCCTACTTGAATCAGCTATTTGTAGAAGGTTTTATTTGACGTGGAGCAGGGCCAAGTTCTAAGATAGCAGAAATTCTCTCCAGTTTATAGTAACATTCCTTATGGTACATAGCATTGGTTGTGTACATTGCTTATTTTAGCCAGCAAAGATTAATGTCATAGGATTAAGTCTCTTCTACTCTACCGTTCTAAGAGACTGACTTCTTGGTTCTTTTTTCTTTTTTTTTTTTTTTTTTTTTTTTTGAGATGGAGTCTCGCTCTGCCGCCCAGGCTGGAGTGCAGTGGCACGATCTCAGCTCACTGCAAGCTCCTCCTCCCGGGTTCACGCCATTCTCCTGCCTCAGCCTCCCAAGTGACTGGGACTACAGGCGCCTGCCACTATGTCCAGCTAATTTTTTGTATTTTTAGTAGAGACGGGGTTTCACCGTGTTAGCCAGGATGGTCTCTATCTCCTGACCTCGTGATCCGCCTGCCTCGGCCTCCCAAAGTGCTGGGATTACAGGTGTGAGCCACCGTGCCCGGCCGACTTCTTGGTTCTTTATTCAGTGTTTCCTTCCTTGATTCTCCATGGTGCCAAACTGTACCCAGGAATTGTCCCATCCTATGTGCTTTATCCCTGAAATTGACATCGAAGGGATTATTGGCTTATGGTACACTGTCAGTCTTGCAGATATGCTGACTTTGTTTAAGGTCTGCAGCCACAGATGTCATCTCTCAGCATCTGACCACACCCTTAATGTACACACTGCAACCTGCCACCTTTCCTCATCATTATTTTCCAACATAATATATTCTTCCTAGTTTTACCACAGCACTTGCATTTCCTTTTCTGATTTTTCTTCTTATGGAGAAGGGGAAAAAAAGCAGAAGGAGCAGAAGGGTCTTTGCTATCTCAAAATCAGAAGTCTGTTCCTCACCTTTCTTAACAACCTTTGATATGGAAAAATGTTGGAGGCTTTTCACAAGCCTAAGTAGATTGTAGGCTGTCCCTGAAAATGTCATTTGTAATTAGGTTGTCTGGAATTTGGAATGAATTTTCTTATAGGAACCAAGTTGTAAGTGGTATTTGGCAACCAAGACCAGCTTTCCAATAGGCAGTTTAGCTGGATGCATTGTGTTAATAGCATTATTCTGGCTCCATAGAACTACCATTTATTAAGTTATTTCTAAGGAAAAAATAAATTCCAAGTTCTAGTTAGTAGAATATAGAATCTTTTAAAATGCAAAACTATGCCACTCTCTTGTTTAAAATCCTTCAACAGTTTTCCACTGTTCATAGGCCAAGGATGAAATCCTCAGCATGGCCTCATAGGCCCATGATCTGGCTCCTGTCGGCCCTTCTAAATTTGAACCATTTTCCAAACTGGCCTTCTTATTGTTCCTGGAACATGTTATGCTTCTTCCAGCTCTCGGGTGTTTGCATATTTAGTTCCTTCTGCCTAGAAGATCTTTCTCTCACATTTTGCCTTTTCATGCTTACCCACCCTTCAGAACTCAGCTCAAATTTCATTTATTTGGGTAGCTTTCACAGGCCGAACAGCCCTGCCATATACCATCTAATAGCACCAGATTTCCCTGTCTTTATGTCCACTTTATGTCTTTATGTCCCAATACTGCTCACAGTGTCTGGCGTATACTAGATGTTCAATAAGTATGTGTGGTTAGATGAATGGATAAATGAATATCCATTCATTATCCATTCATCTAATAAATGGATAATGAATGGATAAATGAATAGTTCAATATTTCATGTTAAAGACAAAGCTCTTAATTTCAAACCTACTTTTCTGAAGTTAAGGAAATGTTTGTCCCCCTTCCACTCCTGATGCCCTGCCTGGAATATCTTGGGTCTGGGTCTCTGATGAATCATGTGTATGTTACATACAATTCCAAGTGTCAGCCTCAGGATAACCAATGCTATAAGTAGTCCTTACGACAATTAAGGGCAAACTCTGAAAAAAGTTACTAAAAACGGTTCATTATCTGAATCCTCACAGTGTTACAGCTTAAATCCCTGAAATATAAATACTAAGACATAAAATCAATTGCATTTTATGCTTGCTTAATCTTAGATATCTCTATCTCAAAACATTCCAGGACTGTGGCCATATATCCTGGATTTTTCCGGGATAGTTTCATTTTTAAAATAGATTAAGCCTTTGCTGCTAGAAAGTGCATCTCACCTGTCAGACTTTGTGTCCTGACTTTTTGTTCATACAACTCGCTCTCTATGACCGTGTCAACTATCAGTTTGTCACAAGTATCTTTTTGAACCATTGTATGCTTCCTGCGAGAACTAGCTCTTGTGAAAAGTTGGAGAATTTTAAAACCTCAATATGAAACAGAAACGACCTTTTAAATTTTAAATTAACGTGCTCAAGTTTCACTACATAACCCTGATTCAGCTTCCTCACCTATAAGATGTCACGCATGGTGCATAGGACTTCGAAGATCCTCAAAAATGGTGTAGGGAATATAATTTCTGAGTTCAAAAAGATGTTAGTTTAAAAATCCGCTTGGTAAAGGTAATAAAAGGTATCTGAGGTTTAAAAGTCCCAGTGAATAGTACGGGGAAGGGCACCGTGAGACCACGACTGTCTAATGAGCCGGGTTTGACACATGTGAAACAAGGATGACCTTGTTGGATCATCAGATATGGATGGAAGAATGGGAGAAGGAGGAGCCAACTGCTGATAACAGGTATCATCAAGTCTGAAAACACTCTCTAGGCGCCTTGCACAAAGTCAATTTTATTTTATTTTTTTGGAGATGGAGTCTCACTCTGCTGCCCCGGCTGGAGTACACTGGCATGATCTCAGCTCACGGCAACTTCCACCTCCCAGGTTCAAGCGATTCTCCTGCCCCAGCCTCCCGAGTAGCTGAGACTACAAGCATGTGCCACCATGCCCGGCTAATTTTTCGTATTTTTAGTAGAGATGAGGTTTTTCCAGTTGGCCAGGCTGGTCTCGAACTTCTGACCTTAGGTGATCCACTGTCCTCAGTCTCCCAAAGTGCTGGGATTACAGGGGTGAGCCACTACGCCTGGCCTCAAAGTAAATTTTAAAATATCAAAAGACCTAACTCTTATTCCTGTGCAACTTGTTAGAGGAAAAAAAAAAAAAAAAAAGAAAAAAAAGACTTGATGGTTTTGTCCTTTGGGCATACAACTGCCTTTTTATTGAAACATTACTACCTGAGCCAATGGAAATTGATTTATTTAACTCATCGCCTTCTCCCACCATCTCCCTGCTTTCTTGTCTCGCCGTTTCTTTACCTGAAAGAGCACAGCAAGGCTTTTTGTTACATTGGGTTGTGTTGATCCTGGATGAGTTTATAAGACTGTGGACTTGCTCCTTGCTTCTAGCTATTAGTTGATTTCATCTATCTTGAGAAAAGAGAAGGCTTGTACATAGGCCGATGAGGTAGTTTCCACAGATTCACTGAGAAATTAGAAGTGGTTCACTGTAGCAAGCCCTGAGGCATATCTCTGAAAGGAGCCCAGCCTTTAAAGATCACCTTCTTTCACAGAAAGTGGGTCCAACCAAGCACTCCTACCAACCCTCTCTAAGTCACCCAGCGATTCATTGCTCAGTCACTGCATGCCCGCTGCATGCCAGGCACCATGCAATGTGGCTCCTATCCATAAGGAGTGTGGATCCTGGTGGCAGAGACAGACACAGATAATCACAACATAATGTGTTAAGTGTTGGGGGAGGTATAAACTGCTGCGTGAGCATTGAATCTAAAACAGTTAGCTTAGCCTGAAGACACCGTGGAAGGCTTTGAAGAGGAAGTGGCTTTTGGGATCAGGCTTATGGGAAGAAGAGTTAATCAGATCCATGTGGGAAAAGGAAATTCAACCTCTGAGTACCACGTTTTCTTGTTCTCTTCTTTATGTTTTTGAACTTGCATGTGCTTCTCCTGTGGACCAAGGCTTCTTTCTGATCCGGTGGTTTGTCCCACCATCATCACCCCAGGCTGTCACTTGAGGAAAAAGGTAAAGGGAATAGAGCGGGGAGATTCAGGCATCCAGCTTTGCAGTACTTGTGCATCCAGGAGCCCTACTTCTGACTTGGTGGGGTGGGATAGTGGCCAAGTATTTGCTTTTTCAACTAGAACCTGGGATAAATTGGATGTCAGTGGTTTCCGGAGAAACATGGCCCAGCACCTTCCCTGTGACACAGTGCCCAGCACAGTGTTCCACACCTTGAACCCAATACAAAACACAGGAAATGCTTAACAGAGAAGCAAACGACATCATCCTTAGAACTAAAATTTCCAAATGTAACTCCTACTGCCACCTGTTGGTGGTATGGAGATGTGACCCACCTGCGGTTTGGAAGCTATCTTTCTTTGTAATCCTGTCAAGTTGGCAACTTAAAACCTGAAATTTCCGGAGTTAATATATACTGAAGTGCCAATGGTGGTTTTCTTCAGGGGTACTCTTTTTTATTATGGGCTGTGAAGTTCTGAAATGTTTTGCAATGAGTTACTATTTTGCAATGAGTCTATCTCCTTTTCTATTCAGAAGAACAGAGTAAAGATAAGAGAAAATTAAAAATTTACCTATGGGGTAGACAAAGAGCAATCTACTTAGTTAAAAGGGGTTATGAACAGGCAAAAGGGCATCACCAGAAATTGAGAAAGAAAGGAGGTTTCTATAAATTGATTACCTTCTTATTAATTATCATTTTTACTTGGGGATGGCAGATATGCCCGACTCACTGGTGCTGGTTAGGCGAGGCCTTAATCAAATCGTCAACAGCCATTCTCAGGCACTCATTTAGCAAATTCATACTGAATGCCTCCTGGCTGCCAGGCGCCCTTGGCTGCAGCCTCCAACAGTTTCATTTTGGGGTATAGCCAACCTTGAGAACAAGTGGCTGTCAGTGGAATTCAGACTATGGATAAATGCTGAAGAATAACGCCACGTGCAAGCAACCAAGTACAGGAGCAAGGACTCCCAGTGCTCCGGGAAGTACCTGTCCCTCTAAAGAGACAGTCACTACTTTGGATAGATGTTGGCTGTCCTCCACAGGCTTACAGATGCAGCTTCACAGCACATGAGAGATAGAGGAAACCGCAGACCTCAGCAGGGAGGCCAGCCCTCTCATTTTACTGCAAGGGAAACATATACAGAAAAGGGAAGGGACTCAGCCAAGCATGTTTTATTTGAGAAGCCGTGCTATTGTCTGTCTGCTGGAGCTGGGAAGATGAGCGTGCCCTCATGGGAGCCTGGTGGGATAGACAGATGCTTAAACTAACAATGTCACTGTAGTGTAGTCAGTGGCCGTAACTTGGGCTGGGGATAGGCAAGGCTATGGGGACGAGAGGAGGCAGTGCTGTGGGACCCTTTGTCTCTCTCGTGCTTGGGGATGAAGAACAACAGAGCTTTCTGGATACAGACCCTTGGAAGAAGTGTGTGGCTTAGGGCACAAGGTCAGCTGCCATGGGTCCATGGGTTCAAGTCCCAAGTTCATTAGGTTCTTTGAGCCTCAGCTTCCATCTCTGAAGTCCCCACCCCATAGGGCTGTTTGTGAGGCTGATATAAGGAATGCACAAGTGCTTAGCACAAAGTGGGATGTCAGTGCATGGCATGATTCTAGAAGTCCTCCAGCAATCCATTCACATCCTTCTATAAAAGGGCTATATCCAGCTATGGCCAGTTCCATCTTTTTTTGAGACAGGGTCTCAAATCCATTACCCAGGCTGGAGTGCAGTGGCATGATCATAGTTCACTGCAGTCTTGACCTCCTGGGCTCAAGCAATCCTCCTGCCTAAGCCTCCCAAGTAGCTGGGGCCACAGGTGTGCACCACCATGACTTGTTAACTTTTAAAGAAAATGTTTTGGTAAAGATAGTGTCTTGCTGTGTTGCCCAGGTTAGTCTCAAATTCCTGGTCTTGTGTAGTACTTCCACCTTGGCAGTTCCACCTTAAATAACTAAAGAGGCCCTGAGGAAGTGCATTTGCTTCTTTGTGTCACAACCATATCCTTAGACCTGAAACCATTCCCCCAACATCTCTCCCACGACCCTGGGAGGTGCTTAGGCTTGACCAGTCATGGGCTCCAGGTATAAACCCAGTCCTTTCAATACAGACATTTTCTTCCCAAAGCAGACCTACAGCTCACGAGGGAGAGGCCCACAGTCTACACCCCCAATAAAGATGCCCCACTGAGCCCCAGAGCTAGTTATGCAAGTCGTTTAGCAGAGCCTCTCAAATCCCCACTCTTAATGCAGGGAGAGTTATGGGAGCCCCAGCAGCGCCTTTTAATGCAACTGGATTAATTGCCTGCTCGGAAAACAGCTCGATTCTAAATGATCCTAAATGGCCTCTAATACCTGTAATCTTCCCTCCGCCAGGTTGCCCTGCTGCATTACTAAAGCGGGACTGGTTCTGGAAGCCCATTTGCTTAGTAAACAGCGGGCAGCATTGCAGGAGGCCAAAGGCTGAGAAATTGATGAAATCGCTACTGGCCTATTCACCAGCCTAATTTGATTCTAGAAAATCAAGCAGAGGCATTTGGACTGGACTGTTCCACAAGCTCAGTGTTCCTTTGCAGGACTGGGTAATCAAATGCGGGTGTGCCGCCGGGTCTCAACTCTGGTCCTTCCCAGCCCGGCAGTGAGCCGTCTCTCTCAGGAATCTTGATCTTCTTTCTGAAGACCACAGATGGAGCTGACAAGGAACCATGATGTCTTTCAGTCAATCAATTACCTGGAAACCAGGAGTAGGTGGGGGATGGCACACAATGGGCAGTGTGTTCTCGCTTTGGGTTTGCACTTATCTGGTAAACAGGTGAGCACCACAATTAAGAGAAAAAACTCAAGTTGGTGTTTTAGCTCTGCCATTACTAGCTATGTAACTTTGGGCAAGTAACCTCTAGGTGCCTCAGTTTCCTCATCTCTAAAATAGGGATGATTACAATAGTACCTACCTCAAAGGGTGACAGTGAGAATTAAATGCCTTAATAAATACAAGATGCCTTGAGGTCTGGCTAACAGTCAATTCTATAAACGCATTTGCTGTCATCGCAGCTTCACTGCTTCCATATGGGCAGGCACATGCCCTCCCTCAGCCTCAGTCCCTACTTCTGTAAATTGGGTCAATGGTTGTTGTGCAAGGGAATGGGGGTGAAGGGTGCATAAAGTGTGGCATTGAGGTGTCCAGTAAGCAGGCTTCCTCTCCTGCCATTCTCATACACGCTACCACTCTGGAATGCTTCTTCTCTGCAGCTGCCCTCTCTCTGTCCAGATGGACAGTTTCCATAGAGATCCATGTGAACACTGAAGGAAGACAGGTCACCTGGCCAGGGAGGCAGGTCGGGAGAAGGTGAGCCAGACCCACTTGGAAAACAAAAGATGAGCAGACAGGTGTCTGCATTTTCTTCCTGTAGACCAGTGAGGGTGAGGGAAAGAAATCAGACAGGCTGTGTTCACTTGAAATATCCGGCATTTGAGCCTGACATTGCCTTCATTGGGAGCTTTCACCAAACCAGTGTCCAACAGTGAGAACGCTTTTGAATCCTTGGCAAACAGATACCAGCAGACAGTGTGTGTGGATTTCCACAAGGACAGCATCTTGCATGACAAAGACATCAAGATACAAAACTAGGCTGGGCATGGTGGCTCATGCCTGTAATCCCAGCACTTTGGGAGGCCGAGGCGGGTGGATCATGAGGTCAAGAGATCGAGATCATCCTGGCTAACATGGTGAAACCCCGTCTCTACTAAAAATACCAAAAAAATTTAGCCGGGCATGGTGGCGAGCGCCTGTAGTCCCAGCTACTCAGGAGGCTGAGGCAGGAGAATGGTGTGAACCCGGGAGGCAGAGCTTGCAGTGAGCCGAGATCACGCCACTGCACTCCAGCCTGGGCGACAGAGCGAGACTCCATCTCAAAAAAGAAAAAAAGATACAAAACTAGAGTGCTACAGACCGCAGCCAAACAACACTGGCCATATCTTAATCAACATTATCATGAGTGACTCTGGTGCCAAAAGCCATGTTTGTCCTCACTCTGCAGTCTGGATGCCTATTTATCTACTGACTGGCTGCCACTTGATCACTCTGCTCGATTGCTCCCTCTGTAAAATGGGGCCAACTATCAACCTACAACATAAGGTGACTGTGGGAATAAAAGCAGCATATCAACAATGGTACGTATTTGTTGAGCTCTCAGAATGCACCCAGTGCTGCGCTAAATGTTTAATGTATGAATTCTAACCCACTGACTCTTCCCACTCGCCACGGAAAGTGAGCCCTGCTGTTAATCCCTATTATGCGGATAAGAAACAGAGGGAAAAGGAGGTTAATGAACCTGCCTGAAGTCATATATAGCTAGTAAATAAGGCGCTGTTACCAAAGTCCCTGGCACAAAATAAGTACTCAACAAAAATATGCAGACACACAAAAAAAATGAGATCATGTCCTTTGCAGCAACATGAATAGAGCTGGAGGCCATTATCCTAAGTGAACCAACACAGGATAGAAAACTGAATAATGCATGTTATCAACTATAAGTGGAGCTAAATGATGAGTACATAGGGACACAAAGAAAGGAACAGCAGACACTGGGGAGTACTTGAGGGTAGAGGGAGGGAGGAGGGTGAGGATCAAAGACTATCTTATAGGGTCCTACGCTTATTACCTGGGTGGTAAAATAATCTGTACACCAACCCTGTAATATGCAGTTTACCTATATAGCACACCTTCCCATCTACCCCAGAGCCTATAAAATAAAAGTTAAAATACATATGATGTAAGTTGGTAGAGCCACTTAGGAGAAAAATTTGGCAAGACCTATATCTAAAGCATTACTTCTAGACAGCTAGCTATCCAAGAACATTTTTGCAATGGCTAAATAGAGCTATTGTGGGGGCTACCATCAGTGCTAACTTTTGGGGAATAAAAGGGCCTCATGGCCTCAGGGAGGCACCAGATTAGTTAAGAGTGAATGGTTGATGGGACCAAGTAATGCCTGAGAATGGCCCTGCAGTGATAGGGCCCTGTATAAAGAGGTTGAGTGCACTTATCTGGGGTCCCTGTGGCAGGGCAAAGTTTGAAGCGGGCTTGGTTCAGGCAGGGTTTGGAGTTGCAGATCCATAGCCTATTCCATGGCCATTGGGGTGGCCAGATCAGGGGCAACACAAAGATTGCAGGTACTGCCAGAAGTCACTTTCTCATCCTGAGTTCAGTGACCTCATCTATAAACTGCATATACAGATAACTACCCTGTCTATTAATAGGAAGCTTATGAGGACTCAATAAGATCGGCTAGTCTGGTTATTCCTCACCATCCCTCAGGGAAGAAAGAATAATCTCCTGCACTAGGTTTAAAGCAGAAACGAATGCTGCACCAAGCAGAAGCCTCAGAGCTCTGCCAGGGACAGAAACTTGAGTGTCCCTGCCCCGGCAGAGCTCTGTTTTAACCATTTCATAAGCAACAGCTTCCCATGTGCCAGGAAGACTTTATTTTTTCAATTCAAAAGAGCACCTAACATTTCTCGAAAGCTGCCTATGCCCTATACATTATCTCCTTTAATCCTTACAGTAACACCATGAGAGAAATTTCCTTCTGATTTTATAGAAGTCATAACTGATATTCCCAAGAAATTAAATGATGTACCCATTGGCAGATGGCTGACAATTTGGAAACTCTACATTTGCACCTAAGACTATCTACCACCAATTTTCTTATTAATGATTTTTATTCTACCTGCAGTCCCTAATACTTCTTTACTCTACCGTAGCACATTTGTCAGGAGATACCTGCATTCCTGTGTGTGAACATTTTACCATTATTCACTTTATGGGCTATGGGAATGTCATGACTGTTCTGGGCCACTGATTACACATCTCTAAAATGAAGACAGTAACAGTTTACTCATTGGATTGTCTCAAGATTAAATAAGGACATACATAAAGTGTTTATCAGAACACATGAGAAGATGTTCAACTTCTGTATTAATTAGGAAGATGAGATGCCATTTTTGGCTCATTAGACTGGCAGAAATGAAAACTTTTTTTGTAATATTAAGTGTCAAAAAAGATAGAGGAAATAGACACTCTTCTATCACTGGCAGAAACCAGAGATTTAAGTTGGTAGAGCCACTGAGGAGATCAATTTGGCAAGACCTATATCTAAAGCACTACTTCTAGATAGACAGCTATCAAGAGCATTTTTTTGCAATTGCTAAATATTATAACCAACCTAAATGTCTATTGATGAACTAATGACTGAATAACCATGATATATCTCTTGTGTGAAAGATAATATCATGTAATAAAAAGAATTGGGTAAATATGTAGTAACTAAGTTGAAAATTTCTCTAAGAAGTAGAGACAAGTGGAAAAAAAAAACCCTAAGTTTTAGAATATTATCAAATGTCACTTAGGTCAAAGAAAAAACTCGAAAATGACAATAGGTTTTACAGATATATATACGTGTTGGAAGTGCATTGGATGAAGCCTGCAAATATATACATTACACTGTTAAGAGCAGTATTCTGGAATGGTGGAGAACAGCCACGAGTTTAAATGGACATAGTATTACCTGATGTTATAAATTTTACAAAGTGAATATATTCATATATGATTTGTACACTTATAAAGGTAAAATAATAACAATAAATGCAGTTATAATCTGTCAGGTGTTGACTCTGAATCTTCATTTTCTTTCAAATAAAATTATTCATTTAGAAAACAAACTTATTGTGTGTCTACTCTGATTTACTTTCATATGACATCTTTCAACAGAATTTTTTCACTGAAAGGGAAATTATGTTTTTATTTTGCTGATGATGAAAGTGAGGTTTGGCTTAAGTGACTTGCTCAGTTAGTAAGGCACAGAGCCAGGATTGAAAACCAGCTGTTTGCCTCCAAGTTCAGTTCTCTTTCAATTAATCCAGCAAGTCTTTACTGAGCACTGTGTATGTCCCAAGCTCCATACTAGGTATTGGGGATGCAACAGGAGACAGGATAGACGTGCTCCCTGTTTTCATGGCATCACGGTCCAGCGAGAAAAGCAGACAGAGCAACATGTACTTACAATGCAGTGTGCAGTGCTTAGATTTCACGGGTAATGGCTTATTCTTCACTGACGTCTGAAACAAAGTATGGACGCACAACTAAACAACTAGTTTAGGTCTGATTCATCAGCATAAGGTATACCACCAATGTATCCTGCTGCTCCAAATATGTTGATTCTCTAATAGATCTCTGAATCAATAGTAATAATGAAGATAGTTATTGAGTATTAACTATGTGTCAGATATCATTCCAACATTTAAATATAACAGATGACACATTTAATTCTCATAATATCCCTATTAAGTAAGTTCTATTACAATCTTTATCTTACAGATGTGGAAAGGTGAGGCACAGAGATTATAAAAAAGAAAAAAAAAACAAAACAAATACACATCTGCTTAAGGCTATGCAGCTAGTAAATGCTAGAACCAGGATTCAACTCAGGGCTGTCTACCTTGCAACCCTACTCTACACTGCCTTCCCAACAAAAGGTTCCAAGCTGCTCAGCAGGACACCCCTCTCAAGGTTCCTTTTCCAAGTCTTCTCTGAAATCCGAACATACTAATAGAGTATCAGATGTCATCCTTGTACAAGAATCAGGAGTAGGTAAAGAGAGAGAGAACAGGTGGGGTCTTTGGGCTAAATCTCATGTCCCCTGTTGGAAGAAATTAATAGGTCCTAGAAAGAGGGAACTTATTTTTCAGTAAACACAAGCATGTAAAAGCATCTTGACCTCAGCCCCCTAATCAGAGGAGCATCTTGCTAATTGCCACTAATGTGATTAGCAGAATTAATTGGCCGCTCAGAAATATTACACATCAAGTCACATGGCGATTAATCTATACCAAAATTGGGAACATCATTGCTCAGTACAGAGACAGTGAGACAACTGACCTCCAAAGGGAATCCTGATGCTCTCATACATTCCTCTTATGCATCGTGAGTATGTTGTGCATTAGACAAAGGCAGGGAGATCTTTCTAACCACTCACGGAGGCTGCTTCACTAATAGTAATCTGCCACTTCCAGTCCAGCTAGAACTTCTTCCTGCCCACTCTCCACATTGGACACATTCATACTCCCACTCATTTCTCCATGTTGTTTGTGCACTGTAATGTATCCTCCTGAATCTTTGTTGCATTTTGGCAAACTCCTATTCATTTTCCAACAAGAGGTTCAAATGTCACCAATCCATGCAACTATCACTAATTCTCCCCCTCAGGTATTTCACATTGATTTATGTACAAACTCCTATTTCACTAGCACTGTTGGACCACCGTGTGTACACCTACCAGTCTCTTCCATTGGCAATGGGACCTCAGAGTCAGGGATCATGTTGTTCTTAATACTGGATCTTCAGAGCCTAAGTACAGATCTTGGTATTCAGTAAGACTCAGTAGTTGCTGAATAGTTGACTCTGTATCTCCAGACTAGGCGTGGGGCTGAGTACACACTAACTGTGGTTCCTAGGCTTGAGGGTATAGACTTAGGAAATATGCAGATTGAATCACCAGGGAATTATGTGAAAATAACCCTGTTGCTCCTACCATGTGTTTCTGATCTTGGTGAATTACAAAAGTGGAGGATCACCATCACTTTTTTTTTTTTTTTTTGTGGTAATCGCAGGGTTGGGCCTGGTTAGTACTTGAATGGGAAACCATCACTTTCTTGATCTCTCATTGCTTAAATAAATGATCAATTTATCAATGTCCTTAATTGTGATCTAATCTGCCCTCTCCCCACTAGACTTGTCTTAGTCTAGGTTTCACATTTCTCATCAGACACAGATACCTGGAGAAAGCATCAAACATGAAAGATAGAGATCAAAACAAACAAGCAGAACAAAGCAATTTGGAGGGACTTGTTGACAACTAAAAAAAAAACCCACATGCATTTAAAAAAAAAAACAAACTATTACTAACATCCCCAGAGAGATAACAGACCATATTGCAAAACTGTGAACAAAATATTAGAAACCAAGGAACATTCAGAAAACAATAAAAAGCTCTTGGAAATTAAAAATAGGACACTATATATTAGAAGCCAATAAAAGGGTTAGAGGATGAAGCTGAGGAAATCTCTTGAAAGGCAGAGCAAAACATCCGAAGATTTGGACAATAACAAAAGTGTGGGTATTACAGAACCAATCCAACAGTTCCAACATCCAAATACTAAAGTTCCAGAAAAAGAAAGCAGAGAAAATGAAGGGAGAGAATAACCAACAAAACAGGTCAACAAAATTCCCTAGATGTGAAGAATGAGTATTTCCAGAGTGAAACAGCCCACCATGTGCTCAACCAAATAAATGGATAAAAATTAATCCACATTAAGGTAGATAATGGAGCAATTTTATAATGATGAGACACTGATCATGTCATACAAGTTTGGACAGGGAATTGGGAAAAATTCATACTTAGGAATCAGAATGGCTTTAGCTTTCTCAAAAGTCACACTGGATGCTGGGATGTAATAGAACAGCACCTTCAAAGTAGTAAAGGAAAGTTATTTCCAGTCAAATTCTTCCCTGAGTGTGAGAGTCAATGACGGAAGGTCTTCACATGCTGACCTGCTGTGAACACTTTCTTAGGAAGCTACTAAAGAAAGTGCACCTCCAAGACAAGGCAGGAAAAAAAGAAAAAAAAGAAGTGAGGATGGAGTTATTGGCAATAGGAGCAGGAATACAGCAGGAGTAAAGCATAATACCCTTCTTGAAGGTAGAGTGAAAGTGGAGGAAGATCCCAGAGGACGGCACAGAGAGAGCACAACACCAGCACAGAGCAAGCCAGCAGCTCTGGGAGAGCTTTCTGTAGGAGGATGAAATTGAAAAAATAACTGAAGCATCTGAATATCTTGAGTAGAGCTTTAGATAATTGGCAAAGTGTTGGGGCTGAATTAGTAATAAAAACATAAAAATGAAGCAAACAAACCATAAACAAGTCAAATATTAGCTTCAGGGAAAACATAATAGTTGTGCAGGAAGGGAAAATAATCATAATTTACTGCATGGTTCAGTTTTGAATAGCATTTACATAGTCAAAATAGTGTAAACATTGAATGTTGATCTAGCCAAAATTAGGATATAACTTCATCGGGAGGATGGGGAAGGTAGGTGGAAGGGATGCCTGTATGAGTGATGGGTGGGGAGTACAGGGAAAGCAAAACCATTAATAGATAATGGTACAGTGGAAAAGTCACAAGTACCAATAAAGGTAGCTAATTCAGAAATATGTTTTGCATAATTATAACCAGGTGAAAAGTGTTTGCAACTGGGTGAGAGAAGTTGGAGTCTACACTTGCTCCTATCATATGCCAAAGAACAATTTGATGATTTAAACTATGCGCACATAGAACTTGGATAGATTTTTAAAAATATAAAAAAATATACAATGTGATGTCAACACCCCATAGGTTAATTCCAATTTAATGTGATGCCAATAAAAACACCAACAAGATAATTCTAAATTTTATGTGAAAAATGAACAACCAACAATATTAGACAACTGAAAATGATGAGCATTACATGGGGTGAAGGTGGGTGTTGGGGGTAGATTAGCTATCTATGATATTCAAGCATACTTTACATTTCAGTAAATAAAACTGTATAATTCCAGTATGCTAGTAGACAAAGGAATACAGTCAAAACTTAGAAGTAGACAAAATTACAGCATGGATTTAGGATATAATAAAGGTGGAATATAAATCAGTAGGAAAAGAGATACACTAGTATCTAGTACTAGTGTACTAGTAAATAGTAAATAAGTATTTACTAGTAAATACTAATACTAGTAAATAAGTATTTACTAGTAAATACTAATACTAGTAAATAAAGCTGAGTAGCCATATAGGAAAAAAAATGCAGCTGGAACTATAGCTCACACAAAGGTAAACTTTAGATGGAGCAAATAATCAAAAGTTTAATGGAAAAGATGAACCTATAAAAATAACAAGAGAGGCTACTATTTATTTATACACTTGGAGAGAAGGAAGCCCAGTGTGATACAAAACCCATAAAAGGAAAGATGGATAACATATATTGAATTAAAATTTTAAAATTTTAAAAAATTTTAAATTTAAAATTAAAATTTTAAAAAAATCTGTGTGGCTAAAATTACTGTAAAACTAAGTGATACGGTTTGGCTGTGTCCCCACCCAAATCTCCTCTTGAATTATAGCTCCCATAATCCCCATGTGTCATGGGACGGACCTGATGGGAAAAAATTGAATCATGGGGGTAGGTTTTTCCCATGCTGTTCTCGTAATTGTGAATAAGTCTCACAAGATCTGATGGTTTTATAAAGGGGCAGTTCCCCTGCACATGCTCTCTTGCCTGCCACAAGGTAAGTTGTGTCTTTGCTCTTCCTCTGCCATGATTGTGAGGTCTCCCAAGCCATGTGGAACTGTAAGTAAATTAAGCCTCTTTCCTTTATAAATTACCCAGTCTTGGGTAGGTCTTTATTAGCAGCATAAGAACAGACTAATTAATATACTATGTCAAAAACTTTAAACTGAAAAAAGCATAACTCATAGTTTTCCTAATATAGAAAGAAGTACTACAAATCAGTCAATAAAAAACAAACCTTATTTATTAATAAGCCAACAGAAAAACTGGCACAGGAGATAGTTTCCAGGGGGAAAAAAAATACAAATGACTCATAAACATTTGAAAAGATGGTCAAATTCCAGACACATAAAATGAAATTTTACTGAGATACAATTTTTCACATTTTAGACAGGACAAGTTAAAAATGTATACTTTGTTGTGAGGATGTAGAGGAAACAAGCACTGTTATGTAATTCTGTAAGAGCTGAGACGTGACACAATCTATGTAGAGAAGATAATTGAACAAATCTATGGAAATTACATCTGCAATTACCTTAGGACAAAGAATTCTACTTCTAAGAATTTTTCCTACTAATATACTCACACATGCATGAAATAATGTTTATAAGAACAAATGACTGCAAACTACTTATATATCTATTAGCAGGGGACTGTTAAATCCACCAAGTTTCATTCATATCATGAAATCATAGCCATTTTAAAAAGCTCTTTATGTAATCAAGTGACTTCCAAGATATATTGAGCAGTGACTAAAAGAAGGTACTGAACAAGAGGTCTATAAAAGTTATGTGTACACTATAGTCTATTAAGTGTTCAACAGAATTATGTCTAAAATACATGAACATTACTTACTGAAAAATACTTTGTTGCTGAAAAATGCTAAGGATCATCTGAGCCTTCAGCAAGTTGTAATCTTTTTGTTGGTGGAGGGTCTTGTCTCGATGTTGATGGCTGCTGACTGATCAGCGTGCTGGTTGCTGAATGTTGGAGTGGCTGTGGCAGTTTTTAAAAATAAAACAACAGTGAAGTTTGCAGTATCAATGGACTCTTCCTTTCACAGAAGATTACTCTGCAGCATGAGATGCTCTTTGATTGACAGCCTTTTACCCAAATGTAGAACTTCTTTCAAAATTAGAATCAATCCTCTTAAACCATGCCACTACTTTATCAAGTAACTTTATATAATTTTCTAAATCCTTTGTTGTCATTTTACCAGTGTTTACAGCATCTTCATCAATAAAAGATTCCATCTCAAGAAACCACTTTCTTTGCTTGTCCATAAGAAGCAATTCCTCATTTGTTAAAATTTTATCATGAGATTGCATCAATTCAGCTATATCTTCAGGCTTCATATCTAATTCTATTTATTTTGCTATTTCCACCACATGTGGAACGACTTCTTCCATTGAAGTCTTGAACCCCTCGAAGTCATCTGTGAGGGTTAGAATCAACTTCTCCCACACTCCTGTTATTATTAATATCTTGACATTCTCATGAATCATGAATGTCCTTAATGGCATCTAGAATGGCGAATCCTTTCCTGAAGGTTTCCCATTTATTTTGCCCATATCCATCAGAGGAATCAATATCTATGGCAGCTGTAGCCTTACAAAATGTATTTCTTAAACAAGACCCAAAAGTCAAAATGACTTCTTGATCCATGGTCTGTAGAATGGATATTGTGTTAGCAGGCATGAAAACAACGTTAATCTTTTTGTACATCTCCATTAGAGCTCTTGAATTACCATGTACATTGTCCATGGGCAGTAATATTTAGAAATAAATCTTTTATTTCTGAGGAGTTGGTCTCAATAGTGGGCTTAAAATCTTCAGTAAACCCTGCTGTAAACAAATGTGCTGTCATCCAGGCTTTGTTGTTCCATTTACAGAGCACAGGCAGGGTAGATTTAGCGTAGTGTTTAAGAGTCCCAGGATTTTTGGAATGGTAAATAAGCACAGTCTTCAACTCAAGAGTCACCAGTTGCATTACCCCCTCACTAGAGAGCAAGTCTGTCCATTGAGGCTTTGAAGCCAGACATTTGTTTCTCTCTAGCTACGAAAGTCCTAGATGGCATCTTCTTCCAACTTAAGACTTTTGTCTACACTAAAAATCATCTGTTTAGTCTAGCCACCTTCATCAATTATCTTAGCTACACATGCTGAATAACTTGCTACAGCTTCTGCATAAGCATTGGCTGCTTCACCTTACACTTCTGTTATGAAGAAAACTTATTTCCTTAAACCTGATGAGCCAAGCTCTGCTGGCTCTAAAATTTTCTTCTGCTACTTCCTCACCTCTCTCAGCCTTTATGGAATTGAAGAGAGTTAGGACCTTGCTTTGGATTAGGCTTTGGCTTAAGGGAATGCTGCGGCTGGTTTGATCTTCTGTCTAGACCACTCAAACTCTCTATGTATCAGCAATATGACTGTTTCACTCCTGTTGTCTGGAGCATATCACAGATATGTAAGAAAACCCACTGTATGCCAGACTTTGGGTAGAGGGGACATTTATTGTCTCAGCACTTGGGAGACTTTCCACTCCTCTCTCAGGAGAGAGCACAGAGAGTAGCCTGGCTGTTTATGTGAGAATGCAGGCACCAAAAGCCTAGTAAGCAAGTAAGATCACATGGTCTTGCATTCAAGTCTTGTGTAAGCTATACATTCCTGAGCTTTTAAGAATAACAGACATGGGTCTTCTTTTTTTATTTAAAAACATTTTTATTCTTAAGAGAGACAAGGTCTCATTATGTTGCCCAGGCTGGTCTCGAACTTCTGAGCTCTAGTGATCCTCCTGCCTCAACCTGCCAAAGTGCTAGGCTACTGGTGTGAGCCACTGTGTCTGACCCAGACATGGGTCTTCTATGGCTGTACACTCCCCAGCTTCGCCTTTAGATCCAAGGCCTGGGCAGAAAACTAGCAGTGCTGTGAAGGAACATACGGCCAGACACCAAGCCAAGTGCCTCAGGGCTCTGTTTTCCTTCCTGGCTTGCCCATGCACATTTAACTTCTGCCACTTCAGACCTGCCTGGATCCTCAGACCAGGCCCCGTTAAGGTCATACCCTTATCTATCCACCTGTGCTGGCAAAGTAAACTCTGCTGGACTTTTACCTTGGAATTCCGTAGTACCGGTCAAGCCACACACCTTTTCCCATGCTTCTTATATGTGTGAAACAATTCTCAGTTACCTGGCAAACAGGAGTTTTTAATCCAGGGGTTCATCAAACCACCCTAGTAGGATTCTGCAAGTCCAGCTAGAAGCAGCCAGAGCCAGCTGACAGCAGTGTGTGCAGCCCTCCACACAAACGGCCATTTGCCTGCCACCAAAAGCCACTTTTTGCACTCAATGCACACCCACTATGGCGAGATTCTTTTTTTCCCAGGTACCATTTTGCTCAACCCACACTTTCAATTCCCCAGCCTATCCTGAGGAAACAAACCTAGGCTTTACTCCCCTACCCAGAAAGAGTCTTCTCTTCCTACTCAAACTGAAACACAATGATTTATATCCACATCACATGTTTAATAAAAGAGAACCAATCTTGATTGAAAATCTTTTGAGAAGTGGTCAGCACTCTCACAATTGGTTGAAGGCACTTGGGCTGGGTCTGGTTAAATCTCTATTCTGGGTTTGACCCTAGGGCAGGTCACATGGAGCTGGCAATGAAAGACTCCCATAGGCTGTTAGGCCATCTTCACTCACAGAAGTTAGCAACAAGGTCCACAAGAATAGCAACAAGTTAGGAGAAATTAAATGCATCTGTATGTTTCTAAGTGTGTGTCTTCATTTCCTGTTTTAGATATTGTTTATATCTCAGATAGACATTTATATGTATATGTGTTTTTTTCTATATTAGTTTAAATATCTATATCTATAAATAGTTATACATAATATTTCTTATATCTCTTTCAATACATACAAATACATGTATACATAGGTAAACATTCCTGGTGTATTTGTGTGCTCATTATAGTAGCACTTTTAATTTTCTTCAAGAACTTTCCATTTGCACTGATAAAAGAAAATCTTCAGCCAAATTAAATTTAAAGGTGTTTAATTGAGCAATGAACGATTCACAAATCGGGCAAACCCCAGAATTACAGCAGATTCACAGAGACTCCAGCGCAGCCACGTGGTGGAAGAAGATTTATACACAAAAAAGGGGGGAAATAATGTACAGAAATTGAAGGTGAGGTACAGAATGGCTGGATTGGTTACAGCTTGGCGTATGCATTATTTGAACACAGTTTGAACACTCAGCAGTGTATGATTGGTTGAAGTACGGCCACTGGGATTGGCCAAGACTTAGCTATTGTTACAGCTGCATACTACTAGTTAGGTTTTCAATTCTAACAAACAACAGACAAAAAAAGAAAAAAAAAACAAGAAAGAAAGAGAAAGAAATACGGAGTCCTTCTCAGGCCATATTTAATTTCCTTTAACAGTGTTTCCAACTTAACTAACTGCTTTGTGTAAGAGGTCCAGCTTGGTGCCTGTCTGTCTTGGCTTTCAGCATGCCTTCCTCACTAAGCTTAATCACGTCTAGCTTTGGATTTAAAGTGAGAGACCTGTGACTCTTCCTTTCACTTGAACACTTAGAAGCCATCGTAGGGTAATTAATTGGCCTAATTTCAATATTTTTTTGTTTCGGGGAATATGGGGGCCCAGGAGAGGGAGAATGACAGGAGAATGGATGGTCAGTGGACAGTCAGAACACATACAACATTTACCCACTATGTTTGCTCATTGCTAGAAAGGCAACGTTTGTGCATCCCCAAACAATTACAACATCAAAGATCACTTATTACATATCACTGTCATAGATCTAATAGTAATGAAAACGTTTGAAATATTAAGAGAATTACTGAAACGTAACACAGAGACATAAAGTTAGCACATGCTGTTAAAAAAAATAGTGCCTTATAGACTTGCTTGATTCAGGGTTGCCACAAACCTTCAATTTGTAAAAACATACAATATCTATAAAGCTCAATAAAGCAAAGTACAATAAAATGAGGTATGCCTGTGTACGCTTTTGTGTGTTTTGAATTTTGAGCCTCAGAACTCTAACACTTATTTAGAAAATTACATGTTACATTAGCAAAAATCTTGTAAAAATGCTACCTAAGAAGCTCTACAGTAAGTGAAAAGTTCAGAAAAGTGGAAACTTGCTAACATGGACACCAAGAAATACTAAAATTATTTTCTATATCCTTGTAAGTTATCTCTTTCCTTAATTAGTCTGAGTGACATAAACTTTCTATATGTATATGTGATAGAAACACTGTAAAATGAAAAAAAAATATATTATTTAGAGACTTTATAGTCACAGAAGGGAATAGATGCATTATTTTCAAATGAGGAAATATTTTTATTAATAGAAAAGCAAGTCGAGTCTTAGAATAAAAATCACATCATTAATTGACAGATAAAAGACTGATAAAGTTCAACCTCTACTTTTGATTAAATCTTTCAGCAAACTAAGAATAAAAGATAACATTCTTAACTTGTTAAAGGTTATACCTAAAACCTATAGTAAATAGTATACATTTTTGAGAAACTGTAGAAATATTCCCTTTAATATTAAAGAAAACACAAAGGTCCCTATATCCCAGGTTCTGCTTATCAAAGAAAGAGAAAAGGATCAGAATGAGGTGTAAATATTAGAAAGGAAGACATATAATTGTCATTATTTGCAGATAATACAATCATATATACAGAGAATGCCACACAGTCAACAAACTATTAGAATCAATAAGTTTTACTAGGTAGCTAGATATAATATCAACTCCAGAAAATCAATAGCATTTTTCTACACCATCAATAAGTAACTAAAAAACACAGTTAAAAAAGATACCATATACTATGATAACAAAAACTATAATATGTTTAAGAATCAACAATCAAGAACTCCTAAGACCTATATGAAGACAACTTTTTAAAAAATCTGATAAGGTAATGGACATGAAAAAACTCAACAAATCCAGGCATTCTATGATCTTGGATAGGATACAATGATATAACAAATGTGCTATATTATTATTAAATTAATTTACAAACTCAATGCAATCTTGTAAAAATTCTAATTGGACTCCTATAAGAACTAGATAAACTTAGCTTAAAATTTATAAGAAAGAATAACAATCCATGACTAGCTAAGATGAAGGATGGTGACTTGCCCAATCCAATACTGAAACAGAACAAAAGGCACAGTAATAGTGGAATTGAATAATGAGCTCTGAGAAAGGCCAATGAAAATATAAAAATATATCATGTAATAAATGTTAAATTGCACATCAATAAAAAAGTGATGGACAGATTTGTAGATATGTTGGAAATACTGGATCACCCTATGGAAAAAAATAAAACATGCAAAGATAGATTTCAAATGGATCAAATAACAAAACATAAAAACTGAAACTATAAAGTTATTAAGAGAAAATATAGAAGACTATACTTGTGACTTAAGGGTGGAGGACTTAAGACTTGAAAGACACACATCATAAATCAAAGCACTGAGGAATTTTATTATCTAAAAATTATGGATGTATATTCAGTAAAATAAGCAGAACACAGATTGGGAAAAGATACTTGTGATGTCTTAAATCGACAACCAAATAATATCCAGGATATAAATGCAACTCGTGAAAATTTAATAGAAAACACAGGAACCCTTTCTCCAAGAAACGCGCAGGTGTTATGTGAACAGTCAATAAAGAAGAGGGAAGGCAAAATATTAAGGAGCATTGGACTGATGCTCCAACTCATTAGTTATCAGAGAAATGAAGATGAACACAATGTACAGTCATTTACACTGAATAGGTTGGCAGAGAAATAAGAAAGCTAGGTAGTGCTACTCCAGGGCAGAGCTGGGGAGCTCTAGAAACTCACCTGCAGCTCGGGAGCATGGACTAGTGCAGGCATTTTGCAAAACAATCTGTTATACTTAGTCCAACTAATCTAATGTAAACCCAGACATTCAACTCCAATTTATAGTCCAGAGAACTTCTCACAGGGCCCTCTGGGTGAAAGTGTATCAGAACATCATAGGCAGTAGCGGTGATTTGGAGACAGTCTGCTCACCGATTACGGGGTAATGGATAACAAAAGTGTAGACTATGATGCAAAGCTTAGAAGTAATGTGTGAAATGTACATACAGTAATCTGGATGGAAGTTAAAAAAATAGTACTGATTGAAAAAAAAAGGGTGAAGTAGAATGAGTGATAAATGATTTATCCGTGTACGTTTAAAATACTCAGATTAACAAAGTAAATTTTTCCTGAACACAAACAAAGCAGTGTAAATTAAATGTATTAAGTGGGCAGTGGGGTTGGGGAGGGACACGGGAGCAGAGAAGAAGGAGATAAGAGGGTTACTCAATAAAAGAAACAAGCAGGAGTGCTTTGTGTACCAATGTGATTGAATGCTATAAACTGTGGCCCATCATTAACTCAACTACCTGCACTAGAGATCAACAGAAAAGTCAGGTTCATCTCACCTCCATGAAATAAATCTTGGAGAACTATCCATGTGAAGAGGCACCTGTTTATTCATCTGCTTAGAGCCATGTGTAAACACATGCCCCTCAGTGGCAAACCCTCGCCACAGCTGGTGAATGGGAGGGGAAGGTTGTGGTTTATGTGATGCACAGTCTCTAGTAGCCAGCTGCGACAACACTGCCTTATTTCCCATTGATCAGACACACCTAGGGCATCTCAACACTACTGTGGAAAATCGTGGTAGTGGGTCAAGAAAATCTCCAGGGCAGATATCTACTTTGATTTATTTCTATCTCAAAAATTAATGGAATAAATACTTCAAAACTTTGCCAAAAGTGCTTAGACAAAGACCAGACTGTTTGTTTCAAATTGAAAATGGGCATGAACTGTGAATGGCTCGAGATTTTGTAATTTTTAGGAAGACTGTGGGCTAATTTGCAATTGAAAAATCACGAGAGCCATTTATAGAATGACCACTCTGTATTGAATAGCTATCGCTTTGTCTTCTGTACGCCCCTTGCTTTTGTGAATTGTCACTCTCCTCCATGTTATCCTGATAGGTTGCCAATCACCTCCCCAACTTTCTTGCCATAGGGGTACGTATGTGACTTTAGGAAGGACAGTGAGAGCCTGCCATTAAAGACTAGAAGTATCTCCAGACCACCGTTCCAATTTCTTGAAGGGACTCACTAGCAAATGAAAATAACAAAGAGAAAAGCAGTGATGTGAGTGGGAAGGGAAAGGGGAGAGAGGGAGAGAGGGAGGAAATGAAGATAGGCATAAGGCAAATGCCACCCCTGAGCTTTTAAATTATATGAACCATGAAATTATTCTTTGGATTAGGGTTTTTTTTTAGTTGAGTTTCTATCAGTTGAATCCAATAGAATAGATATCCCACCTCAAAACACACAACCAGTGAATAGCAGACCTAGTTGCATTCTTGATCCAAAGCCAAGTTACCCCCTATTAACCCATGGTATCTCTTGCCTAGACACAAATTCCGACTGGTACAAAGGAACCACTTTGGCTCCTGGCACAGACATTTATTGCATTGCGGGGCTAAGCTGCATCCTTTATAGGTAGATCTAAGTTTTAGAAATTGCTCAAGATTACACCTGTGGAAAAAAAGAGAAAACCCAGATTACATCTGTGGAATAAAACTGAAAGCCCTTCCAGAAAACACTGAAAGGAAATAAGCATGATGCACTATGTATCTATCATACACTTGGTTTTGAAAGCATTTCTCAGTGTGTCTAAGTCTGATTTGAGCCATGGCCTCCTCATTACCACAAGTAAATTGCCACCAAAGGAGGCTTCTTTGAAAAGATACAGGGCACAGAATGTGGTCATCGGAATTGGACTCGATTCTCCCCTTACTGTGTGTATAACTGGGTAATGTACTTAACCTCTCTATGCTTCAGGGGCCTGGTGTATAAATTGGGGTAATGATAGCTTCTTCATGCATTGTTTTTCATAGATGAAAGGTAATCAAACACATAAAACATCTGGAAGAATTCTTGCACATTGTTGACCCTCAACAAATTATATATCTCTTTATATAAGGGGTATGTTTTATGGATTTATGCATATTAGACGTTTTAAGGCATTAATCCTGGTGTATTGATTAAAACATCTGCCTTGTTACTCTATCATCATACCCTGCAAAGAGCTGGGCCACTCCCATTTCATACACTTCCCCGTGGGCTCATTCTTTTAGAAATAGTCATCAGGCACACACAAAAAGCAATTTAAATGGTTCATCTTTCCTCTTTTCATCCATAGACAAATTTCAATAATTATCTTAGTCAACCCATTAATTAGTCTAAATTTGCCCAAGCATAATTGATGCTGCCTACACTATTTTCTATAAAAATTTGAAATGGATGGCTAAACAGAGATTTTTTTTGTTTGTTTGACTAAGTGCATTTTCCCTCTATGCAAAATGTGTTAGTCAATGCTTATCTGGTGTAATAAGCTTAGCTTTTAGTGTTCGTGTCTACATCTGTGATAGAAAGAAGTTTGAATCTCTAAGTTCAAATTATGCATTGGCAATTTCTAGCTTGTTGACTTACGGTCTGCCCCTTGAACTCTCTGAGAAAACCTGTGGCCTTACTTGTTGAATGGGGGTCTGGCTGACTAGCCCTGCCTTCTGGAACCCTTCACCTACCTAGGTTTTCCCAGATAAACATTGGTATGACTACTATACCCACATCCTTGAGTACTTTGTTTTCCTGGACCTTCCCCATTCCTTGCTTGTTTGTTTTCCCTAGGGTTCCAGTCATTCTTAATCCCTTTCTACTATTTAGCAATTCCTGGATAATCTGACTGATCTCAAACTTTCATTACCACCTATACATGAAGGGGATGCTTCTCTTATGTTACCATCAGTCTATAACACCAACTTTGCTGTGCATCATTCTTTTCTAACCTCTAGAGAATTCTTTTCAACAGGTGCTGTGTTCCTCACAGAAACTATTAAGGGAATAAATATAGGGAAACCTACAACAGCATAAAAGCCTCAAGGTTTGTTGCTGGACTCATGATGAAGATGAGACCAGATGAAGGAATACATGAAAGGAATAACTTTCAAACCAGCTTCCTGAGCAATTTCAGATACCCTGGGAATCAGATATAGGCAAACAATACCTCCTTAACCTGAATTGGGAAGAGAGATGGCAGATGCCACTGAAGACACATATGAAGCACAGAGCAAAACATCCAGAAGCAAACACAAACATAAATAAAAATTCAGAATCTAAAGATCGATCAATGCAGCAGAACAATGTTACATTATTCAATAGTCTTGCCATAATGGGTTAAGTGTGTGAAAAATATCCAATCTTATCCCAAAATAAATGCTAGATGAAATAAAGCTCTCAGTGTAGCACAAAAGCAAACAAAAATGACACCACAATTTAGATGAATATAAAATTTTTTGCACGAAAATGTTTTTACAATACATCGAAACCAAAACCATTAAAAATAAATACATTTAATCACATAAAGGATCATATTTTCTCATGATCCTAGGCCATCAACACATTCAAAGGCACATGTCTAAATTGGAAAATATTTGCCATGCATAGAACCAACCAAGATTAATGCTGTTAATACATAAACTGTTCTTACAAATCAATGAGAAAACTAATGAGTATCCCCAAAGAAAAATGTACAAGGGAAGTAAATTCGTAGTTTAGAAAAGAAGAAATACAAGTAGCCAGGAAGCATGAACAACAGTTCCACTTTGGGTATCAAAGAAATGAAAATTAAAACAATAAGATTTTTGATATATGATGTTTTTATTCATTAAAATGAAAAATAGTCTCAGGTACTGGCAGGCAAGGGCAATAAGAACCGCCTTGAGTAGCGGTACAGTCAATTTTAGAGGTCAGCCTGGCCCTTTTTAGTCTATATCTCTATTCTACATCTAAAATTTCAAAATGTGAATAAGTTTTCACTTGGCAACTCTACTTCTAGGAATTTACCTGAAAGAATCATGTGAACTTGCAATGACGCATGTACAACAATGCTCTCTGAAATGGTATAATAATGGAAAATTGGAAGTAGCATAAAATTCAATGATAGGCTAGCTCAAACAAAATCTCTTCCCAAAAGAGTTCTTTAAATTTATTTCTTCTTCCTCACTATGTGCCATTCTGTGCCAAACACACACCAGTCTTTCTTCTCCACACATTTTTCCTTTCTTTCTCCCACATATGCATTTACTTTCTCTCAGCCCATTTTCACTCTCTCTCATTTTTACCTTCTATCTCCCCCTTCCACTCACATTTACTTTCCTTCTTACTGACCATTTTTCTTTTCTCTAAGCCATTTTTGCTTTTCCTCTCATGCATGCTGTCTTCCTTTCTCCTTTCCCCCAACACTTTTTCTTTTTCTCTGTCACTGACTTTTACCTTCTCTCTTATATCCATGTTTACTTCATTCTCACAGTTAATAGTTTTACATTCTCTCTCTTGCACTTTCATTTTCTTTCTTACACATACTTTTACTTGACCTCTCTCCCCCACACTTTCACTTTCTCTCCCACACCGTGACTTTTACACACACCTTTTTATTTTTGTTCTCACTCAGTTTTCCTCTGTAACCCAGAGAAGAGGGTGAAATGTCCAGATTAGAGTTTATCCAGTCACGGGGCAGCCAGGACTGGGTTGAGACCTGAAGCAGGAGGCTGTTGCAGTATTCCAGGATGGAGCTTAGTTTTTTCTACCAAGCAGCAGTAGCAGGATGGAGGGGAAAACTGTGGATGCAGAAGACATTTCTAAGGTGGAGCTGATGGGTCTGAGCAACCGTTTGGTGAATGAATGGTAGCATCTAAGATGATGTCAAAGTTTCTGGCAGGGACAGCAGAGTAGAAAATGTCACCAAGGCCGCAGAAAGTGGTAAAAGGAAAAGGCCTGGGTGTTCCTTGATCCTAGAGCACCTATATCTAAGGCAATATAATCTTTGCAGGATTTTCAGACCAAAAAAAACGTTCTTGGGAGAAGAGAAAAGAGTCCGTAATTGCCTACAGAGAGTCCTTGAATTTTGTTTCTTCAACTGAGCAATTCTCCCTCTTGTATGCCATTCAGGGGCATCCTTAAAATATTTTTACTCCAATGTCTATAATACTAATCTGTATGTCTTTGTGTATCCAAAAAGCACTTGTACCCCCAAACCTACTGAAATTCTTAAAAAAAAATTCTGTAAAACTTAAGCTTCGTGCATTAATGGATTTTTTAAAATAGAGCTATCACAGGATAACAAATTTTGCCCACCACTAGCTAAATGCTGGCTGCATCATCTCTTTGCACAATGTCATTGACACAATTATATCCCCAAAGGGCTTGCAGACTCTGTGAGGGCAGGGAGGCTGTCCTCACTGCTCAGCACAGGTCCCAATTGCCTACAAGAGTAACAGCCTCTTAGTGGGTACTCAGGAAATATGCTGGGATGAATAAATATTTAAAATCTTTCTCATGTTGTCAGTCATTATTGTTCTGTAAAAACTGAAAACTGAAGTGAAATTATGGAACCACTCGCATTTTTGATGATAAGTGCAGGCCCATAAACCCGAGGCAATGATGGAAATCATTAAGCATCATTGGAAGTGGTACATTTTTAGTTTCAATTGGATGCTTATTGGACTTAAGCTGGTCAAATTTGTGCTCAAGTGTCAATGAAAAGAACAAAATTAAAGATATATTGAATGTTGGAAACAGAGCTTTGAAGATTTTATGTAAAAGGTGAGGCAAGTTGGGGAGTTATTATTTTTTAGATTTCTTGAAGCAAACCTCCTCACTCCCTACCACAAAAAGAAAAGCTAAGTCAACCGTTCCAACACAGACATTTGACTTTTATGCAATTTTTCAGGAAAGTATTGTGTTATGGAGTAGGAGCTGCCTGTCCCAATTGCTTATCCTAGTATTTCATCTACAGAGACAGGTGAATTCTTGTCAGCAGATCAGATTGTGGGAGGTGACAGACAGTCCAGCTCTCCAATGTGACCTTCAGAATAATTCAGAGCATTGCTGCTACACTCCTGGGGACAGATGGAAATCTAATGGGTACAGAATGCTCTGGGCCTGGAAGGAAGGATTTAATGCTCAGAGAGGCACTTGGTACATCATCCATTGTTTATCTTCATGTAAAAGATTGTTTAATTAATCAACTCAAAGTATTCATGCTACTTTCCCAGGGTCTGAGGATACAGTCATAGAAATACTGATAAAAATCCCTGCCCTCATGGAGCTGACAGTCTAGGGCGGCCAGGTGCAGATAGAAAATTTAAAAACTAAATAAGTAAACCATACAGAACGATAATAGAACATGATGAGTACGAGAGAAAAATAAAGCAGCAATCACGGCAGGCAGTTTAGGTGTTGCTAGCAAGCAACTGCAACTCCCAATAGGGAAGTCAGGGAAGTTGTGCTAGGATGTGTTATTGTTCAATATCCATTATTTCTTCCACTCCAAGATGACTATGCATCCCGGCATCCCGGACACCGCCACGTAACTTATAGTCCTTCCCCGCTGGCTGAGGAGACCTCCTTGCCCCAGAGACAGGAGGTTTGCCATATGACTTGTTTTGACAAATGGAATATGAGCAGGTATTGCTGTACAGAACATCTAAAGGAATGTACCTGTGTCACTTAGCTCAATCTCTTATGTCTATCGTCTACCATGAAAATGAAATGTCCTAGACAAGGGCTGGTCCTCCCACCTGCTTGTGGAATGAGAAAACATGTGGCGAGAGCCATGCCTCCAGCAAGCCCACACCTAGGAGGGACGTGAGCAAGGAAAAAACAAGTTTGTCATGTAAGCCAATGATAGGATTTTTCTGTTACCACCATAAAGCCGATTAATATAAAAAAGCCTTTCTAAGAGGTGACATTTATGCCAAGACTGGAAAGAGATAAGATGATAAAACTGAGGCCCAGAGAAGTGATGTAACTCTCTCAAGGCACACATCTATTAAGCGACAAAGACTCTATTGAAAATCTTTCTCTCTGCGTTTGTTCACACTATCTCCTCAGGCAGGGACTTGCCTAGCTCAGATCACAAAACCCACAGGGTCAGCAATATTTTCCCATCCTGGCCAATTGTATGTACAGCCTCCATCCTTAAGTTACTTGAGGCACATGGCCCTCTCCTGCAACTGAAGAGAAGTGTGACTGAGTCTGCAGCTGAATTCTTCCATCTCCTTCTCATCTTTTACATCTCACTAGAACCCTGCAATTAGCTTGTGAGACAGGGCAGGATGGTGAATATCAACATCTCATATTTACAAATGAGAACACTTAGGCTGGGAGCTAAGCGACTTCCTTAAAATCATGAAGTAAGTGGATATTGGCGGTGGAAACCCCACCTTCCTGAAACCAAGAATATCACTGCATCACTTGAATTTTTATATACTTGAGTATTTGAGCATCAATTCGCTATCCCTATATATATATATATCCCCTATCTATAATAGATAGATGAAGAAATTAAAGCTCAGAGACATGAAGTAACTCTCAGAAGTTCTCACAACTTAGAAGAGCAGATTAGAATCAAAGATTTTTCTCACTCCAGAACCTGTGCATGGTATGAGCCCTGTCCTCTTTGTGACTTTCTATGAGGATGCAGAATGATGGCTGTTGGCCACGAAACACATTGCACAATGTTGTTAGTTTAAAGAAGTTCAATGAACATTATTGCTTAGTCAATTCATCCTCAACTGAGTGACATTGCTGGTGCCCAGGGAGAGCCAGATTCAATGTTCATGAGGAAGCTGCATATCATGATGTGCCTTCAATCAGAAAGAGCTACTCCGCACCAGGGTCTGAGACCACCACCAGCCAAATGTCTAAGGGAATAACAGTGAGAGGGATGCGTGTCTCTCTCCCCTGCACTTTTGCTTTGCCAGACACTTTTCGCTACTGGGAAAGACTAACATCCTATACATACAGAAGGCAACCCAGTGTGGCAGAGGCAGGATGGTTAGGGTTGGAAGTTCAGCTCTTCCATGGAAAGGCTGTATTGCCTTAAGCAATGACCTCAAAGGCTTGTTTTGCGGGCTCACCCCACAACTCATTCATTGATTCCTTCATTCACTTATTTAAATGTATATTAAGTACTCATTATATATCAGTTATTATTCTAGACCCTAGGAATACAGCAATAGCAACCAGACAGTCTGCTCCGTGAATACCTCCAAACCCTTACCACTGTTTCACTCTAAATGTACAGAATGGCTACTCTGCTCCTACCCCTTGCTCTGCAAAAAGGGCCTCTGCAACTAACACAGTAGTCCCCCAGATCACAGGAGGTCTCAGAGCCAGAGACAGGTCATGGGCAGGTAGAATTCCCCTAGAATCTCCATCCCTCTGCTAATACAAGTAAAACTGACTCATAACCCCACCTTTCATGACACCCTTGGGCAGCCCAGCCCAGACAACTCTGCTACCAGAGGTCAAACTATTAGCCCTTCTCACCATTTTTTTAATGTTTCCAGGTGAGTAGAAGAGCAAATGGATCCAGACAATCAATAGCAAGGGGACAGAAAGTCATTGTGGAGTAGCAACTTTTGCTTGTATAAAATTGTAAAAACAAAAACAAACTATCAAGCAAAAATAGACATACGAAGAAAATGGTTGAGTTTCCTATGTAGAGAAAAACTGGAAATGTGTACCTCACCTTTGCTTCCTTTACCTGGATAAGCCCAATAGCCCAGCTCCAATGTTGAAATTCTCAGGAAGGCTGGAACAGCCATTCCCCTGACCCAGGAGACCTTTCCCATGGCCAACCCATTGGGCAATTACAAATAGAAATATTCTTTCAGTTAAATGAATGAATTACTTGTTTAACTGAAAGGTAGTTAGTATTGTCACTGTTGGTGTTTGTTTTAAACTTTTACATTCAGGGGTATAAGTACAGGTTTGTTATATAGATAAACTTGTGTCATGGGGGTTTGTTGTAGAGACCCCTGGTGTTCATCACTCAGGTATTAAACCTAGTACCCTTTAGATATTTTTCCTGATCATCTCCCTTCTCCCACCTTCCACCCTCTGAAAGGCCCCAGTGTGTGTTGTTCCCCTCTATGTGTCCATGTGTTCTCATCATTTACCTCCCACTTATAAGTGACAACACACAGTATTTGGTTTTGTCTTCCAGCGTTAGTTTTCTAAGTTTAATGGCCTTCAGCTCCATCCACGTCCCTGAAAAAGACATGATCTCATTCTTTTGTATGGTACATGTACCATGTTTTCTTTATCCAGTCTACCATTGTTGGGCATTTAGGTTGATTCCATGTTTTTGCTATCGTGAATAGTGCTGCAATGAACATACACATGTATGTGTGTTTATAATACAATGATTTATATTCCTTTGAGTATAATCGTAATGGGGCTGCTGGGTCTAATGGTATTTCTGTTTTTAGGTCTTTGAGGAATTGCCACAAAAAGTAATCTCATATACTGTTGGTGGGAGTGTGTATTATTAGCCCAGTCACTGCTGATCTTGACAAACCCATAAAGAAGAAAATGGACTCACACGGCACAGAGGGGTATCTCAAACCCAACTCTACTAATCTCAAACCCAACTCACCCTCATGGATTTTCCGATTCCCATCAGTACCGGCTTAGAGTTACTCTTCTGACGAATATTGCACTGATGTAACCACCGACAATACAGCCACGTGCATTTACCTTAAAGTGTTGCTCCATGCCAGCTTGTGGCTGATGCAAAGCTAGCTGGCCAGAAATAGGATCCTTGGGATTCACGCCAGCTTGGGGATCAACATCCCTAAGACTCTGAACAGAATTCTCCATGTGAAGGAGTTGGACACACTGTGACCAAGATGGAAGCTTTCATGTGTCGACTGGATGGTCCCCATCAAGGCTGTGTGAGTTTTCTGGGTGAACTCCATGAGGACAAACACCCCAAAATGAGGCCAAAGGCCAGATGTTCCTGCACGGTCTTTCCACAGTCCTAATAATATCCTTAGTGCTTATTATGAACTATGGGTGATTATGCTGATGGAATAGAACATTGTAGAGGCTTAAATCTATATAAATTTCTGCAAAATTCTGCCCTTTGAGCAGGATTTAATGTTTAATTCCATGCTGCCTGATCTGTGATGTATACAAGGATTCCAAGTTATACCATTCACCTGAAAATCTGCAAACCACCCTGGAATTTGTCTTCATCGTCTTTCTTTTTGTGGCCCCAGAGACCATAGTTACAGGGAAGCAAGGCTAGATGGGGGAAGCTTCTCGTCTTAGCAACATATGTAACTTATGCAAAGCAGCTAGTAGAGTCCTGGCACCCACTAGGTGAGCAGCAAACCTGTTTTCTTGTCTCTATGCCATACTTTTGTTTTCCAAGAAGTTCATTTGATAGATTTCTAATACATTCCAAGTTTCTGCCTCACGATGTCTAAAGGCATGCCATTACTATTAAAGGAGGGACAGTAAGTGACCAGCAAGAGAATGGAATGATTAATCTAGAGTCTACAGGGCACGGCATGACATTATAGTCTCTTCCATTGATGCTCTTTGACCCCTGACTTGAAGAAGCTGGGCTCTGAGAAGGGAGAACAACTTGGTCTCCAAACATCTCTGCTGATGCTATTCTAAATGCAAAGAAATGTCAAAGCTGAAATAACCATAATGCAATTGTACTTAGCCTGTTTGCTGAAATATCAGTCATTGCTTTGCACAGCAATTCCATTTTTAAAGTTCATTGTGCTAGAAAAATGTTGCAGCTCCTTAATTCTTACGTTCTCATCCAAGCCGGGTGGGAGGTGAGAAGTTTTTGAACTGTATGAAAATCCATATTTCAGCAGCATTACCGAGCTCTCTTTCAGCATCCTGCACATTTTCTCTTCCCTGAACCCAGAGAAATCTCCCACTTCCATGGCCTGCCCTCATTTTGACAGCAAACATTAAAAGAGCATCGGCAGAAGCACAGATGAAAAAAGAACAACACAGGGTTGCTGAGCACCCATCCTGTTGTCTGAGGAGGACCAGGCTCACTGGGAACTCTGGGTTGAGTCTGGTTCGCTCAACCTCTAAGGGTATCAATGACTGATGTTCTGGAAGCCGACTTCTACAGGTTGCCTCAATGGGCTCTTGGTTTCGAACTTCTGGTTATATTCAGCCAATAGGAGGTACAGGCATGGGATTGGAGAATAGGAGGATGGCGAGGTTGGGCAGTGATTCTCTCCCTGCTTTTCCATGGTTTGTACAGTGGCTACATTCTCCTACAGCAGCATTTCTCAACCTCAGTTCTATTGGTATTTGAGGCCAAACAACTGTTTGTGATGGAGGGTCATCTTGTCTTGTGTGTTGTTGGATATTTCAAAGCATTCCTGGCATCTACTCACTGTGTGCCAGTAGCACACTCGCCAGGTTGTGACCAAAATGTGACCAAAAATGTCCTCTGGGGGAATATTGCCAATTTCTCATAGGGAGCAAAATTGCCTCAGGGTACATCTCTATAGACGGCCCTTTCATTTAATTCCCACTGCTAACCCATTCACAATGCTCTCTGCAAGTAGCTGGGACCCCAAGGTAAGTGAATACTAGTATATGTGGTCCTCAATATGGATTCTCTTTGTATGTAATTGGAGGTGCTGTGTCCTTTAGCAGACTGCAAGCCTTCTGAGGGCAGTGACTAGGGCTCCCGCATAAAGCACACCCCACCCAGGAGGCTTCAAGCACAATGTGGCCACTGGAAGGAAACACTTCTAGGTGCTGCTAGAATCCCAGGGGCTTTAGTGAAACTCTCTCTTTCCTGGATTCCTCCTCAGTGGAAGCAGAATACACAGGGACACTGCTCCCTCCACTCTCCACCCCCAGCCTCTTTTTATAATGACTCTTCCTGTCTGTGGGCTACTTCCTCCTGGGGAACAGAAGGTCTAGGAGGCCTCTGAATTGGCACCAGCGCCCTGTGGTTAACTTGTGTCTGGCAGCAAAAGCTGCTGGTCCCTAGGATGCAGCAATCACCTCTAAATGAGGTCTGCCTTTGCTACATTTAAGGACTGTAACAATTGCTTTTTCTCCCTTGGAAATATAACCTTAGAGATGAACTGCTCTTGATTCAGTAAACGTCTGTGCCAGTTTCCTTAGAGGCTACCATGAGAAGGTACTAGCCTCCTTCCACAAACTCAAGAGGAAAGCACAAACCTGCAATCATTGCCCATTTTCCTAAGTCCCTGCATAGGGCTGAGGCCAAGGGCAGAGGCTGGGCCGGGACTCTAGAAGGCAGCAGGGAGGTGTGTTGGGTCTGAGTTGTTTCTGGATTGCAAGTGTCATTGATGCATATTTAATACCAATGACACTGCTCTGCTGTCACTATCAGTGCCCCATGCAAGCCTTGGGGACATCTTAAGGAAAAAACTGGCATAAATGATCCCATAGGTGTGTCCCTGTGAAGCTGTGTTTAAAGTTCTCCTAGATTATATTTAGATCCTGGCATGGCTTCTCCAGTTATGGAACTGTGTGTACTGCTGTTTGGTTCTTGCCAGGTCTGGTTTTTCATGGAGTCAGGGTGTGGGCTTAGAATGCTGATCTCCACACTTGGTCATGCTGCTTGCCTTTGCCAAGCTAGATGTGCTAAAGGAGTGAGGGATCAGGAGAACTCTGTTCCTGGCCCCCAGTAAGCAGGTGCTGCCAGTTCACACTGACACGCACCGCTGAAGAGCATAAAACTATAAAATGGAGTTTCTGCCTCAGTTTCCACATTTGTGCTAGATTTCTGTTGGGACTGCTGCCTCATTGACTGTAACCCTCATACTGGCTGTTGTTCCCCCCAAAACCCTCTCAGGGATGGAACCTAGAGCTAGCTGTACCTCCATCCGATTGGTGATGGAGGAAATCACAGTTTTATTCTCCCCTGGCTCCAGCGTTGAAATCAGGCAGCCTTGGTCTAAAACATTAACTCAGAGCCAGTCACCTCACCTTCTGGGTTTCAGTTGCTTCGTCTGTAAACTAATGTTGAATATTTTAATCCTTTCCCACTATTTTCTTCTGAGCTGTAATTTGCATTCAGTAAAATAAACAAATCTTAAGTGTACAGCCTAATGAATTTCTATACATTCACATACCTGTCATCCAACCCAATATAGAGAATACATTTCCAGCCCTCCAGAATTATCTTGTTCCCTAACCTAGGTAATGCCACACCCCCATAGGGAACCACTGTTTTGGAGTTCATCAACATGAGTAGTTTTGCCTGTTTGTGAATGTCATATATATGGAATCCTACAGTATATACTGTTTGCGTCCAGCTTTGTTTGTTCAACATATAAGTTTTGAGGTTAATTCACATTATGGAGTGTACAGATAGCCAGTCCCTTTCTGTTGATAAATAGTATTCCACTGTAGCAGTACAATACAACAATGTATCCATTCTACTTTGGATGTCATTTGGGTTGTTTTCATTTGGAGACTATTACAAATAAAGCTATTACCAACATTCTTATGTGGGAATGTTTATAGAAATATGCATTCATTTCTCCTGCGTTTATTCCATGGTCCAGTACCAGGGATTTAAGCACCAAAATTCATTCCACACTTAAGTTCCTCATCAGCACATTTTGATGCCCAGAGGCACCTGAGGCTCAGCAGGTTCTACATGGAGTCCATCACCCTCATCACTCAGCCCTGACAATCCCTCCAGGCTCAGGGCTAAACATCTCCTCCAGGGCTACAGGCCAGCCATCCTCAGCTTCTAGTGCTTTGAATATGCCTTATTCTCCTTCTATCTTCCTGGCCTTCAGAATAAATTAAAGTCAGATGATTACATCCCCTTTATACAGAAATATATTCTAGAAAGATTAAAAACTCGAAGGCAAAACAAAACAAAACAATAAAAGTGCTAGAAGAAAATCTGAAGTATCTTTTCATATTCTTGCTTTGGTTGCCTAAAAGTGTAATAAGGTTAAAAGCAAGGAAGAAAGACTGAAATAAAAATTAAAAACATCTCTATATAAAAAGAGTATAAAGAAGACAAATCTGTTAAAAACTAAATAAATTTATTTAGTTTATTCTTTACTACTAATGTGTCGAAAAACACATATTATCCTTAATACGCAAAGGGCTCTTGCAAAATAATAAGAGATGTGTAAAGCTCCCCAAAGAAAAAAATGCATAAAGAAGTAGCAACTGGTAATATAAAGGTCCAATAAGCAAGAAAAAGTTGCTCAACATAATCAATCAACAAAGAATAACACATTAAAACAAGCTATTATTTTTTACTAATCAGATTAGTTTTCAGACAATTGATGGTTTTGGGAAATTAGACCTCTCATATGCTCTTGGTAGAATTATAAATCAATACCTCTTTTCCAAGAAGATATTCCTATGATGATCAAACACCATATAAATGTGGCCAAGTAATTCAATTTCTAGGAAGATGTCCCAAGGAAATGGTTGTATATATACACAAAGATATGTACCAGCCTGTTCATAACAGAAGTGCATAAAAATTTAAAACCTGAAACAACCCAAATGCCCAGAAATAGGAAAATCATGAAGTAAAGTAGGGTACATACATATAATGGAATTATATGCAGCCATTAAGGTGATTGGATAAATATGTCTTTATCATGGAGAGCTGTTCATATCCTTTTTGAGAGACTGAAGTAGGTTGCAAAAAATAAGTCAAGATATGATTCCATTATTGTGCATGTGCGTGTGTGCACACACATGCCCACGGCAAGTGTTTGGAAGGTGTTCTATTCAGGGTAAGTGAACCTCAGTAACCTCAAAGATTTAACACAAGAAAGATTTCTTTTTCGCTCGTGTCACAGTCAAAAATGAATCTGCAGGGTGGCTCTGCTTCACTTTGTCATTGAAAAGCCCAGGCTCCTTCTATCGGTGGCTCCACTGTCCCAAAGAGTCTTGAAGTCCCCCTCTGGACCCTCTGTATCTCACCATCAGAAGAGGGAAGAAACAGTGGGGGTGGGGTGTTTACAGGGCCAGGGCTGGAGGTGACTCATTTCTTCCCAAATACCACTAAAACATAACCACAGGGTAACCCCTAACTGCAAAGGGGCTGAGAGGTGTAGCCTTGCTGTATACCCAGCAACCGCCTAGTCTCCTTCACAGAAAGAAACAGCAAAATTCTAACATGATTAGGTCTGGCTAGAAATATTTGGGATCAACTTTGCTTTCTCCTTTCACTCTTCCACATTGCCCAGACTTTTCCCAAAAGATGTGGGCTACTTTTAGAATAAGAGCAGAAAAGCCCAATACAGCTATTGCCAGCCTTCCATATTTGCAGGTTCTGCATCTGCAGATTCAACCAATCATGGACTGAAAATATTTGAAGAAAAAACAATTAGAAATAACAATACAACAGTAAAATACCAGCAAACTAACACAGGAACAGAAAACCAAACACCGCATGTTTTCACTCATAAGTGGGGGTTGAACAATGAGAACACATGGACACAGGGAGGGTAACATCACACACTGGGGCCTGTCAGGAGGTTGTTGGGGGGACAAGGGAAGGGAGAGCATTAAGGCATTAAGACAAATACCTAATGCATGAAGGGCTCAAAACCTAGATGACGGGTTGATGGGTGCAGGAAACCACCATGGCACATGTATATCTATGTAACAAACCTGCACGTTCTGCACATGTATCTCAGAACTTAAAGCAAAATAAAAATAATAATAATACAAATAAAGAAATACAGTAAAACAACTATTTACATAGCATTTGTATTGCACTGGGTGTTGTAAGTAACCTAGAGATGATTTAAAGTATACAGGAGGATGTGTATAAATTACATGCAAATACGACCTCATTTTATATGAAGAACTTGAGCATCCAAGAATTTTAGTATCCAAGGAGGGTGCCGGAACCAATCTCCTGAGGATACTGAGGGTCAACCGTATTTCCATTCTGATGGCTTTGCAGAGGAATCAGACAGTCCTCCACTGTAAATCAAGCTGCAATTAGTGCCCTGGTGTTCTGGCGCCCCGGGTCCTTCGTGTTAGAGCTGGGACATGAAGACAGCACCCGAGAAGAAGGGGGCCTGAAATATCCCTGGCTGCCCTTCACATCTCAAAAGACACAGACACTAGTCCCCAAGGCAGCTCACAGCCCACCCACCTGGAACTTTCTCCATGCCTGGGAGGCCTCAAACTGAGAAGCAAACCCCACGTTGCTGTGTGACAGGGCCTGCTTCTGTCCGCCTAGGTGCACAAGTGCATCCCACCACTCAGAGGAATACTCCCCACACCACCATTTGTCACTGTCAGCCCAGGGAGCAATTATATTCCATCCGGCCAGAAATAAACAGACACCAGCATCACACAGGAGATGACAGGCAGACACACTGCCTCTGATGCACACACGTTTTTCTCATGCCCAGCTGTGACTGAGCCTCTGGGCACAGATGCAGCCCAGAGCCTGGTGGGAAAAGCAAATCAATGAGGGCCCTTAGAGGATCTCGTAAGCTCTCTCACCACTTGCTCTTTTCAGGTAGAATGAACGAATTTGGGGAAAAGCCTAACTTTTAAATTAAACAGTTGTAAAACTTCTGATAAAAATGCCATTAAAGAAATTTATGAGATTAAACACATCTCTATGGCTTCTCCTGCAGATCAGCCTGTGGGTCTGAAGGCCTTTGGATCAAGGGGATGAGCGCATTGGTGTGGGAGCCGGGGCAGGGAGTGGGGTTTGAGCTCCTGCAGCACTGCTTAACAGCTGTGCAGTCCCAGCTGGGTCCTGTAACCTTCCTGCCTTCCAAAGGGCAATATTACCACTTGCCCTTCCTCCCTGCTTTTATTAATGCAATTTTCTCTGCTTCATATACACTCCTACATCCTCCTTATGGCAGAGACGACTTGCTCTCTCCCAAATTCACTCTCACCTTCCATCACACAGGGCTGTAGCTAGGAAGCAGCTACTCAGCTAGAGAGTATATTTCCTACCCTATGTTGGCTATGTGTGGCTTCAAGACAAGGCTTTTTTACATTGTGCACATGTACCCTAAAACTTAAAGTATAATTAAAAAAAAATAGATTCAATTTTATTTATTTATTTTCTCTTTTGAGACAGAGTCTCACTCTGTCACCCAGGCTGGAGGTCTGTGGTACAATCATGGCTCACTGCAACCTCAACCTCTCGGGCTGAAGTGATCCTACCACCTCAGCCTCCCAAGTAGCTGGGATTACGTGTGTGCAGCACCATGCCCAGCTAATTTTTGTATTTTTCATAGACACGGGTTCTCCCTTTGTTGCTCAGGCTGGTCCTGAACTCCTGGGCTCAAGTGATCCTCTTGCCTTGGCCACCCAAAGTTCTGGGATTACAGGCACCGCAGCCAGCTGACTTTAACGTTTTTAAGAGGAGCTTTAGGTTCACAGCAAAACTGAGCAGAAGATTCAGAACCTCAAGACTAGTTTTCACCAATGAAATGGGAACAGAAGTGATGGCTGTGACTCCCAGGCCCTGCCCTAAAGTGCCTTGCAGGTGTTCCTCCAGGCACATTCTCTCTTTCAGCTTGCTGGGGTGGAAATGAGCAGGACAAACTTGGAAGCCATGCACTGAGGATGTAAGTCAGGGCTGCTGTCCACCTAGGTGACCGAGTGACCAAGTAAAGGACTATTGCTCCTGTTGCCAATCCAACATACCACACTGAATGCAATGAGGTATCTTTGATTGCATCCTGGAACAGAAAAAGCATGTAAGTAGGAAAAAAACACAACTGATTAAACCTCAACAAAATCTGGTGTTAACAGTAACCCACAAATGTGCCATGGCAATGTAAGTTGTTACTATTTGGTAAAACTGAATAAAGAGTAGATGGGGACTCTCTATATTATCTTCGTAACTTTTCCATGAATCTAAATTTATTCCAAAAGTAAATGTTTATTAAGAATAATTTTTAGGCAGGGTGTGGTGGCTCACACCTGTAACCCCAGCACTTTGGGAGGCCGAGGCAGGTGGATCACCTGATGTCAGGAGTTCGAGACCAGCCTGGCCAATATGGTGAAACCCCATCTCCACTAAAAATACAAAAAATTAGCCGGGCATGGTGGCAGGTGCCTGTAATCCCAGCTACTCAAGAGGCTGAGGCAGGAGAATCACTTGAACCCAGGAGGTGGAGGCTGCAGTGAACCAAGATGGTGCCAATGTACTTCCAGCCTGGGCAACAAGAGTGAAACTCCATCTCAAACAAAAAAAAATAAAAGAGAGAGAGAGAGAGAGAAAAAAAACGATTTTTAAAATAGCTGTATTGAGCCATTGTGCCTTTGGGTCTATTTATTACTGCAGCCACGCCTACCCTAACAAATGCACTTCTCTTCACCTGTAAAGCTCCTAGTCACATTTTAAGACTTGGCTTTGACATTATCTCCATTAAGAAGCTTCCTGTGATTACCAGGGGGTGAGGTACTGTACACTTTCTTCCTCGATCACACCCAAGAGAAGTAACTCATAGAACTGCCTATTTCCCAAGCCACATTGAAGTCTTCCTTGAGTCAGAAGCCTTGTCTGCTTCACAGCTACAACATTCCTCATGGTGTTCAGAAATATTTGTCCAATGAGTTAATGCCAGCCTCACCTATTTGTTGTGAACATTCACTATACCAACCAGAATAAAACTGCTTCATTAACTCTGAAGCACTGCACAGATGTAGGGGATGATTAATCAGTTGCAAAGTATTTATTGAACAACAGACCTGTTTTATAATTGTGATATATTTTCCTGGTGGCCTGGAGTGTATGCATTGATACATGGCACTTGGTCTCATGATTCTGACTGTCTTAATTAGTATTGATGAGGCAAAATGGCTTAAATAGTCAATTCAATGCCATCTGTTGAACACCCAAAGACCAAAGACATTATAGGTGTGGGTTTGCTTTTTTTTGCTTTTTTTTTTTTTGGAGACGGAGTCTTGCTCTGTCACCCAGGCTGGAGTGCAGTGACACGATCTTGGCTCACTGCAACCGCCGCCTCCTGGGTTCAAGCAATTCCCTGCCTCAGGCTCCCGAGTAGCTGGGATTACATGCACCCACCACCATGCCCGGCTAATTTTTGTATTTTTAGTAAAGACAGTGTTTCACCATCTTGGGCAAGCTGGTTTTGAACTCCTGACCTTGTGATCTACCTGCCTCTGCCTCCCAAAGTGCTGGGATTACAGGCGTGAGCCACCGCGCCCGGCTGAGTTTGCGTTTCTTGAATGCCTACTGGCTGCCAGGCAAACATGTGTTGGGGGCTTTCACTCCTATTATTTCACTGAATCCCAGTAGTGAAATACTCCAACGTTGGTATTATTATCCTCCACTTTACAGGTGAGAAAATTGAGGAGCAGAGAGAACAAGTGATGTGTTTACCACTGCTCACTTCGTAAGTGGAGCTAGGTCTCCGAAGTCCACCTATAACCTGCTTCTTTTCAAAACAGCATCTTGACATATGATTGATCGCCAGGCTGTGCTAAGAACTGTCATAAAAATAAATTCAATTTCTTCCATGCCCCTCTGGGTTGGCTCTCAAATAAAAGCTGAATGCCAGAACTCAAACAAACTTCCATAAACTGAAGTCCAGTTGTTGAAGCTGGGACTTGGGGTCAGAGGTGACCCTCCTGGCCTACAGAGAGCTGTCTGAGCTGCTAAACCCAGGATGCTTCAACTGTCCTGGATTCATCTGGGAATAAGAATTATTTCGGCTAGGCACGGTGGCTCATGCCTGTAATCCCAGAACTTTGAGAGGCTGAGGTGGGTGGATCACGAGGTCAGGAGTTCAAGACCAGCCTGGCCAATATGGCAAAACCCTGTCTCTATTAAAAAATACAAAAACTCCCCAGGAGTGATAGCAGATGTCTGTAGTCCCAGCTACTTGGGAAGCTGAGCAGAAGAATCGCTTGAACCCGGGAGGTGGAGGTTGCAGTGAGCCGAGATCGTGCCACTGCACTCCAGCCTGGGCGACAGAGCAAGACTCCATCTCAAAAAAAAAAAAAAAAAAAAAAAAAAAAAAAAAAATATATATATATATATATATATATATATATAATTTCAACTTTCATGCCATGCCAGTACTGCTCTAAGTATTTTACACAGCATAGCTCACCCAACCCTTACAACCCTAGGAGGAGACTACTATGATTCCAATTTCAAAGATGATAAAATAGGCTCAGAAATGTTAGTCAAAAGTTACTGTGAGTAAATACTTCACTATGAAATTAGATGCTCAATGTCTCCTTTCCCAATAGACTGCAAGCCATTTGAGGGCAGGGACAGTCCTGCCTTATTCTTCTTCGTATCTAAAGTGTACATCACAGAGTCCTGCACGCAGTAGCTGCATAATAAATAATTGTTGAATAAAGGCATGAAATGATAAAAGTCATACAAAATTTGGGGAGCCACAGAATCTCTGGAAGGCCTGTAATGAATCAACTAATGATTGTTGCTATCACGTGAATATCAGCCAAATGCCTGAGTCTGCACCCTGTCTATAAACTCACTCCTGCCTGCTCCTCTCCACCAGCCTCACCCTCACCAGTCCATGCACTTTCTGAGAGCACCCAGGGAGGCAGAACTCCTAGATGCCAAATGAGAATGGGTTCCATTCAGAGCTCTCTGCACCAGAGCCATGCTATGCTCCAGGCAGAAAGAGGCAGAGGGCTCTTAGCCTGATTCTTTCACACAAGATCACTTGGCCCTCAGTTAGCATGACTTGTGTTCAAGGTCTCAAAAGTTCCCCCAAGAAGACGTTTATCATCATTTAGCCACATTTATGAGCTAAATAAATGTTCATTTATTTATTTGTGTATTCATGTTGTATGTCACTGATATTTTGTGCTCGGTTCCTTACATAGCAATAGCTGACTATTGCAAACTACTAAGTCTATGTTACAGAAGAAGACACTGAAGACCAGAAGGTTTAAGTAACTTGCCCAACATTTTATAGAAAGAATGAAGCTAGTATATAAATTTAGGTCTGTCTCTAAAGCAGACAGGCTTCTGCTACCCCACATGGCTCCCTCTGTCCTTTGGAAGGACATCCAGTCCTTATACCTGGCAGGACAGCCAGTGTGTGTCGCCAGTGTGTGTCGTCAGTGTCTGGGGCATCTCTCCCATCTGTACCTCCTTGACAGTAGCACAAAGGTGACCCTTGGACAGATGCTGTACTGAGTCAGGATGTCACACCTGGAAACCCGCCGTGTCCCTGCTGAGTAACTACCCTTCACTCCAGAGCTCTCCTCGGCACATAAGGATATTCCTCACTTTAATGTGTAAATGCCATTCCAAATCAGCAACCAAATCCACCAGCCAGGGGAGCTCCAGGTGATTAATGCATCTCTCAGGTAGTGAAAACCACTTAATCTTCAGCTGCAAGTTTCTGACTCCACCAAACACAGATCTAATCGCCCACAAATGCACTGCCTGATGGGTCTTTATTGCTTAATTACCAAGGTGAGAGGCTCATAATTAATAAGCCATTTACTCCTACATTTAGATGTCTCCAGAAAATGTAGCCAAAGATTTTCCAAGGAAATTCACATTATTTGTCATCTTTATATCTCTTGGTACCTGAATTGGTCACCTATCTCATTGGTTTCTAAACTTTTCTGCCTACAACTAAATATGAGAGGGAGAGGGAAAAAAAGAGACAGGAAGAGGAGAGAGAAGATTTCCCCTCTTCCTCCTGACTCTATTTTTCATTTATAAAGACCCTTGTGATACATTGGGCCCACCTGAATAATCCAAGCTAATCTTCCCATCACAAGATCTTTAACTTAATTGCTTTAATTAACTTAATTAACTTAATCTATAAAGTCCTTTTTTGCAGTGTAAGGCAACATATTCACAGATTCTGGGGATTAGAACACGGACATAGACATTTTTTATCGGGGGTGGGGGTGGGTTATTCTGCCCACCCTAATGTTCAGCACTGCAACAACCTAAGCCCCCCACAGAAGAAAATGGTTAAATAATCTCTCCCCACACATTGCATGTGCTGCCATTAAAATGCTTATAAAGAACTCTTAGAACATGGCCCATGCTGATGCTGTAATATTTGGTAGAAAGCTGGGCAAATTTCAAAAGTATTACGCTTTGCATAACAAGTGTAAAAAGCATGAACAATGATGAACAAATAAGATGACAGGGAAATAATAATTCCTATTTATTGTACTTGGTAGTTGAATCATGTACACTTATTTGTTTCTGTCTGCATTTTTCTAAATAGGAAAGAAGGATAGAGAAGAGGAAGAGAGTTGAAGATGCTGCATTGCTCGAGGAAGAGGCCATGAGCCAAGGAATGCGTACAGCTTCCAGAAGCTGGAAAAGGCAAGGAAATGGATTCGCCTCTAGATACTACAGAATGCATCCTGCCAACACATCAATTTTAGCCCAGTAGGATGCATTTCAGACTTCTGATCTCCAGAATTGTAAGATAATAAATTTGTATGATTTCAAACCACTACGTTTGTGGTAATTTGCTACAGCAGCAAGAGAAAACTAATCCAAGTGCCCTTGTGAATGAAACTGTTCACGTAGTTCAGATTTCTATTACAACAGATCTCTAGAAGTGGAATTACTGGATCAGAGGATGTGACTGTTTTGAGAGCTCTTGACTAGATGTTGCCAAACTGCTATCCAAGAAGGCTGAGGGGCAACTTTGGTAGATGATCCAGGAAGAGGACCCCAACCCCCACTGCCCCGGGGCAGTCATTCACTTCTTTCCATCTTAGTTTCCCACACCCTTGTCCAAGCCATGCCCTCACCTCCCCTGGAAAGAATGCCCCAGCCCCTTCACTGGTCTTCCCACTTCGCCTCTTGGCAGCCACAGCTTGTGTCCCACATATCAGCCAGGAGAATCTCATTAACACCTGAGTTAGAGCCTGGTGCTCTCCTGTATTCGTTTGAGCTGTTATAACCACATACCATAGACAGGGTAATTTATTAGCAACAGAAATTCATTGCTCACAGTTCTGGGGACTGGGAAGTCCAAGACTGAGACTCCAGAATATATGATGTCTGGCGAGGGTCTGTTCCTCATAGATGGTGACTTTATGCATGCTCACAGGGCAGAAGAGGCCGGGGGCTCCCTCAAACCTCTTTTACATGGGCACTAATCCCGTTCATGGGGGTGGGATCCTCCTGACATAATTGCTTCCTAAAGGTCCCACCTCTTAATACCATCACCATGGGGTTTAAGTTTCAAGATATGAACTTTGGGGTGGACACAAACGTTCAGACCATAGCACATCCTTCATTGTTTTCCCATTACTCTTTGCATAAAGAAAACTATCCCTGCCCTGGCCTCTGCTGGCCACCCTCTGGCCTCACCACCCACCAAGAACCCTCACCCCTTACCTTCTCTGCTGTGGCCACATGGGTCTTCCCCCAGCTTCCACCCACAGGCCATGCTCTCATTTACTCCAGGGCCCTGGCACATGCCTGGAATGCTCTCCTCACATTCTTGTTGGCCCCAACATCTCTCCCTTGTCCTTTCGAGCCCATATAAAATGCACCTTTCTCAGGAAAGCCCCCTTCACCTCTCAGGCAAGGTCCACTTCTCATGCATTCCCATACTGTATTCTTCTCCTTCATAGCACTCATCATGATTACAATTAATTAACTTTTTAATTAGTTGTTTAGCTTTTAATCAAAGTTTGGTATCTATCCAGGAACTTGCACATAGCACAATCTCTATGAACTTTCACAAACTGAACACACCTGTGTAAACACCACCTGGAGCAATAAAACATTCTCTGCCTTCTCGGGCATCCCAGAAGCTCACCCATACCTCTTCCAGTTACTAAGTCCCCTAAGGCAATGCCTACCTTGACCTCTAACACTAGAGATAAGTTTTTGTTTTTTTTTTTTTTTAACATCTAAACACAATTGATAGCCTTTTTTTTTTTTGGCATATATGTCTCCATTAAAATATAAGCTCCATAAGAGCAGGACCCATGTCTGTTTTGTTTGCCATCCTATTCCCAATGTCCAGCACCTTAGCTCAACAAATATTTGTCAAATTACAGAATGAATTAATTAACAACTAATTAATGTTGTAGGAATTGGGCAACAAGGTGTAGGAGGTACAGTGAGCAGGGTGCCCACAGGAAGATGGAAGTAAGAGAAACAAGGTGCATCTAGCCAAGGAGGGGCCAGCAGGAAGGTCAAAGGAATGCCCCTGGCTGCACAAGCCCAGCCTGCACTGGGCAAGGCAAGCACCCTGGCCACTAGGGGCCTTCCACAGTGGCATGAGTCCACCCCCCACCCACCCAACCTCCAACTCCCTGCCCATGATGGTCTGGATAAGATACCCTTCCTCCATAGATAGGAGCTTTTCTGGAAGGACACAAGCTGTTGAGCTCCAGAGAGGGATTGTCCTTGGCAATAAAGAGGGGGCATTAGACAGTGTTGTGGTGAGAATAAGCTGGCATCTGTTGGTCTCAGACTGGGAGAAATTGTAGCCTGTAGCCCAAGTTTGAATTGAAGGACACTGACTGGGTGACTACCCCATGATCTAAGTTCTGATTTCACCAGATCCTGCTTGCCTCCCTACTTTCCCTCCTTCCTTCCATTCAAACTTCTGTCCACACTTATCAGAGCAGGTTCTCCTATGTGGGGGATGATACAACCCCGTTATCAGCACAGTGGTCTCAAAATGGCAAGACGGACCCTTTCTTTCTTTCTTTTTTTTTTTTTTTTTGAGATGGAGTCTCACTCTGTCACCCAGGCTGGAGTGCAGTGGCGCAATCTCAGCTCACTGCATGCTCCGCCCCTCCAGGTTTAAGCACTTCTCTGCCTCAGCCTCTGGAGTAGCTGGGATTACAGGCCCGTGCCACCACGCCCGGTTAATTTTTTGTATTTTTAGTAGAGACGGGGTTTCACCATCTTGGCCAGGCTGGTCTTGAACTACTGACCTCGTGATCCACCACCTCGGCCTCCCAAAGTGCTGGGATTACAGGCGTGAGCCACCGCACCCAGCAAGATAGACTCTTTCTATGCTTCTGACTGAGGGCAGTTTGGGCTCCCAAGTTGGAGAAGCATTGAGCCTGCCTATGTGGGTTGCAGAGCCAGGCAGAGCATTTGACATTTCCGGTTGGAGGGCCATGGCAGCCAGTATTTTATTTAAAACACTCAGAGTTTACAGTCAAAAACCCGTGAGTCTGAACAAATTCTTTAACTGGCAATTCCCTGCAAAGGGCTCTGCAGTTTGCACTATTTCAATCATGTGTTCAATCAAAAGGGTATTGGAGACGTAACTGTACATTATCACTATTGACATTTCCCAGCCTACTCCACTTTGGTTAAAAAGAAAGTGTCCAAAGATGCCACTTAATAACTTTGGGTATCATGAAAATGTCACTTTGGCAAGCAGAAAAGTGGATTTACACACCCACCAAAGGTGACCTGCTTAGAAAGAGACAGCAGGGATTGTTTCCTGGCCTCCAAAAGAGACAGTGCACCCAATGTCCCTGCAAGTTACCATTGCTCCAGGGGATGGAGGGAGGGAGAGGAAGAACAAAGGGCAGTGGCAGCCCAGGTGCTACTCAGCCCACTGGAGCAGGCTCGGGTGGACAGAAAGGCTTCTAGGGCTTCAGCAACAAAGCTGGGGTGGGGGTAGGGGTTGGGCGAAGAAAGGTGATATGGTTTGGCTCTGTGTCCCCACTCAAATCTCATCTCGAATGGTAATCCCCACATGTCGAGGGAGGGACCTGTTGGAAGGTGATTGCATAATGGGGGCAGTTTCCCCCTTGCTGTTCTCATGATAGTGAGTTCTCAAGAGATCTGATGGGTTTATAAGTGTTTGGCAGCTCCTCGTTTGTTCTCTCTCTCTCCTGCCATCCTGCCATCATGCCATCATGTAAGACGTGCCTTGATTCCCCTTCATCTTCTGCCATGATTGTAAGTTTCCTGAGGCCTCCCCAGCCATGCAGAACTGTGAGTCAATTAAACCTCTTTTCTTTATAAATTACCCTGTCTCTGGTAGTATGTTTATAGTAGCGTGAGAATGGTCTAATACACAGGGAAAAAGGACCGACTGGTGCAAAGCTGATAAAATGACTGCATCCGGTTCTGGAGTCCCAGATGGGGGTAACACACACATAGAAAGACGCAGGAAGGTGGGTCCCAGCCAAGAGACCCGTCCCTTGGTCAAGGTGATGGGGGGCAGCAAGTGATCCTGTGGCCCGGTGAAAGCAAGGTCAAGGTTTTGGAAGGACCGTCAAGTGTTAGCAGAGCTACAGCTGGACAGAGAAGGAAGAAGAGGGGCCATTTTCCCAGAGGAGAAGGCTGTGAAGAGCCAGCCAGGCAAAGTGGCAGGGCTCAGTTAAAAACCGGTAGAATGGCAGGCTGAGGCATGGCTGCAAAGACTGGGTTATCCCCTTCTCCACTTCCTGGGTTTCCATCTCAGCAACACGCACCAACCTCCACAATCTAGGTGGCAACCTCAAATCTTTCTGTAACCTCACTTCCCACAGTGCTTTGCACCTAACCCAGGGGCAGACAAATATTTTCTGTAAAGGACCAGACAGTAAACATTTTAGGCTTTGCAGGCTCTGTTTATTGGAACATTCACCCTACTCAACTCTACCGTTGTAGCGTGAATGTTCCGAGAAAACTTACAACACTAGGCAGTGGGCCACATTTGATGCATAGAAAACTGCTTGCCAACCCCTGATGTAACAGATTGCCAAGGCCTGTCGATGTTACCTTCTAAAGATCTCCTGAACCTGCCCACTTTTCTCCAGCGCCCACACCCTCGCCACACTAGTCCAGCCACAATCTTCTGTTGCCTAGATGACCCCAGCAGCTCCCTCCCCGCCTGCCTCCTCCATTCTGCTTTCACTTTTGTCTCCTCTACCCAGCAGCCAGAGTGAGCATATAAAATGCAGTTCTGATCCTGTCACCTCTCTGCTTAAAACTCTTCAGAGGTTCACCATCGCTTCCAGAAAAAGATCAATACTCCTGACGTGGCAACCTGTCGAGACTCAGGACCGCTAGGAAATCAGCTCTTGTTTACCCCTCTATCCATTACACTACGATCCAGCTGGGGTAAGTGCCTGTTGGAGCATCTGCATGAGTTCTCCCTCCTGGGCCTTTGTCCCTAGATAATCTGGCAGGGGCGCACTTTCTCTCCATTAACAATTCCACCCTTCCCTCTCCTCATTTTGACTCATCTCAGTTTAGGCATCACTTCCTCTGAGCAATCCTCCCTGATGTCATGAGGCAGTGCTGAGTGCCTTCTCTGGACCCTCTGTTTACTTGCCTGTTAAATCCTGAACATCTGGAAGGGAGTCGTGTTCAGCAACATATCTACGCCTTGCAGCACGGTGCCTGGCCTGCAGCTGGTGTTCCGTAAACAGCTGCTGACTGACGGGATGCATCGGTGAGTCAATCAATTAACTCTCTCTCACAATAGGAGGATGAAGCTCAGAGAATATCCAATTGGCCATCCTTCCCCAGAGGCCAGAAAATGCTGTGGCTTGAGTTCCCTGGGGCTTTGCCTGCCCTGGTTGGGATGGCTTTCTGCCCCAGAGTTCTCTGGAACTTGCAAGTCTGGAGTTTTCTGACCCAGGAGTTATCTGTGTCAGAAAAAGAACCTGGCTTTCAGAATCTTCTGTGTATTATAAGGTGGACTAAGGTTTAGAAAGACACAAAGGAACTAATACGTTTACACATTTTCCTGGGTAAAAGCATAAGTAAATTCTCAATCATCTTTTCTTTAGTATGATTATTCATTTATTAATTTCTTCACTTATTTATTCATTCTACAAGTGTCCCCTGAGCTCCCAAGGGGTTTCTGCCCCTCAACTAGCTGCTTCATCCACAGAGATGGCTGGTACCCAATTCTTGCCTTACCGTCAGATGAGGAAGACAGTCCATTTTGATACAGTGTGGCAAATGCTATCATAAATGAATGGTCAGGGACAATGTCAGGGAGTAAAATGAGGGAGAGTAAAAATGACAATAAAGTACACAAGAAAGTTCAGGTCAAGCAGTATTTTAGAAACAAGTAGACTTAACAAGCTGAAAAGAAAACAGGCCATTACCAAGGAAGAGTATATAGAGGCAGTTAAAAATAAAAGTAGATAGGTCAGGTTAATGTCAACAATCGCTATAACAGAACAGTAAAGAAACATCAGGCTCTTTACAAAATTGGATCACAGAAGCATAATATGGTTTGCAAGGAAATCAACTAGCATTAAAAAGATTCACTCCCCCAAAATGGCCATGCAGGTGCCAGTTTTGGCCACACCTCTGCACAAGGCGGATGAGCAAACCTGGTGGGAGGGATACATCGCAGAAGCCAGCATGAAAGGACCACCAGGCTGTGCTGCAGGCTCTTCCAAGGGAGGGGCTAAGGGGACACAGACGGAGACCCAGGCATGCAGGTTTGAGAACACTGGAAGGAGTGAAACCTGTTGTTTCTCTCCTGACCTGGATGCAACAGAGTAAATAAGATGATACTGCAGACTGGGGATGTTTAGCTCCTCTCTTAATGAAACTGCTTCAAAGAGGTCGGGGGAGTATTCCCTTGGCAGTGATTGTGGTTAAACTGGGCTAACGGTGACTGCCTAGACTGCTTTCTCCATCTAGTTCGGCCACCACAGAGGGTCAGGGCTACCCAGACTACCGGCCAGGGAGGAAGGAGATCAACAGCACGGAGATGTGTGTGTCTCAAATTAAAAATGGTCTGGCCAGATGCAGGCACTGGCATGCTCAGGGAGAAGCAGTCTAACCAAACAAGAGAAAAACCTTCAGACCTGAGCAAGGCTGTGTGTGTGTGTGTGTGTGTGTGTGTGTGTACAGGCATACCCAGTCTAACCAAACAAGAGAAAAACCTTCAGACCTGAGCGAGGCTGTGTGTGTGTGTGTGTGTGTGTGTGTGTGTGTGTGTGTGTGTGTGTAGGCATACCCACATGTGTGTGAATTCCCATTAGGAGGTGGGACGCTAGCAAACTGGAAGGCAGAGCCCATCTGACCCTGAGATCCTCACACTCATGCAACCTTAATGCCAAGACAAACTGAATGGTTGATTGTGTCAACTCTCTTGTTTTAGGGATGGGAAAACAGGCCCAGAGTGGGAAAAGGAGTTACCTCGAGTCAACCAGGAGAGTCTACGAGTTGAGATTAGGATTGATCCCTGGCCTTTCTGGAAGCACACTAACCAGGGATTCACTCCTTTTGCTTCCAGGACACACTCTATTATTTAATCCTCATCTCAATCTCCCAGTGCAGGGTAAATGGAGAAAATTATCTCCATGTTAAGAGTATAAAAGCTGAGGCTCAGAGACAGTAAGTATTTTTCTGAGGGTCACAGAACTAATCATGGTGCAGATGTGATTGCAATGAAGGCCTGTTTAACTCCAAAGCCTTTCCACTGTCTCATGTTGTCTAATAGATAGCCAGCAAATGTTTCAAACTTAACATGTTTGAAACTGAACTGCTGATCTTCCCCAATAAACCTGCTCCATCGACATTCTTCCCCATCTCACTTGGCAGCAATCTCATCCTTCCAGTTGCCCAGGCCTAGACTCCTCTCTTTTTCTCACTTCCACTACCAATCCACCAGCAAATCTGTTGGCTGGATCTTAAAATATATCCAGAATCAAACCATTTCAACCAGCTCTCCCTTTGCAGATGTCACCATCTGCCCTATCTCGGATCTGCAATCGCCTCCTACAGTCTATTCTCAGCTCTGTAGCTGGAGTGATCTTCTTCTTATGCAAGCAACTCATCTTACTCTCTGTTCAGAACCCTGCAACAGCTTCCCATTTCATGCAGAGCCAAAGCCTAAGCCCTTACAATGGCCTTTGAGTCTTGCAAGTTTTTTTTTTTTGGGGGGGGGTCGGTTTTTATTATACTTTAAGTTTTAGGGTACATGTGCACAATGTGCACGTTTGTTACATATGTATACATGTGCCATGTTGGTGTGCTGCACCCATTAACTCGTCATTTAACATTAGGTATATCTTTTAATGCTATCCCTCCCCCCTCCCCCCACCCCACAACAGGCCCTGGTGTGTGATGTTCCCCTTCCTGTGTCCATGTGTTCTCATTGATCAATTCCCACCTATGAGTGAGAATATGCGGTGTTTGGTTTTTTGTCCTTGTGAGAGTTTGCTGAGAATGATGGTTTCCAGCTTCATCCATGTCCCTACAAAGGACATGAACTCATCATTTTTTATGACTGCATAGTATTCCATGGTGTATATGGGCCACATTTTCTTAATCCAGTCTATCATTGTTGGACATTTGGGTTGGTTCCAAGTCTTTGCTATTGTGAATAGTGCTGCAATAAACATGCGTGTGCATGTGTCTTTATAGCAGCATGATTTATAATCCTTTGGGTAAATACCCAGTAATGGCATGGCTGGGTCAAATGGTATTTCCAGTTCTAGATCCCTGAGGAATCACCACACTGTCTTCCACAATGGTTGAACTAGTTTACAGTCCCACCAACAGTGAAAAAGTGTTCCTATTTCTCCACATCCTCTCCAGCACCTGTTGTTTCCTGACTTTTTAATGATGGCCATTCTAACTGGTGTGAGATGGTATCTCATTGAGGTTTTGATTTGCATTTCTCTGATGGCCAGTGATGATGAGCATTTTTTTCATGTCTTTTGGCTGCAAAAATGTCTTCTTTTAAGAAGTGTCTGTTCATATCGTTTGCCCACTTGTTGATGGGGTTGTTTGTTTTTTCTTGTAAATTTGAGTTCATTGTAAATTCTCGATATTAGCCTTTTGTCAGATGAGTAGATTACAAAAATTTTCTCCCATTCTGTAGGTTGCCTGTTCACTCTGATGGTAGTTTCTTTTGCTATGCAGAAGCTCTTTAGTTTAATTAGATCCCATTTCTCAATTTTGGCTTTTGTTGCCGTTGCTTTTGGTGTTTTAGTCATGAAGTCCTTGCCCATGCCTATGTCCTGAATGGTAATGCCTAGGTTTTCTCCTAGGGTTTTTATGGCTTTAGGTCTAACATGTAAGTCTTTAATCCATCTTGAATTAATTTTTCTATTAGGTGTAAGGAAGGGATCCAGTTTCAGCTTTCTACATATGGCTAGCCAGTTTTCCCAGCACCATCTATTAAATAGGGAATCCTTTCCCCATTGCTTGTTTTTCTCAGGTTTGTCAAAGATCAGATAGTTGTAGATATATGGCATTATTGCTGAGGTCTCTGTTCTGTTCCATTGGTCTATATCTCTGTTTTGGTACCAGTACCATGCTGTTTTGGTTACTGTAGCCTTGTAGTATAGTTTGAAGTCAGGTAGCGTGATGCCTCCAGCTTTGTTCTTTTGGCTTAGGATTGACTTGGTGATGCGGGCTCTTTTTTGGTTCCATATGAACTTTAAAGTAGTTTTTTCCAATTCTGTGAGGAAAGTCATTGGTAGCTTGATGGGGATGGCATTGAATCTGTAAATTACCTTGGGCAGTATGGCCATTTTCACGATATTGATTCTTCCTATCCATGAGCATGGAATGTTCTTCCATTTGTTTGTATCCTCTTTTATTTCATTGAGCAGTGGTTTGTAGTTCTCCTTGAAGAGGTCCTTCACATCCTTTGTAAGTTGGATTCCTAGGTATTTTATTCTCTTTGAAGCAATTGTGAATGGGAATTCACTCATGATTTGGCTCTCTGTTTGTCTGTTATTGATGTATAAGAATGCTTGGGATTTTTGCCCATTGATTTTGTATCCTGAGACTTTGCTGAAGTTGCTTATCAACTAAAGGAGATTTTGGGCTGAGACGATGGGGTTTTCTAGATATACAATCATGTCATCTGCAAACAGGGACAATTTGACTTCCTCTTTTCCTAATTGAATACCCTTTATTTCCTTCTCCTGCCTGATTGCCCTGGCCAGAACTTCCAACACTATGTTGAATAGGAGTGGTGAGAGAGGGCATCCCTGTCTTGTGCCGAGTCTTGCAAGTTCTTGTCTCCAGGTACATTCCTGACTTACTCTCCTCCCATTTTCTCCTTCACACACTCAGCTCTAGGCCCCCTAGCTTCCTTGCTGTTCTTTGAACATTACAAGCATGCTCCTGCCTCAGGGCCTTTGCAATGGCTGGCCGTATACTAGAAAGTCTTCCCTCCTCCCTTCTTCCTCCACCCTTCATGATCCACGCGACTAAATCTCTCTCATCTCTTTCAAGTCTTTGTCAATATATCACTTCCTCAATGAGGCCTACTCTTTAAAATTATTAACCACTTCTACTGCAAGAATTTCCAATCTGCATTCTCTCTGCTGCGTTTTCTCTTACTACCTTTTAGCATACCATGAACTCTACTCATTTATTATGCTAATTGGTTATTTTCTGTCTCCCACATGAAAATGTAAGCACCATGACGGAAACGATTTGTTTCTTTTGTTTATTGGTGCATCCAAACCTAGTAAGCAGCTGACACATGGCAGGTGCTCAATGAATATCTATTGAATTGCACTATCTCTCTAATTGGTGGCTGCATAAAAAAAAAAAAAAAAGGCTTAAACTCACAGGAGAGGAAATTTTTCTAAGTCACAAAGTCATTTTTTTAAACATTACTCCATCCCTAAGTCTTCCACAGAAGGAGCTGAATGTGTAATTTTGACAAATGAGTTTGCATAGAGAAGGAAATAAAACATGGAATGAGACTATGAAAGGAGTTCTTGGGAAGAGAAAATTGCATTGCCTTTAAGTAGGAAAAGGAAAGTAATATTTAAAAGCAAAGATGTTTAAAACATCGCAATTGTAGGTAGAAATAACTCAGAGGTTGAAGGGGGAGGGTGCTGCAAGATGCAGTGGAATTCTTTCTTATCTGGGCTCCTGCCTAAAGCATTACTGGGCAATTGACAGGCCAAATCAATAAGCAACTTAAATTCTGGTCTAAAGGAATAACTGAAATGAATGCACAACAGCACAGGGAAACAAATCGGCACTTGGAACAAAAAAGGGGCTGGAATGCTGGCTTTGACTGGCTTGTTCACCCCAGTGAAACCAGCACTCCAGGTTACTTGCTAAGTGCTGTGATGATTATAATAATGGTGGCTTTGTGGGGAGAGTGTCAGCGCAGCCCTCTTTCCCTCCTGGGTCCCAGTAGATGGATCTGAATCTGGTCTGTTCTGTGGAGAGAAGAGAGGAGGGAAGCACCTGTCTTGGTCTTGTCTGCAGGCTCCCTTTCCTGGGGTGTGAAGGAGCTCCTGCAGGCTTGGTGTGGAGGGCTGGTCCCAAAGGCAAGGCCTGGGGTGGAGGCCCCTGGGGAGAAGAGAATGAACCTCAAACTCAGGGTTGGCCAGACGAAGCTCTGAGGCTAGAGGTGGAATCACAGGCTGGAACACACTGTCCAGAATTCAGATGGACAGAGACAGGATCACAGCAGGTCACCAACGAACTGGAAAAATCCAAGCCACCTGGGCTGCCACCTATAGTTGTGCACAAAACCACAGGTCAAGGGGGTGAGTCCGCCTGAAATTAAATTAGCCTAGGGGCCACTATCCCTCACGTGGGTTGAGCCAGTTCAGAGGGAGGGACATCTTTTTGCAATCTGTTCACAAAAAGAGGTTACCTTTTCAAAATTTGCACAGAGACTCCCCAAACTCTGGCAACTGTGGTTATCTGTGATCACCCTTTAGTGGTTTGTTTTGTAGAGTCAGGCATGCTCTGGTCAAGAGAAGCTGCAGGAACTGGAAGAAATTAACTCTGATCTTCTCAGAGCTCGCCCAAAAAACTGGACCTATAGAGAAACCTATGGAACATTTCAGGCTTCCTTTTCCCAATCCAAATTTGAGCTACAGATTTGAGCCCCAAATTAATCCCCAAATGGTTCTCCTACTGATTCGTTCATTTCGTTCATCCAGGTATTCACAGGGTTACTAAGAAGTGCTTGTCCTCGGTCAGGCCAGGAAAGAGAGATGACAGACTTGGTCCCATCGGCAAACTCTTTACAGACAAAAAATCCACCTCACTCATCTCTACAGCTCCAGGGCTCAGCACAGGGGCTGGCACATGAAGGCTCCCTTTCCTTACCTTTTCCTGGCACATGCAAATATATGTTTTTTGAGTATATAAATCAATGAATGATGAGAATATCTTGCAACTCCTTCAAACCGACAGGTCCACAGAGATGATCTTGCTCCTGACCTTGACAACAGAAATACATTCTTAGAGACTCTGTAGTCCTAAATAGAACTTTGGGGAATCCTTTTAAAAATCAAACGCATACTTGGTAGGAGAACTGACAATGGCAACCAGTTGCTCAGAGTTATTTGCTCAAAGGCCTACCTGCCTCCTAAGCCTCACTGTTCTTCATTAACTGTCAGGGGTTAAACTTTCAAGAGCTACTCCCAAAAGAGCTGCAGGAAAATTCTGTCTAAACAGCCATGCAAAAGTGTCTGGGGATCACTACGGACAGAGGATGATGACAGAGGGCCCATGACATTGGGCCTTGTCATGGCTGAACACTGACCTTCCACTGTCATGGCTGAACACTGACCTTCCAGTGCCTACAGCTTTTAAAAAGAGTAAAAACTATGTTCATGGGTACACAAATACAAACATGCACTCCCCCACACACACACATACATGGACACACACAGAGGCATATCATGCATTATCTTCTCTCATTCATCGATATTCTCAAATGGCTTATTACACAGATTTACATTCACAAATATTCTATTATGTAAATGTAAATCTATTCTATTATGTGAATGTAAACCTATATAATATATTTAGCCATTTTCTCAGTTGGATATTTTGGTTATTTCTATGTTGTCACAATTTTAAATCACATTGAAATAAACTAGGCCCCTTTGACTCCTTTCTTTCTCTCTTACTCCATGTGGTAGACTAAATGTGGCTGCTAAGTTTATTTCTCCCACTATGTCTTCCAGCCAATTCTAGATTTGAGTCAATTCTAGAGACCACCATGGTGGAGAGTGCATATGCAGGCACGCCAGTTAACTGATCTGGCTGAGCCCAGCCCTCCAGCCATCCCTGCCAAGGTGTCAATGTGAGTGAAACCATCTTGAACTCTGCATATTAACTTATTCTCCAGCTGAATATCACCAAGAGACCTGTCTTCTGATGCTACATGGAGTGGAACAATCTCCCAGCTGAGCTCTGTCCACATTCCTGACCACAAAATCATGAGATATTAAATAAAATGGCTGTTGTTTTAAGCATCAACCAGTCTTCTCAATGCTGCCACAATCCTCACAATGGCCCATAAATCTCTACGTGATCTCCCACTATTCTCTTTGATCTCATCTTTGGCCTTCCCATGGCTGAACCTGCTCCAGCCCCACTGGCCTCCCTGTTCCTCCCTGAACATACCAAACATGGTCCTCCCACCTCACGGCATTTGCACTTCCTTTCCCCTCTGTGAGGATAATCCTCCCCCAGATGTCAGCACGGCATGGTCCCTGGCTTCATGCAGGCCTTTGCATACATTTCAGTCAATCAGAGAGGTCTTCTCTGATATCTTACCTAAAACAGGAGTCCTTTTCTTCCACCTCAGCCCTCTGGAGAGCCAGGGAACACCTCTCTCTCCTTATCATGCTTTATTTTTCTTCATACCACTTTCACAATATTAATATTTATATGTTTATTGTCTATTTAGACCTCCTCTCCTCCCCACAAATAAATGCACATTCTTTAGTACGAATTCTCCGCAAACAGAAACGTTGTCTGCTTTTATCATTGCTGTATTCCCAGGACCTAAAACAGTGTCCTGGGTGTAGGACTGATCAATAAATATTTGTAAATGAATGAATGAATTAATTAGCACACGTTCTTGGATAGAAATCTCTCTATTCATTTCTAATTATTCCTCAAAATAAGTTCCTATGAGTTAAGTTGTGGAGGTGTAGGAATAACACATTTCAAAATCTTTTAGCACATATTGGCTAAAATTCCCTACAGACAGGCTGCACTGGTGCTTACCCATCCTGCTAGGGATGTGTAAGAGTGCTAATTTCCTTGCATCATCACCAATATAGGATAAAGTCACTCAAAAATATTTGCTACGTGGATACATGGAAAAAAATGGTTACCCTTTATTTTAACTTAACTTTCTTGATCCTGTGTGAACTGAACTCCTTGTTCCACGTGCTTATTGGCCACTACAAAGTAAGTTCCTTGACAGCAGGGGTTTAGATTTGCTCACTGCTATCCCAGCATCCCAGATAGAGTCTAGGATATAAGAGATACATGATAAATATTTGTAGAAAGAATGAATTAATATAGATGTTTTCTTTTGTTATTGAAAGGCTATTGACTCATGTGTCCTCTGAGAAGTCTGTCTCTTTTTTCTTACTGACTTGAAATAACTCCATGCATATAGAATATTTTACTGTCATCTAGGTTGAATTTTTAATGTGTCATTTGCACTCTATTTTGTATATGCTATTTTTTGACATTCAGAAATTCTAGCATTTTATGTAGTTACATCTATCATTTTATTTTAGTTCCTCTATTTGGTACCATGTTTAGCTACAGTCATAATAGTTAACACTGTATAGCACTTCCCACATGCCAGGCACTTTTCTGAGGATTTTACATACATTGTTTATTAAATTCCTACAGCAATCCTATAAGGTAGACACTATCATTATCTAATCATATAAAGAAACTGAGGCAATGAGCTATGAAATCAATCATCTCCTGTACAAGATTTTATATAAATTTACCTGTAGATTGCTTTATGATTTCAGTTTTTATATTTGTGATTATTATGTAATAATAGAAATCTATTGGGTTACTCCATGGAGAAGTGAGGGTCTAATTATTTTTTCCCAATTAATTGTCAAGTGCTCCAACACAGTTTATTGTAACAATATGTAACATGTCTGTAACATATTGACATATATATATGTATGAATAGACATATGTATACATACATACAAACATATGTACATGAACACAATCACACACTATATAGCATTTGCTGGTATTCTTACTCAGCTCACTTGTACTGTCGGTCCTTTTTAGTTGTTTAGTAATTTTTGTGGTGTGTTCAGTGAATCAAATTTATAAAATAGAAATATAAAGAAGAAACATAAAAGGATTACCAGCGATTCCCTACAAATCCTGATTAAAGGCACGTTCAATGTTGTTCTCATGAAATATGCACCTGTCAAATAAAAACATAAGCGCCTCCAAATTGCATTATAAATGCACAATACTTTTTGGAAACAGTTTGCTTCAGAACTTTGGCAGCCACAATAATAACACACACAAGCCTGTTTCACCCCAAAGGAAATATCTACAATACAAGGATGTTTAGCTCCATCATTTTTCACTGCTTTGGGTTTCTTGCAAAACCATTTTGATTTCAGTTGAAACTAATGACAGCAAGCAGTTTATGGTCAGGTTCACAAAGTACATTTCTACCCCTGCTGTGGGGAAGGGATCACAAGAAAATAGCTTCCAGTAGGTTACGACTCATCTAGCTCCCAAAGTGGGGACTCCTCCACCAGAGCCTGCATTTTCCACTTTTTGCCACACTCAGAGAAGGACTTCGACCTCAACATGTGATCCAGATAAAGAGCATCCTCCTACACAACCTCAAGGTAATAATAACATTTTATTGGTATCTTGTACATCCGTTGGCATTGGCATTTATATTTTTATTCCTATATCTTCTTATGTCAAAGAGAGCATGCTATACATCCTGTTCCCACCTTGCTTTTCTCTTAATGATTTATTTGAAAATGGTTTGTCATTCATTTCTACAGCTGAATAATAGTTTGCTGGATGGCTATACCCCATGTATATAACCCGAGACAGGGTGACCTTTTGTGGCCCACTGCCTGGCACTTGGCTTGGTCTAACAAACAGAACCTTCATGCACCAAGCTGGTCATGCCACCAAGTCAGCGCAGTCATTGGGAGTGAGTGGTATGTGAGTCCTGGCTCCCTGAATGCCCTGATGGACCCCATGGTCCAGCCACACTGGCTGGGTCCCTGTAAGCTTAGCCTACCTTGCCTGAGAGCCAAGGAAATCCCATCTTCTGCCTCACCATCCTCAACCACATTTCAGCACCAATGCAAGATCCAGTACAGCTGCTGGAATCCTTGTTTCATCCAGGGTGGACATGGCAGAGGAGTCAGCAACCATTTTGTGCCCCAGTGTTCTTCAGATAAGTTCCCACTCATGACAAACTCTAGCCCATACTGCAACTGAGGTCCCAAACATGCAATTGCATTGTTTCCCACGGTGGGCTGGGTCACTTGCTACTGCAACAAGGCAGAGGAAGGACAGCATCCCAGCATTTACAGACACATTGCCCAGCATGGGGTCTGGCTCTGCCAGAATCCACCGAAAGGTATGAGCCCTTTATGAACTAGCTGCACTCTGCCCTTTGGTCATAAGATAAACTCATATCTTGACCCAAGGCAGAGCCCTGACATCAGCATCAGATCAAACTTTTGTCTCACCACAGAGCAAGCCCTGACCCTGGTCAGACTCAACTCTGACCCTTGCACGGCCTGAGCCCTGACTTGGGCCACGGACTGCAACCCGACCCTCAGACTCACGCTGAGTCATGACCCAGATCACAGACACAGCTCCAAGCCCCAGACTTATCCTGAGCCCTAACCCTGGGCCCAGACTCAGCCCTCACCTTGGCTGTGACTGAGCCCAGCTGGCTATCTTCAAATGCGGTCACACAGGAGGTACTTGGCACAGTAGGCAGATGGCTCTGTGTGAGCCCTGCCTCGGCTCTGGATGGTGCTTATGATCTACTGCCTATCACGAGCATCTAGTATCTTGCCATGGGGAAGAAATCTCAGTCCCACAGACCTGAGTTCAAATTCTGCCACTGTTTAGCTGGGTGACTTTGGGCAAATTACTTCTAGTCCATCAAATTAGATGCCTTCTGAAGAAACCATTTATAAAATGGGCACAAAATACCTGCTGTCATGATGGTCATGATTAAATTATATGATTGTAAAGTACCCAGCTCACAGTAGATAGAGTTCATCCCTTTCCCCAGTAGGCATCTTGTCAGCTGCAGCTGAATTATTGGTATAGGAACAAGCCCTCCAGAGCTGTGCTGTCCTATACTGTGGCCACCAACCATATGGGGCTATTTTAAACAATTGAAATGTGGCTGGTACAGCCGGGCACAGTGGCTCATGCCTGTAATCCCAGCACTGTGGGAGGCTAAGGTGGGTGGATCACTTGAGGTTAGGAGCTTAAGACCAGTCTGGTCAACACGGTGAAATGCCGTCTCTACTAAAAATACAAAAATTAGCCAGGCGTGGTGGTGCACGCCAGTAATCCCAGCTACTCAGGAGGCTGAGGCAGGAGAATCACCTGAACCTGGGAGGTGAAGGTTGCAGTCAGCTGAGACTGTTTTGTGCCACTATACCCAGCCTGGGCAACAGAGCCAAACTGTCCCCAAAAAAAAAGCAAATAAATCAACCAACCAGAAAAATGAAATGTGGCTGGTGCAAACTGAGCTCTGCTATAAGGAACACACCATATTTCAAAGACAAAAAAATTCAGAATAAGAAAAAGAATGTAAAATGTATCATTAATAAGTTTTTAATGATTATGCATTTAAATAATATTTGAAATATATTAGATCAAATAAAATATACTACTAGAATTAATTGCACCTGGTTCCTATTTTTAAAAATATAGCTACTAGAAAATTTTAAATTACATATATGGTTTGCAGGTCCAGAGGTCTGGGAAGAGCAGTTCATGGGTAATAAAGACAGTTAAAACAGAAACAAGAGCAACAGTAAAATTAATACCTAACTAAGTGTTTATTGTGTGCTGGGCACGGCACTAAACACTTAAGTCCTCACAGCAACCTCTGAAGGTAGGCCCTACTACTGTCCCCATTATTGAGATGGCACAACTGAGGCACCAAGACGTAAAGTTATATGGTCCAAGGTAAAGAGCCAGTAAAAGGCAGAAATAGGATTTGAGTCCACAACACCTGGATCCAGAACCTATGTCCTAGAGGAAATGACACATTCATTAAAGGCTGCCTCAGTAAAGTGCTTCCTACAAATGAGTCACCCACAGGGAAGAAACATGCCCTGGATCAATTAAATGCTGTCATTGAGACATGGGCAGCAGCGAACCCCACTCTCCAAGCTCTTACCTACCCACATTGCTAGGCACTTCACTGCCCATCAGACTGGTTGGCACTCAACAGGGTCTTTATGGAGGTGGGGGAGTTCTCTCATTTAATCTTGTGCATTTCTCAGACATATGCCAAGTTATCTTTATCTGGAGAATCAAAGAGGACAGCTCCTTCAAACCTTTTTAGCTTTCTCCATTAGCAAGAGGTACCTCTGAGAGCAAAAATGATAAACTCAATTGTTCAAAAAGCAAGTTCCGTTCTTCAATTTGTGTGCCAGTCATAAACACAGCAACTTCCATTTGAGCAGAAATCCCACATTTCAGCAGAAATACTTAATGTGTCATTTCTCCTGCATCCATCTTCTTCAAAGCACTTACTTTAGAAAGTAGAGAAGGAAAAACAAACTCTAATAACCTGTACTTTGAATGGGAGATGGGAACTTTATGATAAAGAACTCAAAATGCTTTATTGACATGGCTGCACACATCCCCCTTCAGCTCCTGAAACTGCTCCTGAGATGAGAAAACTTTCCTAGGAGCCTTGCAACTCGACTTCACACCCAGCTAGGCTCTGGGGGTAGGATGCACACTCACTCCAGCTCCTGATCTGTTTTGATCAGCCAGAAGTCCTAGTTCAAGTCTAAACCCAGAATATAACCATCTTTTTTATCTTAAATCATGCATTTACAAATATCTGGCAAATACATATTGAGCACTGTGGCAGATTATATTTTCCAAAGATGGTCATGACCACGCCACTTATCCCACAAGTTCTTACAATGTGATCTTGTCACTCCCCACCAGGAGGTGGAGTTTATGTCCCCTCCTCTGGGACCTGCGTGGACCTTTGTGATGGGCTGGACCAATGGAGTATGGAGAACAGGCTTCTATGTGACTTCTGAAGCTAAACATAAAAGTTACAACAAGTCATGAAAGAGAAAAGCTTTTGCTCTTGGAGCCCAGCCACTATGCTGGGAGGAAGCCCAAGCCACATGAAGAGGTCAGAGATAGGTGTTCCAGCTAACAGCCCCAGTTGAGGCCCCCAGGTGGCAGCCAGCATTAACCTCCAGACTTGTGAGTGAGGAGTCTGGCTTATATATAACTCCAGCTCTAGCCACTGTCTTATGCAACCACAGGAAGGAGCCCCCAAATGAAGCCACCTACCTGAGCTAGTTATGGTTCATCAAAAAAATAAGACATAATGAAAAATACATTACTGTCTTATGCCACTAAGGTTCTGGTGACTTAGCATGCAGCAATAGATAACTGGAGCAAGCACCTACTATGTGCCAGGCATTGTGCAATCTGCTTTAACAACAGTTGAAGCAGACTTTGTCCCTGACCTTAAGGAGACCATAGCTTAGTGGGGACATAAAAAAGTAACCAATCACAAGCCTGCACTGTATGAACAGGTGACAGAGGGGCATGCAAGATACTTTGGGAACAAACCAGGCTTCGGGAATGTAACAAGGCCTGAGGACATCAGGGAAGCATCCTCAGAGGAGAAGATTGTTTAATTGAGTCTTCAGAAGGAGTCAGTGTCAATTAGATGAAGGAAAACAGAGCTTTTCATTCATTCTAAGGAATTTTGGGAAAATAATGTAGCAAAAATAGATAGAAAAAACTATGAGAAAGCCTGCTCACTTAAAAACATATTATAAAACCTCAATAATCAATACATTAATAATTAAAACCTCGATAATTGATTGGCTTATTGACAGACCATTTGACTAATGAAACATCAAAAAGTGCAGAAATAGATCTAAATGTTACAGAGATTTAGCGTGTGTGTGTGTGTGTGTGTGTGTGTGTGTGTGTGTGTGTGTGTGTGTAATGGGGCATTCCAAAGAGGGACTTTTCCAGAAATGCATTGTACTGCATGCTATATACACCAAGATAATATCCAAATGGGTCAAGATTTTAAATGCAAAAAGAAATCCCAATCCACTGAAATTTTAGAAGAAAATACAGAAAAATAGAATTTTAGAAAGAAAATAATTTTGTATAACTTTGGAAGTATCTAAAGTCTTTTTTAAATCAAAATCCAGAAATATTAAGGGAAAGATTGATAAATTTGACTACATGATAAAAAAAAATTGTGTAATGCCAAAAGAAAAAGAGAGGGAAAGAGAAGCCTTAAGCTAAGTCTAAAAACAAAGACTTCTATGAAGGTTGAAGATAGGTACAATGTCAACCTGAAAAACTGCAGCTTCTCCTTAGCAATCCTAAGATATCTATAGCTTCTTGAACCTCTTACAGAGGGCCTGAAACAGAGTAGATGTTTAATAAGATATATTGCATGATCCTGTTACAGAAACTCTCACTAAGATGGAAGTTCTGGTTTAATCTTGACTCAGTTATGTGACCTGGAACATAAATGGGTATGTGCACACACATGTGTTCCATGCACTGGGGGGAAGTAGAGCAGGTGATTGCTTCCCTACTGCCCTACCACCTCATTCCTGGAAAAAACACATCACCACTTTCAAGGTAATACATTGACGCAGTGATCAAGACTGCCAGGCAAGGCCACAGAGGCAGCATTAAAGCAAGCCCAAGAATCAGGCATTGTTCTATGGATCTCACTGTTCCCCTAACCTGAGGCTCACTTCTTCAAAAGTCAGGATCTGGCTGCATCTTGCTGAACCTCAATTTTCCCATCAGTACAGTAAAATGGGCACAATGACCATGGCTTCAGAAACCAGTTGAGCATTTAAATGAGAATAATGTATATAAGAGACCGAGCACTGGTGGAGGATATAGCACAAACTTCGTTCTTAGTCTCTGTGGCCACCAGAGTCATTATGGTCATGGTCAGTTTGCTGGAGATTCTTTTTTTTTTTTTTTTTTTTTTGACATGGAGTCTCACTCTGTTGCCCAGGCTGGAGTGCAGTGGCACGATCTCAGCTCACTGCAAGCTCTGCCTCCTGGGTTCACGCCATTCTCCTGCCTCAGCCTCCCGAGTAGCTGGGACTACAGGCACCCACAACCACACCCAGCTAATTTTTTTTTTTTTTTGAGACGGGTTTCACCGTGTTAGCCAGGATGTTCTCGATCTCCTGACCTCGTGATCCTCCCGCCTCAGCCTCCCAAAGTGCTGGGATTACAGGCATGAGCCACCGCACCCAGCTTTGCTGGAGATTCTATTACGATAAATATGTAGGCCAGGCGCCGACTGGATAAATAGGCAACCTCCACTTGTGCTTCTCTGTCTGGAGGAGTTTCTTGCCTTTAAGGTACATTGCATAGATGAACAGAACACATTACCAAAGATGCACAGGAACAAAATGAAAGCATCAAGAACACCCTGACCTGCTACTCAGGATACTGGGCCATAGGCCCCACTCTCATGATTTCAGGCTGAGAGATAAGGAGCTGTTAAAGCTGGGGTTTTGTTTCTCATTCCTCCCTAAACACAGTGAAGCTTGGGAGGCATTAAATGGATCAAGCATTTTTCAGAACAAGGTAGAGAAAAAAAGACGTGGAGGTATGTCATGCTTAGAAAACACAAGGCTAGCCCCTCTGAAGGTGCTGACCGACTCCCTGGAGTTTACTATTTGTGTAGACCTTACAAAGCTCAAGTTTGGGGTGTCTGCCTGTCAGTTTCTGCTTCCTGGTTTCCATCATGAGGCCTCTGAGGACTCCACCTAACCATGTTATCCAGTCCCTGCCACTTTAAATCAAGGATCTGAAAGGCAGCCTCTCCATTTAGCTGACAGGAGAGGCAGCTTTCAAGAGTCTTCTGTATCCTTTGTCAGTGAAAGTCACATGGGGGAATAACCCAAACTTTTCTTCCCTTTCCAGTGTAGTGAAATGGTAAGTTTCAAGCATATGAAAAACTCAGCCATTGGAACATCATGGGGTCGATTAAGCCAGTAATGACTCAAACCAAAGAGCTGGGGAATCTTCCGACTAAGTAATAGGGTAGTGAATGCACAGAAAGGCAGAGGCAAAAACCGAATTGTAGCATCTAGTTCATGAGCCTTTGCATGACTTTGGTCTCAACACCGGCACAGTAATCATCATGGAATCTCAGAATCACTGGAGGAGCAGGATCCCCCAAAACCCATCTCTGTGATCGCTATTGGATGCCAAAATCCTCCGCACATCTTCATCTAGTGGTCACCCAGCCTCTGATAGCCTCCAGGCTTGAAACTCTACTCTGAAATATTAAGAAGGGAAGCTGTGTTCACCACTCAGACACCCACTCCTATTTCACCTCCCTGAAGAAACCTTCCCTGTCTGCCCTCTCAGTCACTCTCTAATACCTTGTCTGACTTTGCCTTCTTAATAGATGTGTTAGGTGCTGACCCAGGCATGGAGGTTCTGACTGTGATGTCATGTAGCTTACTTATTGCCATTTAGACTGAGCTGGCGAGCTCATTTATCTAATCTGTTAAAACCAGATTTGGTGGAAAGTGAGGACCTCAATATTTCCACATTTGCTGACAACCTTAAACTCTCATCGAAGAGTGGGAAGTTGTTGCTTGGAATCACATTAAGATTAATAATGACAATAGAGATAATGACAACTGCAAATATAGCAACTCTCCCACTCACAATGGCAGTCCCGATTGCACAAAGAATCCAGTACCAGGAAGGGACACATTTTAAGCTATCTTGGAACTGTTTCCTAATCTGTGGGATAAAGATAGATCAAACACCACTTTGCATTTTTTAAACCTTGAATAAATAGGTAAATAGCCCCTTTGTTAAGTAGGAGAAAATATTGGGAGGAGACGAGTTTAGGCTTCTCAATATGTTTCCATCTCATTGGCCAGCAGGTCTATGGTTCAGAGAGAGGTTGAAGCTGGAGACAGGGATTTCAGAATTATCTGTAGAGTCTCTTGGTTGAGGCCTTGGGAATTAATGAAATTGCAGTACCAGAGAGTACCGGAGGAGAAGGGAAGTGGGGAGCTGTCCTAGAGAACAAGCTAGAATAGAAACAGTCAAGACAGCCAAAGCAGGAGTATCCGGAGACCAACGTGAAGGGAAAGAAGTGAGAGACATGTGGAAGAGGTGGCAACTCCTGCCAAAGGGGATTAAGAACAAGGAGTTCTAAGAACTTTCTGCAGGGCTGTTGGTTGGAGACGCTGCCTCCATGCAAATCTCATTTGCCGCTGTCAATCCAGATCCTGTCCCACCACGACCATTTCTGAGAAACAGACTCAAGACATGAAAAAAAACCCTCTTTCTGTAAAATTGGTTCGTGAAACAGACTACAGGCATTAATATCCTTTATGAGTGACAATTTAGGGCCAATATTTACACTTTGTAATGTTCGTTCTCTTTCTCTCGGGACAGAAAAGAATGTTGCCAATATCAATGAATAAACATTAATAAAATCAAATATAATCTTGTTCCATCTGGAATCAACCTTTAAAAAAATTCTTAACATCTGTATATAATATACATACACCTCTATGTACAATAGGGAAATCAGATTTTGCCTGAGAGATGTGCACAGTATTTAATGCCAATTTATTTGGTTCCACCTTTTCTCCAGACTGCTTTAGAAGGGTAGCGTCCCTAGAATTGAGATTCTGAATTAGTTTCCTCTGACTCTCAGGTACAGAATGTCCAGCTCAAGCCAAGACATATCAAATATTTATCCACTCCCAGATTTTCAAAAATCCAGCTTTCTGTCTCCTCCTGCAGCTGACCTCCTCTGGCAGAAATTCAGCCTCAAACTGGGAGAAATGAGTGGATCACCAGAATCAAAGCTGACGTCAGTGGTACTGTGGGTTGGTGTATGACGTGGGAACCCTGACAAACAGAAATGAATGTTTATAAATGTTAGATCTCAGGTCTGCAAGGAAAGATCTTGCTGTACTTCACAAATGGACTTGCTTTTTAATATGTCTCCTGTTTCAGGACAAGTAATGTTGGTCAGAACTCTGGGGGTGAACCTAGGGGCTCGTACCACTTGGGGCTGCGTTGTCACTCCTGTCCTCAGCATCGCAGAGGCCAAACTGTACCCAGATGAGACCCCAGGGAAAGAGAAAAGAATCTTGGGCACGGGGGTCATTATTCAAAGAACCTGGTGTAGTGCGTGGGAGATACTGCATGCACCTCTAACTCAGACATATCATTAATTCACACCATCCCTCTTGTGCCTACTAAACCAGGATTTCTCAGCCTCACCACCATTGACATTTTGGGCCAGAAAATTCTTTTCTTGTGGAACTGCTCAGTGCACTGTAGGATGTTTAGAAGCATCCCTGGCCTCTACCCAGAAGATGCCAGTAGTACTGTCCCGGTTGTGACAAGCAGAAATGGGTCCAGATACGGTCAAATGTCCTCTGGTGAGAGGGTAGCAAAATGGCCCCTGGTTAAGAACTACTGCAGTGAATTATTCAAGGGACCATGAGTGAAGTTTTGAATAATCCACACCTGAGCTAAGTGGTGCCAGAGAGATACTTGCAGGACCTCAGCTTTGTTAGTCTGACATCTCTCCTATAAGCCCACCGACTGGAGACCCCAAGCATGCTGCAGCCCCTACCTAACAGATCTTCATTTATTCCATTACAGGCTGTGGGCAGCATTTCTTCATTTCAGATAGAATCTTCCAGAGTTTAGGAACAGAGCAGGCTGCCTTCTCTCCTCTTGCCAGGAATTTCAGTGCGACATTGAACATGTCACTGGAGTTTGCTTGTTGCAAGGACAAACACTTCTCCTGGCACCTCACCCCCACACCTGCCTAGAGACAAGGCTGCCCAGGCTGTTTAAAGGGAAATCAGTACTGTGCCAGGCCTGTCCAAGTGAATTTTTTCTTTGAGCAAATACCCCTGCCTACTTGTTCATTTTTAAAACCATAGGTCTTCCTGGTGAGGGGGCTTCAAATAAACTACAACAAAGAGTAAAGTCTTTATCCCTTAGTAGGAAGAGAAGAAGAGCCTCCAACAATAATTTATTCATTCATCCACTGGTAATAAAGGCAGGGCTGTGATCACAAGAGAGGAGATACAGACTTCTTGGTCTCAGGGGATTTGCAAGGCCCAGAGTGTCCAGTGGTATAGATCTATCAAGGAGAAGCTTCCTTGGTAAACTTAGTGCCTACTGATCCAGGAAGGAATATGTGCTGCTCACTTCATCCCTCTGTCTCCATGTCCCACCTGGTAAAAATCAGTCCTGACAATACCAAAACTTTGCCAATTCTACTTCTGAAATATCTCCTGGCTCAGATCCCTCCATCTTTGCAGTTCCTAACGTATTAATAGTTCAGGTATCATCTTCGTTTGTTCCTCTGAACTAATGTAATTGCTTTCTCATGCCTTTCCTTCCCACTTCCATACGGAATACCACGGCGGTCTTTGTAAAACCCAACAGAATGAGAAAACGCTCATATCCCTCCTCACCAAATACCATAAACAATGTTTGAAAATAAAAACAAAATTGTCACGTGGAAGAAACAAAAACACTTGCAATGTTTGTAACAGAAAACCTAATATCTATATTTCTGACTCTCTCCTGGCTTCCACATATGTGAAGAACTCTCACAAATCAGTAAGAAAATGCCAAAAATAGGCAAAGGCCATGATTAAGCAAATACCAAAAATGAATTTTTAAAACGAAAAATACAAATATGAGAAATGTGCAACCTTACTTCTAATTGAGGGCCACAAATTAAACAAGTATATTTTAACCTCTTAGATTAGCAAAAATGTAAGAGGTTGGCAACAGCAGGTGTTGACAAAAATTCACAAAAATGGGAGCTCTCATAATGGTTGGAAGTGTAAATTGGTGTATAATTTATCAAAGGCAATTTTCCTACATTGTGTTTGTTTTCTACTGCTACATAACAAATAACTATAAATTTAGTGGCTTAAAACAACACACATTCATTTTCTCACAGTTTTAGTGGGTCAGGAGTCCAGGCAGAACTTAACTGGGTTCTCCGCTCAAGGTCCCACAAAGCTGCAATGGAGGTGTCAGCCAGGGCTTAGATCTCATCTTAGGCTGAGTCTTCTTCCAAGCGCACATAATTATTGGCAAAATTCATTTCCTTGCAGCTGCAGACTTTTTGAGGCTTGCTTCTTCCAGGCTAGCAGGAAAGAGGGTCTCTGACTTCCAGACTCTTTTAAAATGTCTCAGTTGATTAGGTCAGGACCACTCAAAATTAACTCTGTTGATTAAAGTCATCTGATTAGAAACCTTAGTTTTATCCCAAAATCCCCTCACTTTTACCATATATTGAAACATATTCACAGGATTGACACCCATTGCCTTTGCCATATTCTATGGCGATATGGTTTGGATCTGTGTCCCCGCCCAAATCTCATGTTTACTTGTAATCCCAATGTTGGAAGCAGACCCAGTGGGAGGTGACTGGATCATGGAGGCAGAGTTCTCATGAATGGTTTAACATCATCTTCCCTTGGTACTGCATAGTGAGTGAGTTCTCACAAGACCTGATTGTTTAGAAGTGTCTAGCACCTCCTCCAACCTCTCTTTCTCCTGCTCTGGCCATGTAAGATTTGCATGCTTCCCCTTAATTCCGCCATAATTTTAAGTTTCCTGAGATCTCCTCAGAAGCCAGACTGATGCTGCCATGCTTCCTGTACAGCCTGTGGAACAGTGAGGCAATCGAACCTCTTTTCTTTATAAATTACCCAGTCTCAGGTATTTCTTTATAGCAGGGTGAGAACAGAGTAATGCATATGGGTTAGAAGCAAGTCACAAGTTCCACCCATGCCCAAAGGGAGGGGATTAAAGAAAGACACAGATCATCAGAGATCATCTTATAATTCTGCCAACAGCATATATAGACCAAAACTTAAAATGTTTACAATCTTTGCCATAGTAATCTCACTTGTAGGACTATATCCCAAAGAATTAAGTGGACTAGAACATATATATGCCCACAGAAGCCTTTTCATCATTCTGCTATTTGAAATCATGAATATATATACTATAGTAGCAACCCCAATATCCATAAAAATGAGTTCAAATAATTTATGATATATGCACATGGCCTATCGTATAGCTGTTAAAAAAAAACACAAGTGATCAAAAGGTATTTAAGTAAAAAGAGTGCTATGATGTATTAAGAGGAAATAGCAAGTTTAAGTCCATCTACACTTATATTTATATATAACTGTGAAAATGAACCTAAAATTGTAAAATAACATACAGCTATTAGCAGACAGTATCTTCAGGTATGGGAATAGATGGCAATCTTTATTTTCTGTGTAGTTTTTATGGTGTGAAACTTTTTGAAATAGCTGTGTATTCCTTTTATAACAAGACACAACAAAAGAGCTGTTTTTTAAATGCGAGAGTATTGGTTTGTAAAATGAGTAGTGTACAAAATAGTATACTCAAGGGCATCTTATGTTTTGTAAAATATAGATGAGAAGAAGAAAACTTGTTAGGGAAGACACAAAATTTTAATAGAGGCTAGATAGACGTTGGTATTATGGGATGTCTTGAGGTTCTATTTTAGCTGTTTTCTGCATTTTTCCAATACAACATGTACATTATTTTCATAGTTTTTCAAACCAATTCCTGCTATCTTTTTTTTAAGTGTAGAAAAGGAACCATACATAGGGAAAAAAAAAATAGCCAAATGCAGTCTCACTTCCCTGGTCTCCAGGCAGAGATGGCCTCCAACATCTGAGCACTCACTGACCACAGCTTCCTCCCATGGCTTAACAGTGCCTTCTATTGTGGCTGCCTCGCCCATCAGGCTGTAAGGGTACTGATGGCAGCACCCCTCGTTCACCTCTGCACCTCCAGTGCCTGTCACAGGGCCTGCCACAGAGTACTTCACGGCGGCTAAATAAACGAATGAAGAAGATACTGGCAGGCTAGAACCTTGTAAGCAAATCAAAGTGTTCCAACAATCATCTTATTTGCAATGGTGAAGGATGGAGTTGAGGGAGCAAACTGGAGGCAGGGAGACAAGATGCCCTGGTTTATTAGGAGTAAGATATTGAGGACCTGGTGGCAAGGGAGCAGCAGTGCAGATGCACCGGAAGTGGAAAGGACAGAATTCAGGGAATAATGGGAGTAAGTGTCCACAGCAGCCAAGCATTGAGGGTAATGCCCATACTCTGGCTTGGACAACTGGGTGGTGACATTTGCCTGAATATGGAGCAAAAGCTTTTGAGAGAGAAAACATGACAACTTCAGGTTTGAACACACAGGGTTTGATGAGCAGAGACATCTGGGAGGTGCCACAAGGAGCTCCTTATGTCATCCTCCCAGCTGTCACCACACACAGGGTTGATTCTGCAAACCACCGGAGCTTAATTGATGCATGTCTTCTGAGTAAAATTCATCTATCCCTCCTCAGGGATGAAATGCCCCCTGCCTTAGGATTCTGTGACTTCCTCAAGCCCAGAGAGATGGGGTGCAATGGGAGGGTTGAGTTACAGTGTCAGGCACTGCATAGGCTAAGGAGCTCCAGGGTCTGCTACTCTGCTATCTGGGAAGATGCTCATTTGCATTGGTTCCCTCTGCAGTGGGATGATTTTGTCCTTCATTTGCCTTCCCTGGATGATGCAGGCTGCCTGCATCCCCACTCTGAAAACTCTTTACACAGAACTGGCCGCACATTTCATAAAGCCATGAGTGATGTCAAAGAGCATGTACAATGGGGAGAAGACTGACTCTGGGCATTAATTTTACATTTGTAATCAGGGGATCTTAATCAAATGCCACCAAGCTACCATTGCAAGACAGCCTTCCACAAACACCACCCCTTGCACAGCTCAGGTTCTGCCTGGCACTCAAATTATCTGCAAAATGGTCCCTACCACCGTGCCCACTTATGCCCCAGGCCTCTCCATGGAGCCACATCCAGTTTCCTAAGCTTACTACATCACTCTTTGTGTTGTCCTCTCAGCCTTGATTGCCCTTCCAGATGTAACCTAACTAGTTCAGCCCTCTGCAGCCTTCAAAACCTAGCTCAGTCATCATCTGTCCTGGGGGATCTTTCATTTTTATTTTTTAAAATTTTACTTATTTTGGTTTTTGTTGTTGTTGTTATTTTTTTGTTTTGTTTTGTTTTGAGATGGAGTCTCACTCTGTCACCCCCACTGGAGTTCAGTGGCACTATCTCAACTCACTGTAACCTCTGCCTCTCAGGTTCATGCAATTCCCTTTCCTCAGCCTCCTGAATAGCTGGGACTACAGGTGTGCGCCATAAAGTCTGGCTAATTTTTGTATTTTTAGTAGAGACGGGGTTTCACCGCGTTGGCGAAGCTGGTCTTGAACTCCTGACTTCAAGTGATCTGCCTGCATTGGCCTCCCAAAGTGCTGGGATTACAGGTGTGAGCTACCACACCTGGCTGGGATTTTTTATTATTATTATTTTTTACATTTTTAATTTTATAGATTTAAAGGTACAATTGTAGTTGTGTTAAATGGATATATTGTACAGTAGTGAAGTTGGCTTTTAGCGTCCATATCACCGGATAGTGTACATTGCGCCGATAGGTAGTATTTCATCTCTGACCCTGCTCCCACCCTCCTACCTTTTAGGGTTTCCAATGTCTCTTATTCCACTCTGTACGCCTGTGTGAACCCGTTATTTAGCTACCAGTTATAAGTGAGAGCATTTTTGACTTTATGTGCCTGAGTCATTTCATTTAAAACAATTGCCTCCAGTTCCAACCATGTTGTTGCAAAATACATACTTTTATTCTTTTATGGCCGAATAGAGTTCCATGGTATATATGCAACACATTTTCTTTATCCAGTCCTCTGTTAACGGACACTAAGGTTGGTTTCATGATTTTGCTATTGTGAATAATACCACAAGGAATATGTGAGTACACCTCCTGGCAATCTTCAACCCCTTTCTAACAGGGTGGGTTTGGATCCCTCTGTCCTGAGTCAATGTCAAGGCACTGCATTGAACCTTTCTGTTTATGATTCTGCATCTCTCACACTACTCTGAGTTCGTAGGTTGCTGTGCCTTGTCTCAGTACCATGCTCAGCTCCATCCCCACATCTACCATGTTATGTACTAGTGAGTGGTAGCTCCCGCCTGATAGAATGAGCTACTCTCCATAGTGGAAAATTCTTTCCCATTGATTCCAAACAGTGCAAAAGACCCCCTTTCAGAATGAAATTTGAGGGTCACCTTTGGCTCTTCTCTGCTGCATCTCCAACATACAATCTGCCTTCTACCTGCACCATCACCCCTTTCATTTTCCCATTATATTATTCCAGTGGATGCAAGTGATTGCAAATTACCATCTCACCCGTCACAAAAGCATTATCTACAAATCGCTTTGTAGGCCATCAAGCATCAGCACATGTCACGATTATCTGGGTGCTCATAAAATCCTTGTGAGATTTGAAGGCCAGAAACCATCTTCCACATTTTACACACAAGAAACATGAGGCTCAGTAAATTAATCTAGTCAGATACAAAGTTTAGACTGCAAATCAAGACTTGTAATTCTCAGACTTGGTCTTTTTACATGTTACCTCCATTAAATAGTCTACTATAAGAGTTCGTTAGGGATGGTTTACTCTACAAGAAAAGGATCCTTTTGTTTTTCTCCAGTGCCTAGTTTGGGACGCAGCACAACAAATCAATAAATCAATAAATCATTACTAAATTAATGAATACATCTCAATAAATCATTACTAAATTAATGAATAAATAAATGTCCCTTTGCATCATGACCTTAGTTTTCTCATCTGTAAACGAGCATGTTTAGGTGTGCTGGTTCCCAAGAACATCTCTGGCACTCTTTTGTCTCTAGCTATCAATTTCTGGCTAGCAGACTGACTGTCAGGCGGAGGTCTGTGCCGGGCAGGATGCAGGCATGGTGAACACCAGGTGCCCTGGGTGTGAATAACAAGCAACAAAAACTGAACTGAGACCATTTATGAAAATAATAATGAAACCACACATTCCTTGATACCAGAAATAATACAGGGCTCCATGCCTTGTTACCGGCTCTGCTTCTCAATGTCTTTGCCATCCCAATGTCGTTCATTCCCACTTTGCCTGAAGTCCATTTTTGGTACAGAAATGTAATTTAGTGGGTGGCTTTTCCCACAACTCTGGGCCACTAACACATTCATTTTCTTCTCTGCTTTTAAAGTTTATGTTCCTTTGTGCACAACAGGCAGCACATCACCACTTTCCTGCAAAGTCACAGGCAACAGAGAAACTCCTAAAAGCTCCTGCAAGTCTTGGGAGAGACTGGAGCATTTCCATTAAGACCCTCATGCTACTAGATTGTTCTTAGGAACCCCTCAGAAGATTCAGCAACATGCAAAGTGACTTGTAGAATGGGATAATAATCATAAGGGTAATAAACGCCTATTTGATAGTGCTTACTTTCTGCCGGACACTGGTCAAACGGCTTTCTATATATCCTTTCATTTAACTCTCCTGACAACTCTGTGAGGGAAATGCTGTCAATATCTCTATGTTTCAGAGGGGAGATCTGAGGCATAGTGACATTAGGACACTCTACAGGTCACATTATTAGGAATGGGCAAAGCCAAGCTTGGAACCCAGGCAGCATGATTCCAGAGCAAATACTCTTACCACTATGTTCTTTTTTTCTCCTATAGCTACATATGCTCCTCTTTCATGAAGCCTTCCTGGCCACCCCACAAACAATGCTAAATACTAGATGGTGACAGAACAAGGAGCAGGGGCTTCACAGTCAGTTAGAACTGATTTCCACCCCTGGCTGTGCCAAATTACTTATATGATTGTGGGCAAATTGAATAACCTCTTTAAATCTTAACTTCCTCATTTGTAAAATGGAAATGATAAACATTTCACAGTACCTTGGCAAACACTTAAGACTTAAGAGTCAGTAAATGTCCTGCATGCTCTGAAATGGGAAGTCCCAAGGCAGAACAGAGGGGTGCTCTGTTCCCTTCACTCCTCATTCATTTATTCATTTATTCACTTACCCAACAATTCTTTAATGAGCACCAACCACATACCGTGCATTGCCTGGGGTCCTGGGAAGGTTCCTGTTCTCACGGAGCTTACAGTCTAGTGATGAGTGACAGAAGTTAAAAGGCAAATACACCAATGGCACACACAATTTCAGAGACAATCAGCGCAAGAAGACAATAAACAGGAGATACGAGTGATGTAGTAATGGTATGCTGGGGAGGAGGGTGTGAGGGAGAGAACTGCTTTAGACTGGCCTGGGAGATATTTGAGCCGAGACTAAAATGAGCAAATGAGCAGCATCAGCCAGCCAAGTGAAGATCCAGGGGGCTAGGGGTGGGGTGGAGAGGGGACAAACGATTTAGACAAAGGAAATGACAAGTGCAAAACGCAAACAGGCAAAAAACTTAGAGGGTTCTAGGAAACCAAATAAGGCCAGTACGGCTGGAGCATAGTGCATGGCCAGGAGAATAGAAGGAGATGAGCTTTGAGAGGCTGGTGCGACTAGATCTTGCTGGGCCTTGTGGGCCATATAAACAAGGAGTTCGGATTTCATTGTAAGTGCAATAGGAAGCTCTTAGGGCATTTTAAGTAGGGAACTGGCATGATGTGATTTATGTTTTCAGAAGCTCAATCTCGATAAGAAGTGAAGAATGGATAAAAGGAGTGGAATACATTTAGAAGTGGAACCTGGAGATTGTGATAAATGTTAGACCTCAAAGCTTCACTCCATAGACGGACAAGAATGACATTTCTTCTTTATCCCCGTAGATGTGTTTCCCAAGACATCCAGGAGAGGATATTGGCGCAAACAGTGAGTCATCACTCTCCACCCACCTTCCAGACTCCCTCCTCCATGCATATCCAGCTCTTCTCAACCTGGGGCTCCCTTAGAAAATCCAGACAAAACAATTGCCACAGAGCCAACATCTTCCTTTTCCCTTTGTCTTATGGTAAAAACATATTTGTAGAAGCAAATCCAATAATAAAAGATTAGCACATAAATACACTGAAAAGTAAGATCACTGACAAATACACCAAGTGTCGGCAAACAGTTCTCAGTGTCTTGGCACATGCGGAGCCCATGTTGCAGGTGGCATCAGGCAGACATGGGGCCTAATCAGAACTCCCACTGAAGCTGGACGGCCTTGAGTCAGCAATGTTCTAGTTAATATCTCTCCTCCATTTGTCCCCCCGCTCTGCATTTCCTGGTTTTTTCAACAGAGTCATCTGGGGAAAACCCACACATTTTATGATATTTTGTCTTCCCCTTCCTCTCTGTTAAAATAAATGCCTGTCACATTTGATACTCATCTGAATTACTGATGTTGGGCATGAGATGGTGGGGCCATGCGATCCCTCTGGAGACAGGAATCTGGTTTATTTGGATCCCCAGGAGCTCATGAATACTGTGAGTTAGGCTTTTGGCTCTTAAAGAAGAGAGTCCATAATATCCCAGAACAATGCCTCAGTAGCAGATTTAGTTCTCTTTTTTTTTTCTCCTGATTGTGTTCCTTTTTACCTAGCACTAATGTGGGTGGCTATGGTGAGAGAAGAACATGCTAGGAAGAGGTTCTCTCATTTTCATATTCTTCTCATGCACACATCCACTAGGGAGCTAGGTGGAGATGCTTGCACCCCAAGAGCTCTGGGCCCAGCCACTCATTGGAATCAATAAGCCTTCCTAAGGGTTTAGAGTTGGGGGAACTGAGGCCCAGTGATGTTCTATATCTCTCTTCTATACCCCGAAGACATTGAGTTCCATAATTGTACCATACTTTGCCTGGCATGGCCTGCACTGGCATGGCTCATGAAACATGATAGGGGCCTGCCCAGTTGACCCAGGCCCCCCTTGAGGCTTGGTGTGTGCTGAGAGGGTGACTCCTGTTTCAGGCATTGACAAGAAACCCAGTCCAGGGGTTTGTGTTGCTGACAGCAGGCAAGCTATCAGCAGGGGTGTCTGATATAGGCTGTGAGACTCCAAGGTCAAAGGAGGAAAAGCATCTCAGAGTCTCTGTCGGTTGGAGAGGGCAGAGATGAAAGTAGAACTCATGGAGTGAGGCGTGACCCAAGCACTACAGGGAGAGGCACATGCAAGGCACAGGCCTCTATGAATGCCTGAGGAGTCCATTCAGAATCCAGTTAGACCTGCCCCGGAGCAGGTGAAGGTGGGTCACGTGGTCAGAGCTGGACCCATGGCTGAATCCATTCAGCCACTTTCTGCTCAGGCCAGGACTGACCCCAGGACACAGCCTGCAGTAGGGGAGCTCACTGCCCTTGCTTAGGGGCAGGCAAAGAGATTCAAAAGCCAAGGGGGGCCTGGTAACACTGACATCCCAGGCTCAGTTCTGCTCATCAGTCCCTGAGTGAGAAAAGCTGCAGGTCTTCAGGCCCTTGTCACTCCCTGCTGGTGTTAATTTACTCACTTCTTAGACGTCTCCGCAGAAAGGTCAAGGGCTAGATGAGTAATCATGGCTGAGCTAATGCCTCAGCCTCAGCCATCGATTCTCGACCTCAATTTTCACAAATGTCTCACTATCTTATCCAAATATGCTTCATACCTTGGAGGAAAGGGTGTTCCTGGTGAAGTTTGCAAATGATTGATTTAAGTGGTTGTGGCTTTCAGAAACTGGCATAAAAAAGAATGTGAGCAAAGACCGATCTGCACAGGAACCAACCATTGGATGCTGCTGTGGGGAGGAATGTGGATACCAGGAAACGGGCTCTCTCCCCCTCCTACAGGAGCCCAGAGCCTCCTACCTCAGTCCACCGATTAGAGGGTCACAGGTTTCAGGATGCATCAGAATTACCTGGAGAATGTGTCAACATGCAGGTTCCAGGGCCCTGGCCCTAGAGTCAGATTCTATAGATGTGGCGCAAGACCCAGAAATGTCATGTGGCCACGATCCTTCATGAGCCTGATGGAGGCATGGTCTCAGAGCCTTGCTGCTCAAAGTGTGGTTGGTGGACTGCAGGCAGTAGAACAGAAATGAAGAATTTCAGGCTACAGGATCAGAATCTGCCTTTAACAGAATCGCCAGTGATTCTTGTGCACGATGTTGAGAAATGCTGGCTTAGACCACATTGTGAGCCCCGTTGGCTCTTCTCTGGGCCCAGATTTTTCTCTGGCTGTGTTTTGTGACTCCACTTCACTCACCTCTAATTCCCTGAGGGACCCCTTCCACCCCAAGATAAATAGAACTGACCTTCTGGGCCACACACTCTTGCAGGGAGACATGTACACACACACAGGCACCTACCAAGGCTGATGTGGTAGGGCCAGCCCAGCAGATCTGGGACCTCAGCAAAGCCAATCTGAGGGCAAGAGAATGAGAACAGAAAAAGTATGGGGGCTACAGCCTTGCCAACTGCTCACAGATTTCAGCAAAGAAAACAGCAATAATTAATTCTGCCAATACTTTTTGAGCACCTGCTATGTGCCAGGCCCTGGGGGAATGACAGCCGCCATTCATATAATACCTTTTGGTTGATAAAACATGTTCACTCCATTCTGTCAGTGAACTGCACATACGACAGAGAAATGAGCCTGTGATATAGAAAGCATGATCCCCATTTTACAGATGATGAAACTGAGGCTCCAAGAAACTGAGTTACTTGTCCAAGATTTAAAAATAGCTTTTGAGCTGGGATCCCCACTTTTTTGGCTTTCTTCCCTCACACTCAATGTGATTAATTTATTTGCTCTACATGGTCATTTGAGCATTACCCCCGACATTTTTTTCTGCCTTTTCTGCCATGATGACTGTCCAGCATGGAGAAGCATTGTGTCCAGTTGCCACTGAATTTCCATTAGATGGGGCCACTCATCCTGAACTACAAGTGGCACTGAGTATGCCCATGCTCACAGCAGCTATTCATCATAGCTAAATTTTCATCACAGCTAAAATGTGGAAGCAACCCAAGTGCTCATGGATGAATGAATGAATAATTAAAATGTGGCACATACATAGAATAAAATATTATTTAGCCTTAAAAAGGAAGGAAATTCTTACACATGCTACTACATAGATTAGCCTTAAGCTAATTGAAATAAGTCAATCGCAAAAAGAGAAATATTATATAATTCTACTTACATGAGACACTTAAGAGTAGTCAAAATCATAGAGACAGGAAGTAGAATGGTGGCTACCAGGGGGTGGGAGAAGAGGGAAATGAAGAGTTCGTATTTAATGGACACAGAGTCTCCATTTTGCAAGAAAAAGAGTTTTGGAGATGGATGGTGTGAAGGTTGCACATTATCAATGTATTTAACGCTACTCAACTCTACATTTAAAAATGATTAAGATGGTATATTTTATGTTACCTGTATTTTACCACAATTTAAAAAAATGGGAGGTGGAGGAAGAGATTCTAAGCAGCTTCCTGTGTAAAGGCCAGATCTTGGAACTGGAAGTTAGGACTGAGCCACCAATCATGAACGGAATGACCACTGGGACTGCACAGAAATATATTAATATGTCAGCCAAACCCAAGATTCAGAGGCTGAGCAGGGATACGCAAGACATTGCTTTGAAGTGTTGATTCCTTATCACTCATCAGTGAAAATTCTTAAACTTGGAGCAACAATGAAATGCTTCCTGAACACAAGAAAATAAAACAACAAAATAAAGAACAAAACAAGCCCTGAACATGCCTGAACCAAGAAAGCCAGGATGTGAGGGTGATGAGCATGAGGGTGTGGGCATGGGCGGATTGCATGGGGCTGGGAGTGCACAGCGGGGGAGCCTGAATGAGCAGGCAGAGGGACCTGTGGGCGCTTGCTTTTGCTTCCGGGTCTTCTTCATTATCATGGGCCCGGGGAATCTGAGAGGGTCTCACAGTGCCCACAGCCTTACCCTTATCCCAGGTGCAACTGCTGATCCTCCCTGAAACACCAGCTCATAAGGGCATCCTCATGTGGACCAGAAGCAATGACACTGGCCGTGTGTCACAGCTTACAGAGCATCTTCATGTGCCACCCAATCATCTATGCCCTGGTGGGAGTACTATCTCCACTCATTTTACAGATGATGAAACTGAGACTCAGACCAGTAAAGCTGTCTGTCCAAGGAATAACCAGAGGGTAGACTTGCATCCAGACTCCAGGCTCCAAGGCCCAAACTCTGCATCTGGCACCTCATGGTCTCATGTCTCCGGAATAAGTACTCAATAGCCACAGCTGAGGTGCCTCATGCATCATGGGCAGCCACAGCCCCTGCCCCAGTCCCCTTGTCTGATGAACACACATCATGATGCCACTCTATAAAGAGGACCGTTGCCAGAAAGGATTAATTCATTAATGAATATGAGGTCTCTGGAAACCCAGAACGTGATGTAAATACCCGTGCTGTCAAAGCTGCCTCTCTGTTGCAGAATGAAAAGCACCAAAATCCCTCCATTGTCCTTGGATAATAGCTTTGATTTGGGGCAGGGCAGGAGGAAGGAGACTCTGTCTGGGGGATAAACAATGCTGGGATGTTCCAACATAGCAGGATTTGCACACAGGATCCAGCAGAGATGGCGTGCTTTTCTCAATATTGTCTGGGATATCAAATGGGAAGACTGGAACAGCCAGGGGAGATTTGGATGCCTGAGATCTGGAGCTGCTGGAGCTGAAGGAATTGATTTCCAACTAGATTTCTCACACGCCTCGTGCTTGGGCTGGATGGCTGAAGGTCAGCCCAGCTGGCACTGTCACCTGGAGCACGGACTTAGGGTCTTGCCATGGGGTCCAGGCTTCTCACCGCATACAGAGTGAGTTCTGAAGGAGAAGATCTTCAAGGGAACAAGTGTCCTAAGAGACCACCCTCAAATGCCATGTGGTTCCAACTTTTCTCAAGGGGAAGGTACAGTTTTAGCCAGCCCAGACCCAAGGGAAGGGATCAGAGACATTCTTGATGGGAAGAGTGTCAAAGATTTGGGGGCCATGTTTTAAAGCCATCACAGGGAAGGACGTCAGGGTTTGGTATAGGATTGAGTTTGAATACCCTAGTCCCAGACACCCACCCCGTCTCTATGAGGAAGATAATACAGAACACTCCAACACTTTTTTTTCTTTTCATTTTTGAGACAGAGTCTCCTTCTGTCACCCAGGTTGGAGTGAAGTGGCGTGATCTTGGCTCACTGCAACCTCCACCTCCTGGGTTCAAGTGATTCTCCTGCCTCAGCCTCCTAAGTAGCTGGTACTACAGACACACATGACCATGCCGGGCTAATTTTTGTATTTTTAGAGGAGACAGGATTTCACTATGTGGGCCAGGCTGGTCTCGAACTCCTGACCGCAAACGATCCGCCCGCCTCAGCCTCCCAAAGTGCTGGGATTGCAGACTTGAGCCACCGCACCCAGCCCCCAACACTTTGAATTAAACCATTTTCATCCTTGAGGCATAAGTTTTAGGGTCCTTAAGGAACCTAGGTCCTTGCCTTTATTTATTGATGACAAAACTGAAGCCACGAGAGGACACTTGTTATGGCCAATGTCACATGTCTGCTAAGTGTCACAGCCAGTGTTCAAAAGGAGGCTGCTGACTCCAAATCCAACACTGACTCTTTGCTCCCAGGTCTGGCTGCTATAGCAGCTGGGCTGCCTCGTTCTTTCTACCAAGATATGGAATCCATCTTTAGAGCTGAGTAACCAGCTGCAAACCAGAGCCTTCCAGCTTCTCTTCCTCTAGGAGAAGGGCAAGGAACAGGGCGGCCCAGGGATGTGTGCTGTCTAGGGAGGCTGTAGGCTGGCAGACAAATAAGAGCAGATCAGCTGACCCCCACTCCCCCCAGGGCGGGTCTATGATGGGCAATTGGATAAACACATTCAGAACAGGATGAATGTGCAGCCGAGCGTGAGCACATTTTAAAATATACATTTCACCTCCATATGCAGATCCCAGTGACATGTGACAAATGTGCTGTGGCCTCCAGGAGCTGTTCTCCAAGGAGGCACTTATTTCATTTGACTCCAAGCATCCAACCTCAACAGATGGCAGAATTCAGATGGGTGGCGGGAAGCAGGCTTCAATTACTGCAGGAAGACTCAAGTTAGACAATGGGAAGAACTTTCCTTCTCTGGAACACCAGCTTTTTTCAGCGACTATTTTGCAATGTGATACACAGACTCAACATAGACACTTTCACGTGAATAAAAGTGCTCTCTGTAGAAATGGGGGGAAAAAAACCTGGTTGATAGAAACTTAGACTTTTAGCTCAGACTCCCAGATTTTCTGCAATACACTCATTCCACAAAGGGTGTCACCCTTGTGAGCACTTTTGGCTTAAATGAAGGCTCAGTGTCTCTTTTTGGAGAGCAGACAACATGTTAAGGACATAAATATGTAGATCTGCGGGTTTACTTGTTTTGTTTTTTTTTTTTGTTTTTTTTTTTGAGATGGGGTCTCACTATGTTGACCAGTCTGGTCTCGAACTTCTGGCCTCAAGCAATCCTCCCATCTTGGCCTCCCAAAGGGCTGGGATTACAGGCGTGAGCCACCATGCCTGACCTGAAATATGTAGATTTGAACTTGAAAACCTGAGAACTGAAGCCCTGTAACCTTTTCCAAACTAATCTGTGAGACAGGAAGGGGTTTAGAATTATATAAATAAGTCACCTGCTTGTGTGTCAGGCACATTTTTTCTTTTTCTGTTGTTGTTGTGGGGGATAACACCCTTTGTGAGATAAAACTCACAACCATACAATTATACAATTCATCCATTTAAAGTGTATAATGCAGTGAATTATCGTATATTCACATAGTTATGCAGCCATCATTGTAAGTCAATTTTAGAAAATGTTCATTACCCCAAAAAGAAATTCCATACCCTTCACTTCCACACAAACTCTTTGCCTAGGCAACCACTAATCTTCTTTCCGTGTCTATAGACTTACCTATTCTGAACATTGCAATACACTAGTCTTTCGTGTCTGACTTCTTTCCCTTATCATGTTATTTCAAGGTTTGTCTATGTTGCAGCATGTATGCCTTCATTCCTTTTTATTGTGGAAAAAGTGTTCACTGTATGGATATGCTATATTTAATTTATCCGATCATCAGCTGATGGGCATGTGGGCGGTTTCTATTTTGGGGTGATCATGAATACTACTGCTATGAGCATTCATGTACAAGGTTTCCTGTGGATGTATGTCTTCATTTATCTTGGATATGGACTTAGCAGTGGAATTGCTGAGCATGGAACTGTACATTTAACTTCTTGAGGAACTCCCAAACTGCTTTTCAAAGAGGCTGACCATGTTACACTCACAACAACAGTGTATGAGGATCCAATTTTTTCACATTCTCTCCAACACTTGTTATTATCTGTCTTTTTCATGGTGGCCATCCTACTGGGTGGGGAGGTGCTTCTTTTATGTTATCTCATTTCATCTTCAGAACGCTGCCATAAGGGCAGGCACTACCATCCCAATGTACAGATCACAATAGTGAGGCTCCAAGAGGTTGAGCCTGTCAAGGTTGCAAAGCTGGTAAAGAGGCATAAAGATGTGTTGTCAGGTTTGCCTGACACCTCTCCCACTTCCCTGTATCCCAGTCCACTCTCAGGCCCGTCACGCCACCTGCATAGCCCTCTCCATGTGTTTATCTTTGTGTTCCACGTGTGACTCATTGCTGAGATGGTCAGGAATGACAGCGACTGAACTTTCTATCCAAACTCACCTTCCTTCCCTGAGCCTTGAGATGGAACCATCCCCTCCTGGCTGTGGGCATTCCTTCTGTCAAGGGTGAGAGCCAGCCCAGACTGCCATGAAATAAACCAACATGCTTCTCTTCCCCAACCCCTCCATCAGTGCCCAGATCCAGCCCCACTAGGCTCCACCTGGCTCCATAGCTATTTCACCCACCTCTTGGAGCACATGAGGCTCTTGCCTGGTCCATCAATGGCTTCAGGGATCTCCCACATCAGACTTCCAGGAAATCTCCCTTTGGTTCAAAAAATCGTAATGAACAGGACCCTAAACAACCTAGCACCTCCTAAGACCCATGCTGACATGGGCCCTTGGTCGTGAGTTGCATCATTCAGCCTCCTGCTGAATGAGGTCAGCACCTGCTGGACCCACCCATCTCCTGACTCTTCCCCTTCCCCACCACACAGGAAGACAACTGATGCAGGGAGCATCAGTGTCAGGTGTGTTGTATTTATGTGACGCACACAGTTCCCTACTCTCCCACCATTGTTCTTCGATATATGACAAAACTCCCAATTTGTCAAATGCTTAACAGCAGTCAGGAAAATGTATTCTCCACACATCCACCGAGCTTTTCATTTTGCACAACTGTCAGCAAGAACAGTTTACAAATTTTCTGTCATGGAGATTCTGAAAGAATGGGGAAGAGGGGAGAAACACCCCCCACCCCAACCCCTTCTGTGAGTCACAGCCTCAACTTGACAGAAGCCCAGGCAGCAGCTGAGACTCCCCTGTTACATTACACGTCATCACTCTTTGCATTTAAGCCCATTTTCCATGCAGCCATTTCTGAATGCATTTCTGTTTCCATCAAATCCCTCCCCATGGTGTAAAAGTAAATATTAGACAGTGCCCTCCTCCTAAAAGACCTTGTATTTCAAGCTCAAAAAAGTCTCCTAGAGGGACTCAGTAGTAGACAGCTGTCTGCTCCACAGATGCCAGCCAGCTTCCCTGGCTGACATGCAACAGATTATCATGCAAACCCAGAAGCCTCAAGCTTTTAAGACATTATATATTGAAAATATACACTGAATCATCTTTAACAGAAAAAAAAAAACTAAAACCAACCAAAATTTCCAAAGAGAGACAATCGATTAAATAAATTATGATAACCCCCAAAATGGACCATGGTCCACCATGGAAAGAGTGTTTCTGTGGTGTGGGAATGTGGTTAGGATATGTTAACTAAAGCAAGTTTCAAAACTGTATTTACAGTATGATTCCCATTTAGTAAATGTATGTATGTATATTTATGCATAGGGGGAAAAAAGACCAGATGGATAGACACCCTAAATGTTAACACTCAAGAGATTATCTGCTTTTTAAAAAGATTTTTATTTTCATGTATTTTCCACATTTTCTTCCATGAAGCAAAAACTTTTTTTGAAAAAGTTGTTTCTGCTCAACAGTCTATTCATGGACCATTCCAAAAACTTTAAACTTGGCAGACTGCGGCCAGTTGTACAGTAAACATAATTTACAGCCCAATGGCTTTCTGGCAGTGAGCACTTTTTCATTCACACCAGGTGATGCCATACTGAACAGCAGCTGTCCATATGATTTTAATCACAGTAACTTTTGAAACCACAACTTGCAGTGCCCCTTATTTTGTTCCATTAAAAAGCTGTCTTTTGAAGCTAATGAGCAAATTCTCTGAGAACTGGAACCTAGCAAATGCTGAATCACTGGGCGAATAGCCCGTTAAATCCATACTAGTTATGCAGCTCTTTGAAGACACACACAGCTTAGGTAACTTGAAACTTCCCTCTGAGAATATATAAGATCTCTGGTTATCATATGTAAATGTAAGTCAATGCCTAACAAGAAATGATTATTTGCAAATACCTTGGCTATGATCTAAGTTGCAGATCTAATTTGAGGAGTAGCAGAGTGATCACTTTAGCACAGACCTGGAGGCTAAGATTACCCTTTACAGGGAAATCCTGAATAGGGTTGAGACTTCCCAAGAGACAGATTCTATGAGCTACTCACAATTACAACTGTCTAAGCTGAAAGAAAATTTCAACACTAAATCCCTTAGTCTTTCCTTTTCCTTTCTATTCAGTCTCTTCTGTTTTATCTCCTTTCCTACCCACCTTGAATATTTCTTGAGCTATCTCTTTAATAATACTTTTAGAATGTGCTTTCAAAACGTTTGCTTTCAGTCCTTCACAACCACTTGAAGGGGAAAAGAAGGAAAAGGACAAAAAAATATACATCCCTTGTGTATGAGTTTGCTAGAGCTGCTATAACAAAGTACCATAGACTGGGTGGGGGGTGGGGGCTTAACAATAGGAATTTATCATCCTATTGTTCTAGAAACTGAAAGTCCAAGATCAAGGTGTCAGCAGGGTGGATTCCTTTGAAGGGCTGTGAAAGAATCTGTTCCATGCCTCTCTCCTAGCTTCTGGTGGTTTGCTGGCAATCTCTGGTGTTTCTTGGCTTGCAGAAGCATCACCCTGATCTCTGCATTCAATTTCACATAGCATTCTCCCCAAGTGCATGGCTCTGTCTAAACTTCCCCTTTTTGTAAGGACACCTGTCACAATGGATTTGAACACCCCCAACACACACACCTAATGACCTTATCTTAATTTAACTGCATGCACAATGACCGTATTTCCAAATAAGGTCATATTCTGAGATCAGAGGGTTAGGACTTCAACATATAATTCAGGTCCATAGTACCTTGTACCAATCCAACCACAACTTTCTTTGAACCTATGCCCCAATCAGGGTCCTGAGCACTGCTGGAGAAAACTGTACAATCTCCAAGTGATAGCGTGGGTTCCAGTGTCAGCCGAGCTAACACTCCTTTGTCACCACCCCCTTCTATTCCCCACTGCAGCTTTTTTCAACTTTCACCATGCTCCTCTATTCCCTCAACTTCAGGAAATGATCTTACCTCCTACTTCACAGAAGCAAACAGAGGCCATCCCAAAAGAATGTTCTGACCACCCTGCAATGAATTATTTCCCTTTACTTGCTGTGTTAGTTCATTTTCATGCTGCTGATAAGGACATACCTGAGACTGGGCAATTTACAAAAGAAAGAGGTTTAATGCACTTACAGTTCCACATGGCTGGGGAGGCCTCACAATCATGGCAGAAGGCAAGGAAGAGCAAGTCACATCTTACGTGGATAGGTGGTCTCAGGCAAAGAGAGAGCTTGTATAGAGGAACTCTCGGTTTTTTTTGTTGTTTTCTTTTTTTTTTTTCTATTTTTTTTTTAATTATACTTTAAGTTTTAGGGTACATGTGCACATTGTGCAGGTTAGTTACATATGTATACATGTGCCATGCTGGTGTGCTGCACCCACTAACTCGTCATCTAGCATTAGGTATATCTCCCAATGCTATCCCTCCCCCCTCCCCCCACCCCACCACAGTCCCCAGAGTGTGATATTCCCCTTCCTGTGTCCATGTGATCTCATTGTTCAATTCCCACCTATGAGTGAGAATATGCGGTGTTTGGTTTTTTGTTCTTGCGATAGTTTACTGAGAATGATGATTTCCAATTTCATCCATGTCCCTACAAAGGACACGAACTCATCATTTTTTATGGCTGCATAGTATTCCATGGTGTATATGTGCCACAATTTCTTAATCCAGTCTATCATTGTTGGACATTTCGGTTGGTTCCAAGTCTTTGCTATTGTGAATAATGCTGCAATAAACATATGTGTGCATGTGTCTTTATAGCAGCATGATTTATAGTCATTTGGGTATATACCCAGTAATGGGATGGCTGGGTCAAATGGTATTTCTAGTTCTACATCCCTGAGGAATCGCCACAGTGACTTCTACAATGGTTGAACTGGATTACAGTCCCACCAACAGTGTAAAAGTGTTCCTATTTCTCCACATCCTCTCCAGCACCTGTTGTTTCCTGACTTTTTAATGATGGCCATTCTAACTGGTGTGAGATGGTATCTCATTGTGGTTTTGATTTGCATTTCTCTGATGGCCAGTGATGATGAGCATTTTTTCATGTGTTTTTTGGCTGCATAAATGTCTTCTTTTGAGAAGTGTCTGTTCATGTCCTTCGCCCACTTTTTGATGGGGTTGTTTGTTTTTTTCTTGTAAATTTGTTTGAGTTCATTGTAGATTCTGGATATTAGCCCTTTGTCAGATGAGTAGGTTGCGAAAATTTTCTCCCATTTTGTAGGTTGCCTGTTCACTCTGATGGTAGTTTCTTTTGCTGTGCAGAAGCTCTTTAGTTTAATGAGATCCCATTTGTGAATTTTGGCTTTTGTTGCCATTGCTTTTGGTGTTTTGGACATGAAGTCCTTGCCCATGCCTATGTCCTGAATGGTAATGCCTAGGTTTTCTCCTAGGGTTTTTATGGTTTTAGGTCTAACGTTTAAATCTTTAATCCATCTTGAATTGATTTTTGTATAAGGCATAAGGAAGGGATCCAGTTTCAGCTTTCTACATATGGCTAGCCAGTTTTCCCAGCACCATTTATTAAATAGGGAATCCTTTCCCCATTGCTTGTTTTTCTCAGGTTTGTCAAAGATCAGATAGTTGTAGATATGCAGCGTTATTTCTGAGGGCTCTGTTCTGTTCCATTGATCTATATCTCTGTTTTGGTACCAGTACCATGCTGTTTTGGTTACTGTAGCCTTGTAGTATAGTTTGAAGTCAGGTAGTGTGATGCCTCCAGCTTTGTTCTTTTGGGTTAGGATTGACTTGGCGATGCGGGCTCTTTTTTGGTTCCATATGAACTTTAAAGTAGTTTTTTCCAATTCTGTGAAGAAAGGCATTGGTAGCTTGATGGGGATGGCATTGAAACTGTAAATTACCTTGGGCAGTATGGCCATTTTCACAATATTGATTCTTCCTACCCATGAGCATGGAATGTTCTTCCATTTGTTTGTATCCTCTTTTATTTCCTTGAGCAGTGGTTTGTAGTTCTCCTTGAAGAGGTCCTTCACATCCCTTGTAAGTTGGATTCCTAGGTATTTTATTCTCTTTGAAGCAATTGTGAATGGGAGTTCACTCATGATTTGGCTCTCTGTTTGTCTGTTGTTGGTGTATAAGAATGCTTGTGATTTTTGTACATTGATTTTGTATCCTGAGAATTTGCTGAAGTTGCTTAACAGCTTAAGGAGATTTTGGGCTGAGACAATGGGGTTTTCTAGATATACAATCATGTCATCTGCAAACAGGGACAATTTGACTTCCTCTTTTCCTAATTGAATACCCTTTATTTCCTTCTCCTGCCTCATTGCCCTGGCCAGAACTTCCAACACTATGTTGAATAGGAGTGGTGAGAGAGGGCATCCCTGTCTTGTGCCAGTTTTCCAAGGGAATGCTTCCAGTTTTTGCCCATTCAGTATGATATTGGCTGTGGGTTTGTCATAGATAGCTCTTATTATTTTGAAATACCTCCCATCAATACCTAATTTATTGAGAGTTTTTAGCATGAAGGGTTGTTGAATTTTGTCAAAGGCTTTTTCCGCATCTATTGAGATAATCATGTGGTTTTTGTCTTTGGCTCTGTTTATATGCTGGATTACATTTATTGATTTGCGTATATTGAACCAGCCTTGCATCCCAGGGATGAAGCCTACTTGATCATGGTGGATAAGCTTTTTGATGTGCTGCTGGATTCGGTTTGCCAGTATTTTATTGAGGATTTTTGCCTCAATGTTCATCAAGGATATTGGTCTAAAATTCTCTTTTTTGGTTGTGTCTCTGCCCGGCTTTGGTATCAGAATGATGCTGGCCTCATAAAATGAGTTAGGGAGGATTCCCTCTTTTTCTGTTGATTGGAATAGCTTCAGAAGGAATGGTACCAGTTCCTCCTTGTACCTCTGGTAGAATTCAGCTGTGAATCCATCTGGTCCTGGACTCTTTTTGGTTGGTAAACTATTGATTATTGCCACAATTTCAGATCCTGTTATTGGTCTATTCAGAGATTCAACTTCTTCCTGGTTTAGTCTTGGGAGGGTGTATGTGTTGAGGAGTTTATCCATTTCTTCTAGATTTTCTAGTTTATTTGCGTAGAGGTGTTTGTAGTACTCTCTGATAGTAGTTTGTATTTCTGTGGGATTGGTGGTGATATCCCCTTTATCATTTTTTATTGCATCTATTTGATTCTTCTCTCTTTTTTTCTTTATTAGTCTTGATAGTGGTCTATCAATTTTGTTGATCCTTTCAAAAAACCAGCTCCTGGATTCATTGATTTTTTGAAGGGTTTTTTGTATCTCTATTTCCTTCAGTTCTGCTCTGATTTTAGTTATTTCTTGCCTTCTGCTAGCTTTTGAATGTGTTTGCTCTTGCTTTTCTTGTTCTTTTAATTGTGATGTTAGGGTGTCAATTTTGGATCTTTCCTGCTTTCTCTTGTGGGCATTTAGTGCTAGAAATTTCCCTCTACACACTGCTTTGAATGCGTCCCAGAGATTCTGGTATGTCGTGTCTTTGTTCTCGTTGGTTTCAAAGAACATCTTTATTTCTGCCTTCATTTCGTTATGTACCCAAGTAGTCATTCAGGAGCAGGTTGTTCAGTTTCCATGTCGTTGAGCGGCTTTGAGTGAGATTCTTAATCCTGAGTTCTAGTTTGATTGCACTGTGGTCTGAGAGATAGTTTGTTATAATTTCTGTTCTTTTACATTTGCTGAGGAGTGCTTTACTTCCAACTATGTGGTCAATTTTGGAATAGGTGTGTTGTGGTGCTGAAAAAAATGTATATTCTGTTGATTTGGGGTGGAGAGTTCTGTAGATGTCTATTAGGTCCGCTTGGTGCAGAGCTGAGTTCAATTCCTGGGTATCCTTGTTGACTTTCTGTCCGTTGATCTGTCTAATGTTGACAGGGGGGTGTTAAAGTCTCCCATTATTAATGTGTGGGAGTCTAAGTCTCTTTGTAGGTCACTCAGGACTTGCTTTATGAATCTGGGTGCTCCTGTATTGGGTGCATATATATTTAGGATAGTTAGCTCTTCTTGTTGAATTGATCCCTTTACCATTATGTAATGGCCTTCTTTGTCTCTTTTGATCTTTGTTGGTTTAAAGTCTGTTTTATCAGAGACTAGGATTGCAACCCCTGCCTTTTTTTGTTTTCCATTTGCTTGGTAGATCTTCCTCCATCCTTTTATTTTGAGCCTATGTGTGTCTCTGCACGTGAGATGGGTTTCCTGAATACAGCACACTGATGGGTCTTGACTCTTTATCCAACTTGCCAGTCTGTGTCTTTTAATTGGAGAATTTAGTCCATTTACATTTAAAGTTAGTATTTTTATATGTGAATTTGATCCTGTCATTATGATGTTAGCTGGTGATTTTGCTCGTAAGTTGATGCAGTTTCTTCCTAGTCTCGATGGTCTTTACATTTTGGCATGATTTTGCAGCGGCTGGTACCGGTTGCTCCTTTCCATGTTTAGCGCTTCCTTCAGGAGCTCTTTTAGGGCAGGCCTGGTGGTGACAAAATGTCTCAGCATTTGCTTGTCTGTAAAGTATTTAATTTCTCCTTCACTTATGAAGCTTAGTTTGGCTGGATATGAAATTCTGGGTTGAAAATTCTTTTCTTTAAGAATGTTGAATATTGGCCCCCACTCTCTTCTGGCTTGTAGGGTTTCTGCTGAGAGATCCGCTGTTAGTCTGATGGGCTTCCCTTTGAGGGTAACCCGACCTTTCTCTCTGGCTGCCCTTAACATTTTTTCCTTCATTTCAACTTTGGTGAATCTGACAATTATGTGTCTTGGAGTTGCTCTTCTCGAGGAGTATCTTTGTGGCATTCTCTGTATTTCCTGAATCTGAACGTTGGCCTGCCTTGCTAGATTGGGGAAGTTCTCCTGGATAATATCCTGCAGAGTGTTTTCCAACTTGGTTCCATTCTCCCTGTCACTTTCAGGTACACCAATCAGACGTAGATTTGGTCTTTTCACATAGTCCCATATTTCTTGGAGGCTTTGCTCATTTCTTTTTATTCTTTTTTCTCTAAACTTCCCTTCTCGCTTCATTTCATTCATTTCATCTTTCATTGCTGATGCCCTTTCTTCCAGTTGATCACATCGGCTCCTGAGGCTTCTGCATTCTTCACGTAGTTCTCGAGCCTTGGTTTTCAGCTCCATCAGCTCCTTTAAGCACTTCTCTGTATTGGTTATTCTAGTTATACATTCTTCTAAATTTTTTTCAAAGTTTTCAACTTCTTTGCCTTTGGTTTGAATGTCCTCCCGTAGCTCAGAGTAATTTGATCATCTGAAGCCTTCTTCTCTCAGCTCGTCAAAGTCATTCTGCATCCAGCTTTGTTCCGTTGCTGGTGAGGAACTGCGTTCCTTTGGAGGAGGAGAGGCGCTCTGCGTTTTAGAATTTCCAGTTTTTCTGTTCTGTTTTTTCCCCATCTTTGTGGTTTTATCTACTTTTGGTCTTTGATGATGGTGATGTACAGATGGGTTTTCGGTGTGGATGTCCTTTCTGTTTGTTAGTTTTCCTTCTAACAGACAGGACCCTCAGCTGCAGGTCTGTTGGAATACCCTGCCTTGTGAGGTGTCAGTGTGCCCCTGCTGGGGGGTGCCTCCCAGTTAGGCTGCTCGGGGGTCAGGGGTCAGGGACCCACTTGAGGAGGCAGTCTGCCTATTCTGAGATCTCCAGCTGCGTGCTGGGAGAACCACTGCTCTCTTCAAAGCTGTCAGACAGGGACACTTAAGTCTGTAGAGGTTACTGCTGTCTTTTTGTTTGTCTGTGCCCTGCCCCCAGAGGTGGAGCCTACAGAGGCAGGCAGGCCTCCTAGAGCTGTGGTGGGCTCCACCCAGTTCGAGCTTCCTGGCTGCTTTGTTTACCTAAGCAAGCCTGGGCAATGGCGGGCGCCCCTCCCCCAGCCTCGTTGTCGCCTTGCAGTTTGATCTCAGACTGCTGTGCTAGCAGTCAGCGAGATTCCGTGGGCGTAGGACCCTCCGAGCCAGGTGTGGGATATAATCTCGTGGTTTGCTGTTTTTTAAGCCGGTCTGAAAAGCGCAATATTCGGGTGGGAGTGACCCAATTTTCCAGGTGCGTCAGTCACCCCTTTCTTTGACTTCGAAAGGGAACTCCCTGACCCCTTGCACTTCCCAAGTGAGGCAATGCCTCGCCCTGCTTCGGCTTGCGCACGGTGCGCGCACCCACTGGCCTGCGCCCACTGTCTGGCACTCCCTAGTGAGATAAACCCGGTACCTCAGATGGAAATGCAGAAAACACCCGTCTTCTGCATCGCTCACGCTGGGAGCTGTAGACCGGAGGTGTTCCTATTCGGCCATCTTGGCTCCTCCCCCGAAACTTTCGTTTTTAAAACCATCAGATCTCATGAGACCCATTCACTATCAGGAGAACAGCATGGGAAAGACCCACCCCCATGATTCAATCATCTCCCACCAGGTCCCTCCCTCAACAAGTGGGAATTATGGGAGCTGCAAGATGAGATTTGGGTGGGGACAAAGAGCCAAACCATATCACCTGCCTCCTTTCTTTCCCCCTCTGCCCTGTCCTAAAGCAAGGTGCATCCTTCCCCCTGGGCTCTAGATCGCCTGCCCTCCAGCTCCTCGGGCCTTGCCCACACCAATTACCCTCTTGCTTCTGTCTTCAACCTCCCCATCTCCACTGGCTCCTTTCCATTAGCATTTAAACATGTCCAAATCTTTTCCCTCAAGAACACCCATAGCTCTTATCTCCAGGTCTCTCCAACAACCTCCTGTCCCCACCACATAGCCAAATTCATCAAAAGAGAAAAATAAGTTATCTCCACTTTTCTTGTCCTCAACCCATTCTATCAGACTCTTGCCATCACCTGTGGATTGTAAATTCTCCTGCCATGGATTCCTCCATTGCCCTCTTAAGGGGCCGCTTGGCAAGCATACAATGCCATTGACCTCATCCTCCTTTAAATATGGAATTCCTTGGCTTCTGAGTGATCCTATAGCCTCTCAGTTTTCCTTCTGGATTTGCTGTGCTGGCCACTCCCTAGATGTTCAATGGTTGCATTTCTTGGCATTGTTTTCAAGCTCTTTCCCTTCTCTTTCTGATCTCATCTAGTACTATGAATTAAACTACTACCTAGATCCTGGTGACTCTCAAATGTCTACTTCCAGTCTACTTTTTTCTCCTAAATTGCAGATGCCCACATTCCTCTCTAATATTACATCTCCCATGGGTGACCTACATCCAATAATAGTTATGAAAGAGAACAGCTAATAGCAGTAGGCTGAGTGATGGACTTAGGAAGGGCAAAGACCCCTTTGGCAGGGTTAAGAAAAGCAGAGGTGAAATGAGAGAGGTCAGGACAGTCACCTGAAGTATTTCATAGTTCTCTAAAAAGTACTCTCAGATTCAAATTTCCTTGACACTTTGCTAACCGTTCTGCACACCTACATCCTAAAGGACAGGGCTCTCCTTAACATGAATTAAATTTGAATATGCCTCTACCTTAGAAAATATATTGTTCCTCTACCAGTGTCCTGGCATATGGAGACTGCCTACTGAAAATCATGGGTATGACATTGATTTGTGTAATGCTAGCTTTGGAGTACATGTAGCTTTTTCTCTATGGACTTAAATTTTTTTTTTTTTTGAGACGGAGTCTCACTCTGCTGCCCAGGCTGGAGTGCAGTGGCGCCATCTCGGCTCACTGCAAGCTCCACCTCCTGGGTTCATGCCATTCTCCTGCCTCAGCCTCCCGAGTAGCTGGGACTACAGGCACCCGCCAACATGCCGGCTAATTTTTTGTATTTTTAGTAGAGACGGGGTTTCACCTTGTTAGCCAGGATGGTCTCAATCTCCTGACCTCCTGTTCCACCCACCTTGACTTCCCAAAGTGCTGGCATTACAGGCATGAGCCACCGTGCCCGGCCAGACTTAAATTTTAAGGGAGGCATTTACATTAAATTATACTTCCCACAATCCACTCAGCTTGGTCTTTGGCTCCATTGTTGGGTGGAATTACAATTGCTAGTACAGTAGCTGGATGTTAAATAGAAGTCAGTGTAGAACAATAGATGTCGAAATAAAAAACAAGATTAGAAACAGAAAAGTTCATGGCTTCAAAATGCATGTTAGCCTGGGGTAAAAAAACTGCATGGATCTTACAGAACATGGAGTCCAGCACTGATACGGACAGGAGATAGGGAAATACTGGTTTGAAGAAGGCAGTTCCCGGGCAAAGGCCCCCCACCTTCAAGCCAAGAAACCCACAGCCCTCAGTGAGAACAGGCATTCCTGTTTTTGCATCCAAAAAGTTGCCTTTTGGCCTGCTATGTCCCCCTATCTTGCATCCATATAAACCCTGAACCCCAGGCTCCAGAAAGAAATGCACGGACGAATGGCAAAATGGGGCAGCAGAGAAGAAGAGAAAAGAAGGAAAATCATCTTCCCACTCCATTCCCCCTCTAGCTCCCCATCCATCCCACGGAGAGCCACCTCCACCACTCAAAAAGACCCCCACATTCACTCTTTAAGTCCATGTGCAGCCTCATTCTTCCTAGACTCCAAACAAGAACCCGGGTGCCAAGAGGGCACTGAGCTGGTTAACTTTAGCTGTCTGCAGATTGCAAAGCCAAAAGAGCATGCTGTAACATGCCCGCTGGGCTTCAGGAGTCGCAGACACCCACCCTTAGAGACAACCAGGGGGCCAGAGGCCAAAGTCCTTGCCCTGGCTCCTAAACCTGCCTGTCTGTGTGCTCCCCCTCCCGTAAGGGGTTTGAGCTTGTGGCAGCTGAACAGAGAGGCATACCCCTGTCACATGTCATGTGGGGGAAGCAGGGAACTCTCCTGTTTCAGCACCTTCATTTTTAAAACAAGGATACTAAGGTTTAGAGAGAATAGTTACACTTTCTCAAGGTTAAACTCTACGGAATGGGATGAAATGGTGATAGAATTCAGTGCTTATTCCATCTCCATGTGAGAGGCCTGAGGGACATGGCATCATTCTGCTAGGGCCTTCGAGTTATTGGAATTTTTGCAAAGCATGTCAACATCCCACCCGGCAGAAACTCTGGCATATTCACTTCATCCACGTGCTTCTTCTGGGACCCCTTGTTTTAGCCAACTCCATACCCATACTTCAGGAGACTCCTGATTTTCCTGAACTCTGAGTCCTGGACTTGTGTTCCCACACCCAGCCTTGGCTCTTCTCTCAGGCTAACCTTAGCCCCATTTGCTCTGCTAGAATGTCCCTTTCTGTTTTCTTCCTCCTTTGGTTCTACTGCAACCAGCCTCACCAAACAGTATTCTGCTCATCTGTCTAGGAGCTCTGCAATACACCTGAGCTCATACCCTGCCACACCTGCCCCAGCCCCACGAAGGAAAACAAAACAATAGCAACAAACAAACAAACAAACAAAAAAAAAAAACCCTGCTGAACTCAGATTCTGATTCAGCTAGCATGAAGCCATGACTTGTACCAGGCACTGTCCTAGGTGCTGGGGTGAACACTGTCATATTTAACTTAACCTACCAGCCTTTCATAGAATCCTGCTCTGTGAAATTTGCACAGGGGCCAAAGGGAAACAAGGCATTATTTATAATAATTGGCTTGCCATTATCCATTCTGTTGGCGCTGCCTGCAACAACATGATGGACCTGTATGCTATTCACAGTCTATAAAAAAGTAGTTCTGTTGTGATTCAACATATAGTAATCTCCATTTTAAGAGGACAATAGAAACACTCAGCTGTTATTCATCCCAGAGCCTTAAACGGCAGAGAATTCCTTTATCAGGAACATAAGGTTAGAACAGCATGAGTTATTAACATTGAAAGTAGCCCAATGCATTTATTGAGGTGCTCAAACTATTGAAAAAAATTAACGATTTTTAAAAGTAAAAGGCTAGACCTCAAGTAGCACTTTGGGAGAAGTGTGTCAAAGGCACAAACTATTCAGAACTGCTTAGGTTGAAATGAGGATGGGGAAAGAGTCTTGGTCCCCATAACCCAACTCAGTTCTGAATGTTCTGAAGAGAGTAAAGGAGAAACGCCAGGCATGTTCAGAAATCCAGATTTGAGGGGCCAGGAGTGGTGGGAAATATGGGAGCAGCTGCAAATCATAGTTAATTAACAATCATTAGGGATACATGCATAACACATTTTGTATTCAGTTAGCTATTTATTTATTTATTCACAGCCACATTCCACAAAGGGCTTGAGGCAGCCTACAATGGCAAAATGCAAACAAGCGTAAAAAGTCAGGACTAGCATATACGGTGAGGAACACCTTGGCCAGAAGGGCACACATCTGTCAGCCCTAAGGGACTCCAGAGGTACCACAGTCAAGTTCCAAATTTGGCTTGAGGCATCCTGGCAGCCAAAGTGAAAAGGAGACAGGGTCAGGTCCAAGCATTCTCTTTAACAAGACACTGTTAAATGTCTTTCTTTCAAAGCAGGTAAAAAGCTGAACACTGACACAGCGGCCCCACAAATAACTGCAGAATCAGTGGTCTGCAACTGCAGTAAAATGGATGGGACAAGGGACAATGGCAAAGGAGTTGGGTTCTGGAGCTGAAAGTCCTCACTGTGAGGTCCAGCTTAACCTCTACTAGCTCCAGGGTCCTGGAGAAGATGTTTAATTTCTCTGGGGCACGTTCTTATTATGCATAAACCAGAGATTTAAAAAGACTTAATTTGCTAAGTCGTGTGTCAGAAAGAAGAAAAATGAAAGAGGGAGAACGAATAAAGGAATGAATAGGTATGTACTATGAAGTGAATTGAAACATATAGAGCACCTAGCATATGAAACATACCAGAACCTTTTCTAGTTTTTTTTTTTCTTTAATTCTTTCTGTGAAATTGAGTCTGGGTAGCAGACTGTTCCTCCATCTGAGTGGCTGTTTGTCAGTCTCTGTCTTCCCTCTCCCATCCTCTGCCCCTACCACTCTCTTCAACCTCAACTCCAGAGGTAGCTGGGGCTATGCCACATCTCAATCTCAGAACACCAGGGCACAGAGAAGTAAAGAGACCCAAGTGATGGATGGGTGGGTGAGTCTATAATTCTCAGAGGAACATTATTAGAAACAACAAGTGGTGATGGGCACAGGATCAACCAACACAATGAGAGAGAAAAACAGTCAACTCGGAGATCAGGTAATCAGTGATTGATAATCTGATAATGGTTGAACACTCACAAGGAAGGGCCATATACTGAAATGAGTCCATTTATTTTACATATTCCTACCTTGAGTGCTTGTTCACAAATATGCTTTACCTAATCCATTCTGATTTTGATGAAAAGTTCCATTTTGTAGAAATGGAACTTTTGTAGAACATTTCTACAAAATGGAACTTTTCATCAAAATCAGAATGGATGCCAGCAATCCATCCAAAACCAGAATAGAGCCAGCAATACTGGCTGTCTTGATGCTAAACACTTTTCGATATCAGCTAACAGCATGAGACTAACTATCGAGCTTTTGTGTTTTCAGTGACCGTATTTTTCTAAGCCAAACATTTAAAAAATTCACATAAAAGTCAAATTACTTGTATATATTTTGAGGCTCATCTAGTTTAAGAAAAAAAAGCTATCAAAAACTGAATATCTCTTGGAAATTCTGAGTCATACAGCCACTGCATTAAGCTACTTGGACAGGTGATCTTCCCATTTTTCAGATGATTCTCCTTACCTTCAAGCTTAGGTAAGAAGTCTCTGCTCTCTGTTCCCTTTGAACTTGCACACATCTCCATTCTAACACTTACCACTCTACAGCTGAGTTTCTGATTAGACTAAGAACCCACTGGCCACAGGATGTCTGCCCTATTCAGTTGCATGTTTCCAAAATTTGCTCAATAACAACCAAAGGGAACTGTTTTGCAAGCGTAGAAAATCAGTTCTTCAGTACACTACTAAATGCAGCAAGCTACCCTCCTTTTTTCTACATTGCCCTCTACACTTTTTAGCTTCTAGACTTCTCATCCTGCCTTGACCAGCCCCAGCTAGGCCTCTTTAGTTGCAAGATTCCAAGAAGTCAGAGAGGACCTACATTCACAGGGCCTGAGCCAGCTCGGAGAAACGGGCCCCCTGGGAGTAGCCACAGAGGGTCAGGTGGAATCCATCATGGTGCATCAGGGCTGAGAGTTGAATCTGTACAATAGCCCAGGCCATGGGAGGCCTTCCTAAGGCCCGACTTGACCACTAAGGATCTGTTACTTCTTGGGTCCCCAATCTAGCAGTGAGAGTGAAGGAAATTCTCAGGTTCCTTGGCCAAAACCTCAACTCTCTGCCTTCAGAATATGAGCTTAATGAGAATTCCCTGGATGAGAACCACTGTCATTCATTTAAATCACAGCTACACATTACCGTGAAGCCTTATCACACTGGGCCTCTCTGATCTCCTGTAAAGGGTCATCAATTTCTGTATCTTTTACTTTTTTTTGTCTGAATAATGAACATACTGCTGAAAGCAATGCCCGGGATGACCGGGCACATCTAGGAGATTCTAAAAGTGTGAGTTTCAGATTTTTGGTACGATTTTATTTTCTTCATGCTTAAAGTCTCATAAAATTCTGGATCCATTTAATCATACTACCTAATCATATGTTTATCATGAAAAGTAGCACTAATGTGGTAGGCAGACTGTTTTTCCATGTTTCTTTCTTTCTTTCTATTTTATTTTATTTTTTATTTTTTTAAGAGATAGGGTCTCTTTCACCTAGGCTAGAGCTTATTGCAGCCTCGCACACCTGGGATCAAACAACCCTCTTGCCTCAACCTCCCATGCCCATGTAGCTGGGACTACAGGTATATGCTACCACACCCAGCTAATTTTTTTAATTTTTTTGTAGAGATGAGGTCTCACTGTGTTACCTAGGTTGGTCTTGAACTCCTGGCATCAAGCAATCTTTCTGCCTTGGCCTCCCAAAGCACTGGGGTTACAGGCATGAGCCACCATGCCTGGCCCCATGTCCTGTTTCTAAACTAATAATTAGCAAGGTAAGGCAAAAACGGTCCTTTTACCTGTATTTGAGCTCACATCTACGGAGGCTTCAACAGAACAATTCCATGTCCTATTTTTGGAAGAAAGCTCCAATTTCTAGCCCTAGTTTTCAGTGTTGTGGAGTAGTTTTATTTCCTGTCTTTCGTATTTTTTTTTTAAAAAAAGCTTCTCCAACATTTTAGTTGCAATCTGAGACAGTCTGTTTCAGAGACAAAATTTTACAGCCAGATGCTCCAGTGTGAGCCGCTGCAGTTTGTTTCTAAGGATGATCAGTAACGAATGGGGAATGCTTGTCATTTGCTCAAATATTGTGAAGTCTTGTCTTTTCTTGGGCACATGCACACTTTTATAGGCAAGGTTTCATCCATCCGTAATGCCTGCTGGGACAACTGGGAGAACAGGTCAGTCATTTGCAGAAACAGACCTAAAACCCTAAGGCCTAGGAGCCATCACAGCCCCCACCCCATCTGGACATTAACAAGACACACAGGGTGGGGAAAGAAGGCAAATGGGAGTGCAGTGGAGTCAGGAGATAGGCAACTCTGGGCCTCCACTTCCGTGGGGGATTTTAATAATCTCCCTGGAGTCACAGTGGGTTGTTATAAGGAGGCAGAGGGAAGGTAGGATGGTTCTGATACAGAAAATAGCTCCTCAGTGGGACAGGGGAGATGACAGCAGAGAAGCTTTCAACCACCTTTTTTTTTGTGATGCCACAAGTCTCTGCAGCTCACCTGTATAGCGCTATTGCTCTATTCCACGTGACAAAACATGAGTCACCTGCTCAATTAGTTTCATTCAGTCCATTATCCCTATAGCTAGGGAGAGCTCTCTCCCATAAACTGGCAAATCATTGTTCAATATATTTAATCTTAATATGGTTGATCCTTCCTTTTCTTTCTTTTTACCTCTCTTCCTCTCTCCATCCTTCTTATTCATCCATCCACCTATCTATCCATCCATTTACCTGAAGGTATGTTGACCATCTACTTTGTGTCAGGTACTATTCCAAGCACTTAATATACAATATCTGATTAAATTTTAACAATACCCTGGAAGTTAGCTCTTAATATTCTTTATGAATATTATATGAGGTTTAGAGAGTTTATGTGTCTTGTCCAAGATTCAGCAAAATTCAGCCCATGGGCTAAATTCAACCTATTTTTGTAAATAAAGTTTAGTTGGAACATATCCATGCCCATTTGTTTACGTATGACACAATTTCAGCAGAGTGGAGTAGTTACAACAGAGACCATTTGGTCCACAAATGCTAACATATTTACTAACTGGCCCTTAACTGAAAAAGTTTGCCAACCCCTGTTCTTGCCCAGTAATACTTAGCAAGAAAGTAGCAGAGTCAAAGATTCAAACCCAGATCTATTTAACTCAAAAGGCCATAATTCTTCAATGCTGTGTCATGCAACAGAAGTATGTGAGTTTTGTCTACATGACTTCTTGACACCTAGGGTGAGATGGCCAGGCTAGATTTATGGTAAGAGGAACAGATCTGACATATATTACTTAGTAAGTAGCCAATTACTGTGGAAGACTCTCTTCATTTGTAAGAAAAGCCAGTGAGGATGCTTTTTTTTTTTTTCCTGGTGAAGTAATTATAGAGACGAGTGTTGATGCATGTTTTGACTTTGCTGCAAAAGTAGTTCTGTCTTCTCCAGTTTAAGTAATTACATTAGTTTCTAAATAGAGCAGATGGAACTATAGTTGTCAAAGAATGCAAAGATCAGTCAACTGCATTTATGGTGTGACATTCTAAGCAGAGATACCGCAAAGTATCTTGTGCAAAACCAACTAGGTGAGTGCTATTGAGCACCTGTGAGCCAGAAGAAAACAGGAGAAAAATGTGGCTAAATGGAAATGGAAATTTCTACACAATGGGATCTGGTGGCAAACACATTTTCCTACCATAATGCCCCAACAATTGCTTGTTTTCTAATGTTGCCTGGTTGGGGGAAGATATATTCTGAGTGTTCCTCCAAACTTGTAGAACTCAATTTTTCTGGGGGAGAGGGTTGTCCTAAGATGGTCTGCTTGGTACTCAGAGTGCAAAGATGTCTCCTGCAAGAAGCAAGCAGCTTATGAAGGAAGCAATGACTTAAAGCAGACACGTTACCTCTAAAGAACAGGGAGAAGATCAAATCCAGAACCAGGCAGTAGTAATAAGGGAACTGACCTGGCAATAGGCCAAGGATCCAAACGACATGGGAACCAGGCATGATTCAAAACAGCCACTGCTGAACACCTACACCAATGGGGGGAAAAATGATACTCTTAGCGTTAGAGTCCACAACTGCTACAGAGTCTCAGCTGTGATTTCTACTGCCGGGTGTCCCCATAGAAGTCTGCATCCCAACCCCTGAGACCTGTGAATATGTTACCTTACTTAGCAAAAGGGACTTTGCAGATATAATTAAGCTAAAGATCTTGAGATGGGGAGATTATTCTTCATTTTTTGGGTGGGCTCAGTGTAATCACAAGTGTCCTTGTAAATGAAAGTGGGAGGTAAGAGGGTCAGAGTCAGAGAGAGATGTCAAGATGCTACACTGCTACCTTTGAAGATAGAGGAAGGGGCCATGAGCCAAGCAGTGCAGACAGCTTCTAGGAGCTAGAAAAAGTCAGCCGACAGATTCTGTCCCAGAACCTCTAGAACCAACACATCCAGGCAACACCTTGATTTTAGCCCAGTGAAACCCATTTCAGACATCTGACTCCCAGAAGGCCAGAAGATAATAAATTTGTGTGGTTTCAAGCCACTATGTCTATGGTAATTTGTTATAGCAGCAATGATAAACTAATACAACAGCCCTGACTTGGGGGGAGGGTAAAGGAAAGAGCCACACACCACCACCCTCTCACCATGGGAGGAATAGTTGAAATGAACACATGACTTCAGGTCCCCAACAAAGAGCTGAATGGGTTTCAGGCTAGCTTGCTAATTCATTCACCAATTCTCAGCTCTGGTGTTGCTTGATTCAGAAGGTAAAGACAATTTTTAAATTTCCTTAATTTCAAAACTTAATTCATCCAATGCATTTAATTTAAAATCATACATTATTTATCCACAAATCCTGATACACAGGGAAAGAAACAGAAATATTTGCTGGACAGGTGGCATGGAAACAAAGGGTTATTAGCGATTGCCATGCAGGCCTAAGTGAATTCACAATGACCATCATGACATCATGTCTGTTGTTACTATCAAGAGCGTTGCTCTTGGATAAGTATCAATAACCTCAGAACTATGGAAAGAACCATGTGTGGAGTTTGGCACCACAGATATTCTCTGAGTGATTGAAGTCTCTTCTACCATGGTGAGTGGTACCATGGAAGTAATCTTGTCCCCAGGCCTCCTAAGCTTACTTATGATGAAGTGATGAGACTCTTACCCAAGAAACCATTACAGAAAAAAAAATCCTCGCCTAATAAAATTGTGCCAGTGAACAAACTCTCAGATATATGGCCATATTGACAAGATCTGCAATGGTATCAAAAGAGGTCAAGCTAATAACCTGAGGAAACAGGAAGAAAACTCCAATTGTCTTATACAGAAGGTCTACAATCAATAGGATGAAGTCTAACACTGGCGAGAGTGGGGTGAGATGGATGAACTTCTCTACCACCTGGTGATGAAATACATTGGGATTCTATGAAAAAGCATTTTTTTCTAAACTCAATTTCCATATTAATTTTAGAGCTATATGTAATTAGTTAAAAATGTTCCTGAAGACTTAAATCAAGATAATCTTTTAGAAGTAACAAAATGATCTACACATGAAAATACTCAATTCAGCTTCACATATTGCCACATGTTATGTTCCCTGAGAAGCAGACTCTGAGAGTTTAGCATGTAGATGTTTTAAGTGGTTTCCGTGGGGTCAACAGCTATGCAGAATAGGGGAAGTTAGCAGGAATGGGGCAGAAATAGAAGTCAAGCTGTGAGGTAGGCCCAATAACATCTTCAGCTAACCTGCTGGGGAGCTCTAAGGCTGGAATGTGAGTTGTCCTGTTTTGGGGATGAAATGGTAAAACATTTAAACTCTTGATTCTCTGAGTCAGTGAACATTGGCTGCCCCAGGAAGGAGCCCAATCTTGGGCAAGGCAACTCTCTAAAGCTGAGGGGATTCTTGAAGAAGCTTGTGTAAATGAATGAATGAATGAATGAATGCAAGCTTGTGCAAGGTTAACCCAGTGGACTTGGGGTACTCAAACTCTGCACATTTTAAAGAGAAGACTGGCCCCTTGACCATCCTGGGAGATAACCTATAAGCCTTTGGAATACCTAGCCTGATACAAATGTCTTTGTGTATCTGGGGTCTTGGGATATGCCAGATAGTTTATGCAAACAATGTGATTTATGGTGAATGCCTGTTTTTGTTCACCTGGGGCCCTGGTCATGCTGTATTGGTTGGACGCCGGAGACTGAGCAGTCATGGAGGTACCCCAGGCCTATGTGACTAGCCCCCAGTAGAAACCCTAGAGACCAAAGCTCAGGTGAGCTTCCTTGTTGGCAATCCTTCCTATGCATTGTCACACACTGTTGCTGAGAGGATGAAGCATTGCTGGCACAACCCCAAGATCACACATGCTTTCTCCTATGCTGTTTTTGTTGTTGTTGTTGTTTTGTTTTTTTGTTTTTGAGACGGAGTCTCACTCTGTCGCCCAGGCTGCAGTGCAGTGGTGCGATCTTGGCTCACTGCAATCTCTGCCTCCTGCATTCCAGCGATTCTCCTGCCTCAGCCTCCTTAATAGCTGGGATTACAGGCCTGGCTAATTTTTGCATTTTTAGTAGAGATGGGATTTCACCATATTGGTTAGGCTGGTCTCGAACTCCTGACTTTGTGATCCACTCACCTCGACCTCCCAAAGTGCTGGGGTTACAGGCGTGAGCCACCACACCCGGCCACTATCCTATGCTTCTTTTAAAACCAGCCGTTCACTGTTAATCTGTATTCTTTTACTATATTATCTATATTTACTATGTTTACTAATTTTTACTGTATTACTAATTTTATATATTATACTAAATTTATGTAATATTACTAATTTTACTATATTTTACTATATTTATTAATATTTACTATATTAATATATATCTTTTACTATATTAAACTGGAACATGAGTATAGCAGCTTTCCTGAGTTCTGTGAGTCCTTTTATAAATCATCAAGCCTAAGGATGGTCTCAGGGACCCCTGACATAGGGCTAGCACTTAAGAGCAGCCTGCTAGCTGTAGTCTCAGCAGCTAGGGTAACAAATCCTTTCTTGAAGGGATAGCCAGGTGGCACATCACAGTATGTACCTATAAAAGCTAGAAACAAGTGAAATATTCATAAATAGGACATCTATTTGGCAAAGTAGAAGTTAGGAAGTACCCAGCCAAGCTCTGCCTCATGGAATAAGAGTGCTTTTTGAGAATGATTCCAATATCTATCTTCATTTGCTATACATATGGAGAAAACAGTCCTCTCAGTTTGGGGAGAAACTCTGAATTATTCTTAAAGAATCTCTGGTTATCCCCTCTAGCTTACACTGAACATTCTAGGTCCTTGAGAAGATCCTCATTTCAAAGGCAATAGAAACCATCTGAAATTGATTCATTGGAAAATGTATATGCTATTAACACCAGAGAGCAGAAGTAGACTGGCTAAAATATAGCAACTTGAAATATATTTTATGTACTGGAATTTGATCAAATAGATGGATAACTTCTGGAATGATGACAGCAAACAATCTTTGGAAAAACACATGACTGTGCTTGGAGAACGGTATCATAGTTTTTAAGAAATGTACACTGCATAGCTAGATAGCATAGCAGTGTCCATTTAAACCCCAATCTAACACTTCGTTGTAAGTTGACAGTAGGAGAAAATGGTTATTAGAATATGGTTTGACAGGCCAGGAGCTATGGCTCACACCTGTAATCCCAGCACTTTGGGAGGCTGAGGCAGGAAGATCACTTGAGGCCAGGAGTTCGAGACAGTGCAAAACCTCATTGTCTTTACTTAAAATACAAAAATTAGCTGAGTGTGGTAGCACACGCCTGTAATCCCAGCTACTCTGGTGGCTGAGGCACGAGAATTGCTTGTACCTGGGAGGTGGAGGTCACAGTGAGCTGTAATTACACCACTGCCCTCCAGCCTGGGCAACACAGCAAGACTCTGAAAATATATATATATATATATATATATATATATATATAATAAAATATTAATATATTATAATAATATAATTTATTATATATAATTATCTATAATATATTATAATATAATTATTATATATAATATAATATATAATTATATATAATATATTATAATAATATAATATAATATATAATTATATATAATATATTATAATATATTATATATTATATTATATATATTATATATATATAATATATATATAATATATATATTATATATATTATATATATATTATAAATATATAATATATATATAATATATATATAATATAATAATATATATATTATAATAATATAATATATTATATATATAATTATATATAATATTATATATATGGTTTGATGGGTTACTTGATAACTGCCAATTCAGTCTTGAGATGAGGAACAAAACTGAAATATGAAACATGACTGGTCTGGTAGACCACAGGACTGCTTCTGGTCCACCGACTGTGAACGTTAATGATGTGTGTTCATTGCTGGGTTGAGGTAAGTATGAGTTGGTGCACTACCCCCTATTTCTCTCTTTCTTTGTCACAGAGGCCTTGAAAGCTCCATGATAGAGATGACAGAGCTATAAGATGAAAGCAGCCCAAATCCCTGAGTCACCAATGTTTGAAGAAGAGCTTCCCAGGAGAGGTACCAGACCCACATGAGACTTCACATGATTATAAAATGAACTTCTATTGTGTTGAATCTCTGAACTTCAGGGTTGTTTTGCAGCACAGACTACATTATAGTGACAAGTAGAGGAAGGTACAGGCATGCTAATTTCATTTTAAAATTAATCAAGGATTGTCAATGGAAAATAAAGATTTCAGATTCCTTGCACCTTAAAAAAGACGAAAAATATGTCTTTTTTCTTCCCCAACCCCTGCTTATGTGAAGCATTATAGTCTAATAGCTGGCATTTTAGAGAGATGAAAAAGATGAGTTTGCTTCAAAATGTATATATGACCAGACTGTAAATTCACATGCAACGCAGTCTGCTTTGGGAGTTAAACATATTATTTAAACAAATCATTATAACTTGACTTATTATACCTCAATTTGATTATAAAACAAACATTAAAGTGAAATCTAAGGTAAGTCTTTTTTATTTCCAGTTCCAAAGCCATTTCCATTTCTTACTTATCTTTGAATCCTCAGCCCCAAGCACAGTGCCTGAAACACAGCAGGTATCCACAATCTTTGGATGACTGAATGAAAAGGAAAGTTTAAAGTCAATTACCTTTAATCTTGCTTGTGGTTTCTCAGAGCTAATTTGAACACTAGATGGAGAAATACTGAAAAAAAATATTTTTCAGAAAGGCAAGCATCCTCTTGGTCTGAGAGGTTTCATAACAAGTTAATTTTATTTTAAATCAGTATGAATGGATGGATGATAAACTTTGGAAAGTCACACTTAGAACTACATTGAAAACAAATGAATGTGTCCCCAGATGAAAAATAATAACTATGTAAATAAAATTTGAAATAACCACTTGATAGCAAAGAGAACTCCAGTATCAAGAAATATTTTAAATTCCATGCAATGGTTAATTATATTCCTGAAATCTATGCACAAAAGGGCAAAATTGAAGAAAAAAAAGAATATAGGTTAAGATGAAATTCGTGAACAAGAACCTGAAAAATATAATAGGCAACAATGTGCTGCATTTCCACATTTAAGAGGCTTTAACATCCATATTTTTCTCCCATGTGCAATTACATGAACTTATAATCCTTGAAAAATTGTTATTATTTTTGTTGCTAAAACTGCTTGTAATAGGAGTCACAGATATGTGTAGTAATATGCTCAGATGATTACATTTGAACAAATACCATGGTAATAATTCTCATATTTGGAAATGCTAGAATCTGAATTACACATACAGTTTGTGGCATCTCTTTTTTGAAGCCTTAGATTTTATTTTATTTTTTGTTTTAAGACCAAGTAAAAATCCAACTTTCAGCTAATGGAATTCTAGGTCTAGTTGGTAGAACGAGATCCAGATGGAGTTCAAAACACCTGCTGAATAGTATCTGTAAACTGCCAGCTTGATATCGTCACCAAGAATTCTGCAAGCTGAGTGTCCACATTGGAATCTTAAGGACTTGCATACAGTGTAGTTATATATAACTCATAAGAACTAATTATTAACTACTAGACTGTGAGGACTCTTTCTTTGGCTTTTAAGGAAAGTCACCGAGTTAATGCTGAATATATTTCTAAAAAATTGTACTTATGAAATTAATAGAGTTGACCGACAATTTGAATAATATTAGGCTACAGTAACCTCGAACTTGATTACTCTTATACATGGTAAAACAATCCAGAAATCCTGGGGAAGGGTTGTTTATTATGGCTGCATGGAGGTTGCCCAAGCCCTGGCATTCTTTTACAGTTTCAAGGGAGGGCAAAAGTCTGAAGTGGGTAGGGACTGAGCCATACTTAATAATTTAAACTTAGTATCATGGAACAATTCACACCCGTTACATACAAGTTAAATAACCTTCATGCTGTGTTGCAAACTGCTCTTCCTGCTATACTTCAAACAGATAGAATCATTTTACAAAATAAAATTACCAAAATGAGGATATACTTCATAAAACTGTTCAAGGGAGAAGCAAACCTTTGGTGAAGAGTGTGATATAATCACCAATGGCTTTAAGAATGCCATTGGGAGGATCTTAAAATGGAGATGGGCCAGATGCAGTGGCTCACACCTGTAATCCCAACACTTTGGAGGCTGAGGTGGGGGCATCACTTGAGATCAGGAGTTTGAGACCAGCCTGGCCAACACGGTAAAACACTGTCTCTACTAAAAATACAAAAATTAGCTGGGCATGGTGACGCATGCTTGTAATCTTAGCTACTCAGGAGGCTGAGGCAGGAGAATTGCTTGAATTCAGGAGGTGGAGGTTGCAGTGAGCCGAGATCACACCACTGCACTCCAGCCTGGGTGACAGAGTGAGACTCCAACTCAAAAATAATTAATTAATTAATCAATTAATTAAAATAAAATGGAGATGAAGGATGGAAGTGATGGTGAGATGTGCAAGTTCCAGCATGTGTGGATCTGATGGCTTTTGAAAGTATCAACTGTAGGGATTCTATCATATTCTTACAGGAACCTAACAGTGTTGATATATATGATGAAATATAGCACTCAAACCTTCATGGAAGATGGTGCCTCTGACTCTGGAGGGATACAATGAGGAGAGAGAGCACACAGCCATAGTCGAGGTCTCCAAGTCTATCATGCATCAGCATCACCAAGAGGGTTTCCTAAGATTTAGATTGCTGGATGCCACCCCCAGAGTTTCTGATTCCATAGGTTTAAGTGAGGACCTAATAATTTGCATTTTCAACAAGTTATCAGGTTATTCTGACACTGCTGGTCAGGGAACTATGCTTTGAGAATTACTGGTCTACGTGTTTCACTTAGAAGCCAGAATGGTTCACCACTGTCTCCTTCTCACTGGGCTAAAAATCCAAAGTCCTAACCATTGCCAGCAAGGATCTATGTGATCTGGGCCTTAACAATCTTTCTGACATCATCTCCTGCCAGTCTCCTTGTTGCTAGCACCACTCAAGGCTCATTGTCCTCCTTGCTGATCCTTACATATGCCAAGCTTGTTCCCCCCTCACATCCTTTGCAATTGCTGCTTGCTCCCTCAACCCAGAATGGGGTTCCTGCAGATCTTCAAAGGGCTTGCTATCTCACTTCATTCAGTTCTTTGTGCAGAGAAGCTTTCCATAACCATCCTACTTAAAATCGCTCTTCTCCACAGTTCCCCTTTCATTACTGTCTGTCCCTTCCCTGAAAATTTTTCATATCATTTTCACCTGAAGAATAATATTTATTTACCGATTGTCAGCTCCTCTAAGAACAGGGACTTGGTTTGATTCACTGCTGAGTTCCCAGTGCATAAGAAAGTATCTGACACACAGTAGGCATTCAATACAAATTTGTTAAAGAAAAGGATGAATAATTGATTGAATAAATAATTTTAAGAAAGAGCAACTGCAAATATATTAGCCAGCCTCCAAACTGACAAAGCTAAGAGGGTAAAGGTCTGAGATTTAAAAATCAAACTTGCATCTATGAAAACACTCTATAAATAAGAATGTACACTATATGAGAGAATTTCTGTTATACATAAAGAAGGGTGAATTGTATCTACTCACAGGAGCCAATTGTGCACATCTCTTCCCAACCCAATATTCAATAACTTTACACTGATAGGGAGAAATCAGTCACAGTAGGAATATTTACACCCAGGAAATTGGCAAACATTACAATTCAAGGCTTATTTTTATCAGCACACTACTGATTCTATCCATAGATAAACACATTCCATTACTCAGTTTGATAGCCTCACCCATGTACCTGTCACCCAGACCAGAGGTGAGACAGGTTTGTTGCCAATTAAAGGAGGGAAAATGGGACATCTCAGTATAACAGATTGGGATAGACTGGGAAGCTTATCTAAATCTTACTTCAGGATGTCCATTTAGCGGGGCTGAACATCTACTTTGCCCTGCCTGAGCGGTCGAAACATAAAACAGGTGGACATGGGGATGTGTGCTTTTGAAGATACTCACCCTTCGCTCCTGCTCTACATGTATTATGGGGAAACTGATCCTAATCTTGAGTCTATGGATAGAATATATGACTCATATTATTCAAGTCTAAAGTTGGGCCCAACAATGGATTTTCAGTTACACAAGTCCATAAAATCTCCCTCTGTCTTACTTATGACTAAATGAATCCTGACTATGCTGTGCTTTTTTAAAAGCAGGATATAAAATAGTACAAACCCAAGTTTGAGCACAAGTAAATCAAATACATACTCAAGCCACAAGTGACAGAATGGAATAAGCACCGAACCAGTAAAATTTCTTTATTTTTTTGTTGGTAGTTGTACAAATCTATTCTTTGTCTAAACATTTTTGCTTAAATTTTAGTCACATTGTTTCTGCAATTAAAAAATCCATAATATATAGGTTGAATTTCAATTTTCTTCTCTGTTTATAAACTGTTTTCCCACACATTAGAAAGATGTCTAAGATAAACCCATGAATTAATGGAGAATTAAAATGGCAGAGCCAATTTAAATACCACATATTTAAACAAACACTAGAAAAAAAATCTCTTGCAACAGAGATTGCTATAGCACATTAATTATAAGGTTTCAGATAGATTTTTGTAACTCAAACATAAATTTTAAAGAACCTTCCCATTTGTTTCTTTAAGTTATTAATGTCTCCAATAGAAGGACAAGTTGACCTTTAAATCTGAACCAGCTCAGAAAAAGGCCCAAATGCACACTTGACCTCTTCTACAAGGAGCCTATTTTAGTCACAATACAATTTTACCCACTCACAGGTGCTCTGTAGCAGCCTGACAGTGGCATTTACATTTTTTTTTAAATAAGCTAAGAAATAATAGAACAAGGAACACTGGTAGTCACTTGCTTTAATTGTAACTTTGGGCCTCTGTTCTGTCTTATCACCCATTTTAGCTGACGAATGCACTTCCTCATTCCCTGTTTTCCTCGTGGTAAAGTAAGAAACTTGAATTTGAAACCAGAGCCCTGAGTCTCCTATGCCCTGGCCATCCACTGCCTTTGCATGCAGCCTCTGTTCTGGCCCTGAATCCGCTCTCTCCGCAATTCCCAGAGCATTCCTTGGGTCTCAACTCTAAGGAAGCATATTCCTTTCACGAATCATTTTGTAGGGGACACAGGAGGGTACATTCCCCTAGCACAGCCTACAGCATTTCACTAAAAAGCACCCAGAGAACTTTCCCTAAAGTCTCCTCCTTAGCCCACAGTCTTCTGGGCTTTCCAAGCTTTCCCACTTTTTCTCTTCTTGATGTCCCTGTCTGTTATATTGCTCCTAAATTTCAGGACACTAGGAGACACAAACCAATCAAAAGATTTCACATGCTCTTTTAGGTATTATAATTCAGTGTTTACAAATTATCTAGACATTAATTAGATCCCTCTCTTCTACCTTCCTGGTAATCTTACTCCATTCTTTCCAGGCACCTGTCTTTTTACTCTGGCCATGGTCCGTCAGCATTTCAAATTGTCTACGCCGCTTCTGCTTTACAAAATAACCAGAAAATCCCTCTCCCCCCAACCCGAATGAAGCTGGGAATTTTAACCTGCCATCTGTCAGCAGCTATGGACCTATATGATATCTCCTTTTGACAGCCAAACATCATAAAAGTGTTGTCTACACAGATGGAGTTCATTCTTTACCTGCTACAATCTGGTTTCTGCCCATACCACACCTCTGTACCTGCCCTCACCAAGTCTAACAAGTTCTTAATCAAATGGGCATGTTGCACCTTGTGTTACTTGAACCAACGTGAAGTGTAAATCCCACACATTAGAATATTAGAGATTTCATAAGCACCAGTAAAATTTATTTTTTTATTGGTAGTTATATGAATCTATTCTTTGTCTATACATTTTTGCTTACATTTTAGTCACATTGTTTGGTATAAAGAGTGTAACACTAGTTACCATTCACTGGGAACTTCATTCACTGGGCACCAATCTTTAAGTATAGAGACTTCTTTAAAAAAAAAAAATTTTTTTGAGACAGTGTCTTGCTTTGTCGCCCAGGCTGGATGGAAGTGGCATGATCTTGGCTCACTGCAACCTTTGGATTCAAGTGATTCTCGTGCCTCAGGTTCCCGAGTAGCTGGGATTAGAGGTGTGCATTACCATGCCCAGCTAATTTTTTTATTTTTAGCAGAGATAGGTTTTCACCATGTTGGCCAGGCTGGTCTCGAACTCCTGACCACCGCCTCAGCCTCCCAAAGTGCTAGGATTACCTGCCATGCCACCCAGCGAGAATCTTCTCTAATCAACACAAGTATTGAAAATAAGCATTGGGAAAAAAATGTCTAGAGATGTTTGAAATTAGTGGAAGACTTAAATCTACATTGAGGATCACCATTCAGCTTGCCTGGGCTGCCTCTGTGTCAGTCAGATTTTGCTTTCTAGCTGGAAACCACCCTTACTCCATCTGGGAATTTGAAATGTGGATTGTTCCTCGGGCCCCACCATTAATGACAACACAAACACATATTTTTACATGATTTTAATCATTGTGTATGTTCAATGGTGTCTCCTGGCTTATTTATTTAGCATTATATCATAAGCATGTTTAAGGTTGCCCAATAGCATCTATAATTACCATTTTAATTGCTGCATAATATTCCACTAAGTGGATGGTCATGATTTACTAAGCCATTACCATAGTGTTGGGAATTTAGGTTGCTTCCAATTTTTGCTACCATAAATTGCCCTGCATATAGCATTTTCCTAGGTTTGAATTAATTCTTTAGGATAATTTCTCCAGCATTGATTGCTGGTTTAAAGAGCATGAGCCATTTTTAAGACCTTTCATACACATTTCCTATTCCTTCCAAAAGGACTGTGCTAATCTGTCACTAGCGATGTGTGAGAGGCCTTCCTAAGGGTAATTGCATGAACTGATAAAGTGTGCACTGAGAACAGCCTGGAACCCTGGATGAATAAGCAGCAGTGAGAGCTGAGAGTATAGGATATATTGAAGAATTATAGGTCTGCAAGAATTGTCTTTGATGGGGGCTTTATACATTCTCTCTGTCTCCTCGCTCCCTCGCCTGAAAATCATTTACAGAGTCATTAATGAGGGTCTCTATCATAGGTCAGGCATCAGCTTTTCTGTAAACCAAAGCCTACAGACTTTGGAAAAGTCCCTCTAAGTCTGTGATCCACACAAACACTGTGAGTATGCTTTGCCATCACTGGGAGCCAGATTAAGGCTGAATGTAATTCTTTCCAGTGGACCCAGAGAACTTGCAAATGGCTTGGATGAGCCATTTATGACTGATATTCCCTGGAAAAGAACCTAAGCAGTTGGAATAAGCAGCCACAGAGACCAAGAGTGGTAAAGAGAGGCAAGGCAAAGGCTAGAGAGGCATGATATGATACCTCCATGCCCAGGCAAGACCTGGTGTCGACAGAGGGAGCAATGCTTGGAGCCTGAAGTCCCAGTTTCCAGTCCCAGCTCTATCTTGACTATGCAGCCTCATACTGACTTCTAAGCGTCTTAGAGTGCCCTCTTCCAAGAGGACCCAGATACCTGTCTCACAGGCTAACATGGAGCTGAGATGGGAGAGCATAGAGCTTGCTTTGAAAGATGCAGGGAACTACAAGGTTATTAAATCCAACTCAGCAACCAGACTGTTTACACCAGCAGTGTGCCTGTCCAGATAATATTGAATATGTCTGGGAATTCAGCCTGGGGAGACAAGTGAGTGCCAAATGGTCTGTTTCTGCAAGGCTGCCACTAAGAAGAGGATTCACACACTCCTGGAAACCCTTCAGAGCAGTTCAGGTTATTGGGCCAAAGCTAGAGGGCCTTGGGTGTGGGCTCAGAATTAGATTTTCTGCATATTAATGATCATTCTTTCACATCACACTATATGAATGACTTCCAACTATTTCCAAGTTATTTTCCAACTGACTGAGAAAGCTCTGATCCTTACTAGTTGTGGGACGTTGACAGAGTTATGGACCTCCCTGAGTCTCAGTGACTTATTTGTTAAATGGAGATAAAAATGCCTACATTTGGAGTAAGATAGGGAATAGTAATAATCTTGATGGTGACAACAATGATAATAATGTGAATAATAATGTGAATCTGTAGAGTTAATACAATGTGCTCACTCTGAGCTAAACTAAGGACTGTATGTACATTATCCCACCTAATCCTCATAACAGCCTCCGGAGGTAGGAACATTAAATACCTGAGATCAATGAGGTACCCAGTGAGTGGTAACTAGTATTACACTCTTTAATACCAATAATTCCCAAGGAAGAATAACCTAATTAGTTAGTGGGAGAGCAGGATTGTTGAAATGAGTATTGCCTCAAGGATTAACCCCACTTTGGGAGGTTAATGTAAAAAACCAAAGTGATATTGATTGTGTTAATGAATACATTTAGTGCTCTCCTTGGATCTGTATTTGACTTGTAATTGGGTAGTTTCCTCCCACTTTGACTCTGGGCTTGGCCACATGACTTGTTTTGGCCAATGGGACAACAGCAAACTGTGGGCAAGTGGATGCTTGAAAAAGTGCTTGTGCATTTCTGCTTCTTCTCTTGGATCCCTACTTCTTCCACGAGAAGACACCCCAAGGCCAGGCTAGCTTATTGAATGTCAGACCAGGTGGACCAAAGTGGAGTCACCCAGCTGAAGCCACCTGAGACCATCTAGTTCCAGCTGACCTGCTAGTTAATCCAAGATGCACATTGAGTATTGTTACGCAGCATTATTATGGCAATAGCTGACTGATGCAACCAGTTCCATTACTTCACACATACTATTTTCTTCATACATGCTGATAACACCTGGTGAATAAGCATTTTGCCAAAATTCTACATGGATTGTATCATTTATTCCTTATACAAAAACCCATGAGGTACATGCTGTTATTACCCTTACTTTATTTTATTTATTTATTTTTTGAGAGAGGGTCTTGTTCTGTCACCTAGGCTGGAGTGCAGTGGTGCAATCACAGCTCACTGCAGCCTCAACCTCCCAGGTTCAAGTGATTCTCCTGTCCTCAGCCTCCTGAGTAGCTAGGACTACAGGTACATGCCTCCACACTCAGCTATTTTTTTTTAATTGAGACAAGGTTTTGCTACGTTGCCCATGCTGGTCTCAAGCTCCTGGGCTCAAGCAATCCTCCCAACTTGGCCTCCTAAAGCACTGGGATCACAGGTGTGAGCCACCATGCCCAGCTACCTTCACTTTCAAGATGAAAATATAAGGTGCAAAAATTTAAATACCTTACCCAAGCTTACAGTTAGTGATGGGCAAGCATTTCAAGCTGGGCAGCTCAGCTTCAGAGCCTCCGCCACAACCACTATGCATTGCTTTGTGCACACTATAAGAGAGCTCCTCATACCAAGCTGCTTTATACGACTGGTTGCAACCCTCCCCTTGCCTGAGCATAATGCCTCTATGGACCTCCCTTTTCAGCCAGGCCAGGCATCATGAATCAAGAGCTGGCTGCCTTCCTCTCTGAGCTTATGGCTCCTTCTCCTTCTTTGACAAGGTGCTCTGGGAAGAGAGAACACCATCAGGAAAGAAAGCCTTCTAGCAAACACAAGATCCACAGATTGAAGGAGTGAAGTGCTCTTCATGATGCAGTGCTCTTAAAATCCAGGCTGTGTGATGGGCCTGAAGAGACCCGCAGAAAACCAAGGGGGCCCTAACTGCACTCTTGCCACTTCTCAGTAAAGTCCCAAGAATCCCAATCTGCAACTGAGCCTTCAACAGGCTGTGCAGGTTTACAGCCCTGTTCTCATCCAGGCCTCATTGTCTCTGTCACCTGGACCTTTGTGACAGCCTCCTCTTAGGGCCTGCAGCCTCCAGACTCACCTTTTCTAATCCGCCTTACACTCCAAACCAGAGAGACTTCCCAAAACACATGTCACTCTCTGCTTAAAGCTCTGCAATGTGTCCCTGAGATGAAATACCTGAAAACATCATCCAAGTCCCCTCCCAATTTATCAGTACAGCCTTCCAGGTCTTGGGCACTGATCTTCATGTTTCCAAAGCAGAGTACAGGGCTTTCCTTTGTCTATGTTCATGCCCCTTCTCTTATCAATATGCTCTTCATCACTAGGTTAGGCTCTTACCTGTGCATCTTGTATTTGGGCACAGATACAGGGGACAGGGGCTATAGGATGCAATGAAGAATAAGGTGTTTTGCATGGAGGGTAATGACCCTGGGTCTTCCTCATCTCTGGTCATGAGCCCTCAAAGTCCAGAGACTCAGCAAAGTGGTCTTCAGTGTAACCCCAGAGCCTGGCCCCAGGAGCACTCAGGGACTTTCTGGGAGGTAGGCTGTGAGTAAGGAGCTCCAGATTCATACACATTAAGGTAAAGACCTGGGATAATGATCAGCAATTCATTTACATTGCCTTAATCACAACACTTAGTCCTTAAGCAATAACTTATATTCATATGTATTGCACAGATTACTAAGTATGTGCTCTTCCATTTCTCATTGAAGGTACAGTAAAAGCCTTGCCATCACTCCCATTATACAGAGGAAGAAACTGAGACCTAGAGAAGTTCAGAACCTTGCTACATCAATCAGAAGTACAAGCCAAGGCTCATGAAGTGGTTTCCTTATTTTCTCACCCCAAGTTAGTAAGTCTGTAACTTCTCCTTCACAGTGCAATTTGTCACGCAGTCTATGGCACTGTAGAATTTGGCTATAGATCCCTAAGTCAGAAAAGTCCATGTTTGGAGAACTACTAGTAAGTCAAGACAGAGGAGTGTGACAAAGGCTGACAAAACCCTACCTGCAGCCTGGAGGTCACAGGCAGCCTGCTTTTTGAGTCTCCCTGAATGGAGGGGAAGGGGCTCTCCCTGAGGGAATGTGCTCAACTCTGGGTCGTGTGGAAGAGTTAGGAAGTTAACACTCCATGAGCGACCCTCATCCAATGTCGGCTGGGAATGGGTGGATAAATACCCTAACTTTCTAAGGTATATGTGTGTCCAGCAGGGCCTCCAGTGGGGATGAACCACAGTTGGCCACAATGGTAACCTGCCCATTAACACACCCTTCATTGGTCTTTATTCCCTTCCCTGAGCCTTCACTGTGTTTTCAGGGATCACCTCCGAAGGAAATGACTTACACCCAAATCAGGATCTGTTTTTGAGGGAACCCAACATAACACATGGAGAGATGGGTTTCCTATGAAGAAGGAAATATGGGCTGTAAAATACCACGGAGAGTCAGAGTAAGTACAGGCGGCTACAACAAAGATAGATCAGGTCACGGAGGTCTCTGGGAATAGAGGAAAGCCACCCAGAGGAAAAAAGGACATGACTGCCACTAGCACCATATGTATGTTTCAGATGGGATGTGTATTTATGTGTGTGTGTGTGTGTGTGTGTGTGTGTGTGTGTGTGTAGGGAGGGGTGACAGAGAGAGAGAGGCAGAATAAATATCTTGGTCATTGGTTACAAGCCAACAAAACTGAAGTGATGAAACTCAGTGAGTTTTATAGAAATGTGCTGGAGATGCTTCAATTACTTTCTCAATAGGTCTATTTTGATAACTGAATGAAAAGAATCCATGTGAAGCACCTACCACTCTTCCTGGCTTGTAGTGAACACACAAAAAGAATTGTTGATTATTGTAGTAGACACTGTAGTGTACCTCCTAGATTCTCCTTACCCAGCCACTATACCCATCCCCATTGCTGTGAGGTCAGGTGCCCAGGAATCACAGCATCCCACCCACCCTTCCCTTGCTCCAGGCAATGCCCTCAACTGGTAGGTGTCACTTTGCCCAGAAACTACCATTCTTCTCCAGGGGACCCACGGCCAAGGGCAAACTGGCATAGGCTATGCAAGGCTGGCCCCTGGCAGAATGTATGTGGAAGGGGCAACTCTTCAGTGTGCTTTATGGACCATGGACCAAATCCAGCTCTCCATTTGCTTTTGTAAATTGTTATTGGAACACAGCCACCCCATTCCTTTTTGAATTGTCCATGGCTGCTTTCCTGCTACAACAGAAGTTGAGTTATTGCAACAGAGGTCGTCTGGGCCACAAGATCTAAAGTATTTACTCTGGCCCTTGATGGAAGAAACTTGTCCACCGAGCCCTAGAGCTGCACTTCCAATATGGTAGCCATTGGCCATATGTGGATATTTCAATTTAAATTCATTAAAATTAAATAAAATTAATATTTCAGTTCTTCAACTCCAAAAATTACATTTTGAGTACTCAGTAGCCATGAGTCGCTGGTGACTCTCCTATCAGCCCAGATACAGAACACTGCCATCTTCACAGGAAGTTCTGTTGGATGGTGCTGCACTATAGGCTTCAGCTTCTGGGTAAAACTAAGGGGATACTTAACCTGACCACATTCTGACTCAACCCCACCCACATCCCTCCCTCCTCAACAGGTTCCTCCCTCAATAAATCACATGTACCTGTTCTCCTATCTCAGGCTCTATATCTAGAGATCCCAACCTAAGACAGCCTTTTTTTTTTTTTTTTTTTTTTTTTTTTTTTGAGATGGAGTTTGCTCTGTCGCTCAGGCTGCAGTGCAGTGGCGTGAACGTGGTTCACTGCAGCCTTAATCTACTGGGCTCGAGCAATCCTTCCACTTCAGCCTCCTGAGTAGCTGGGACTACAGGGTGTGTTACCATGGCCAGCTACTTTTTAAAAATTGTTTTGTAGAGATGGGGTCTCACTATGTTGTCAGGGCTGGTCTCCAACTCCTGGGCTCAAGTGACCCCTCCCACCCTGGCCTCCAATGTGTTGGGATTACAGGTGTGAACCACCATGCCCAGCCTCCAATGACTAAGATAGTTATGATATGCTTGTATTGCATCCCCAGGTTCATATCTTTGCCATTCTTGTGATGAGAGTGTGGGCTACTAAGACACAGGGGAGGATGCCAGGTTCACCTCTAAATCTCCAGTCTCCACTACAGTGTCTGTCACAGAGCAGCATTCAGTAAATAATACATGAATAAATAAAGTAAATAAATGGTCCCCTCATATGCTGTACCCCTGGTGTCCCGTCAACAGCCCAGAGCTCCTCTTAATCCATTCCCACTGCACGTTTCAGGTTCAATTTCTCAGACATTCACTTTACCCGGAAGTCCAGCTGTGACAGCTAATAGATGAAACCATCCAATTTGCAAGTTCCCCTGAGTCTCTGCTGTAAAATCAGCCTGATCCTCAGGAAGTTCCACACCTAGGTCTCCACTCTCAGCCCTATGACCTCACCTCCACAGACTCTGCACTTGAGCATTCCACCCTCAGCGCTTGTGAAAGGAGTCATGGGAGACACAAGGCTGGAGGATGTGTCTGCATCTTCAGAAACCCGCTAACAGGGACAGCGTCTGTGATACCGGCTGACGCTCATTAAACCAAGGCTCTAGTAGCCTGTTCCTCTCAGATTTCAGAACTAAAAGAACAGTCTGGTTATCCTGACTTCTTCTTTTATCATAAGATGCTGCAAGTCGAATCTACAGCAGTCAGGGTTAAGAGAAATCATTAAGTAATAACAAAGTCAGGAGTTTCTTCTCTGAGGTAAGCTTTGCTGGAAATTTCTCGTCCCTACTCAAGATGGCAACCAAGGACACTTTGGAGATAGCAGCTTAGAAATGGCCCTGAAGTGGGTCTTTCCTTAGACTTTAGGTGAAAACACTTTCCCCTGATCCTCTGGGGAAACGGCTCCCCTGAGGTTGTCTGGGGTTTTTACAGAGCTCTTCTAAAGACCCTGGGCCTTGGGGCATGCTGTTTAATTTACTGGGTTATTGGCTGTCATATTGAAGACAAATGCATCCAAGGAAAAAATGGCTCAAGAAGAACAGACTCCTCCATCACTTCAATCAAGGGGTCCTTCACGAACATGCTTCATTAACAGCAAAAAGGGCTGTTGGGGTGCTTTGTCCTTACTCTACATCCCCCTCTCAGCTCTGCAAGACTACTGCTGTCCTCCCAGCAAACCAAGCCCGGCAGAGAGAGAAGCCATCACAGGAACACAGTTGGCCTCAGCAGCCTGATGCTCTCAAGGAATGTGTTGAATCACTACACAGATAATCAGAAGGCAGCTGCTAAGGTTCAGAAGAGAAACAGCAGGTTCTATCATTAAGTGAGAAGCTGCCCACATGAAGAGTTGCCCTAGGCCCCCGAATGTGACTAAAACACAGCCCAAGAAGGCCGCTACAGCTGCAATTCCATGCCTGTGCTGAGGCCCCTGCGTGTCTAGCGCCACTGTACTCTTCGACTCCAAGGTGTACCATTCATGTGGAAGGCTATGTAAATCATGCTTCTTGGAGGGAGGCCAGGCCACAGCCCTGCAGGTGGGCACATCCTGTATCAGTCCATTCTCATGTTACTGATAAAGACATACCTAAGAGTGGGTAATTTCTAAAGGAAAGGGGATTTTTTTTTTTGGTGTCGTTGTTTTTTTTTTTTTTTTTTGACAGAGTCTGGCTCTGTCGCCCAGGCTGGAGTGCAGTGGTGTAATCTCAGCTCACTGCAAGCTCTGCCTCCCGGGTTCATGCCATTCTCCTGCCTCAGCCTCCCGAGTAGCTGGGACTACAGGCACCTGCCACCATGCCTGGCTAATTTTTTCTATTTTTTAGTAGAGATGGGGTTTCACCGTGTTAGCCAGGATGGTCTCAATCTCATGACCTTGTGATCCGCCCACCTCGGCCTCCCAAAGTGCTAGGATTACAGGCCTGAGCCACTGTGCCCGGCCAAGGAAAGAGGTTTAATGGACTCACAGTTCCACGTGGCTGGGGAGGCCTCACAATTATGTCAGAAGGCAAGGAGGAGCAAGTTACATCTTACATGGATGGCGACAGGCAAAGAGGGAGAGCTTGTGCAAAGGAACTCCTTTTTATAAAACCATCAGATCTCGTGAGGCTTATTCACTATCATGAGAACAGCAAAGGAAAGACCTGCCCCCACGATTCAATTACCTCTCACTGGATCCCTCCCATGACACGTGGGAATTGTGGGAGCTACAATTCAAGATGAGATTTGGGTGGGGACACAGCCAAACCATATCACATGCCTTGATGGCCATGCAGAACACTCATCTCTCTCTTTGCTCACCTATAACTGGGGCAGTCTGATTTCAGAATCATACACTCCATGTTCTCACCACATCCTATAAGCCAAGTTCATGGAGGCACACATTTATGTGGTGAAAGTCCATCTCTATAAACGTATCCATAGATTCCTCACAGAGAAAAAGATATGAATGCTGGTTAAAGTAATAACTCCCTCATCTCTGGGGAGTATGGGAAGGTCCTGAAAGAGCCCCTAAGTTATGCTTGATTTACTGCAAAAAGTGTTTGCTGGTTGAGAGCAGACATATCCCTCCCTCAACTTCTCTCTCATGTTTGGAGAGACAACCCAGGTGCAGTTAACAAGAGAACCTCTTTGCATTTGCATAGCACTCAAGCATCTGCAGCACAGAGCCAATCAGAGCCTTGCCTTAGCTCCTGGATGCAGGCAAGGCTTACTTGCCTCAGGTCTATGTTATCCAGGCAAGGGGAAGACAAGGAGGGCAGTAAGAGCCTGCTCCAACTGTGGTCCCCTTATAAAGAGCTCTCCAAAAGGCCCCACCCTCCACCACTCTGCTTTACATCTCACTGGCTAACACTTGGTCACATGACCACACTCAGCTGCAAGAGGGGCATAGTCTTTTAGCACTCACATCATTGCCAGAAAAAAATAATCCCATCTCAGGAAGTAAGAAGGTACAAACAGATATTGGTTAGCAGTCTCTTCCACTTGGCTCCTTTTTTACAGGTGATGAAGCACAGAATGATTAAGAAACTTGTCCAAGTAAACAGCAGAACCAGGACTTGAAATCCAGGTTTTCCCAACCAACCTCCAATACCCTGTCCACTACTTCCTTAACTGACCTTCTGCACCACTGAGGTTTCTGCACAAATCACTGCCAGATGCTATTAACAAGGCAGTATCCTCCCTCCCTCAAGCAATCTCACACACATACATATGCCCTCCTCCATCTCCCTGGGCTCATCAGGATCACCTCATTTTCTAAAATAAATCTGTCACCTCCATCAATCATGAAAAACAATTGCTCAATCAGCTGCAGTAGAGGGGGCCTTTTCAAATCAGGGATTGGACTAAACTGGAATTGACCAGCAGATTCATTTCAATCATCACCTTGACAGTTACAGGCAGACACAGTCACAGAGGCCAGGGTTGTTGAAAGACTCAGCATGCACAAGAAAAGTGCTTTTATTCTCTGCTGCTTGCATTTCTGTCTTGGCTCTGCAGGGACAATAAAGCAGAGGTCATCTCCTAAGCTGCTCTGAGATGCCCAAGAATACTTATGCAAAGATAAAGTAGAAGAGAAAAAGCAATTTCCTTCCTATATTTTTAAGTTCTCAGGAAAACAACCACAGTGGAGAAAATACTCATCTCTGCCAGTGTGTCAAAGAATGACAACGGCCAGGCAAATGCAATTGGATCTTATGTGTTCACAGTGAGAAAAGAACACAATTAAGAAACCCCAGCAATACCTGAATTCTTGAGGAAGTGCATAGACCTCCATTTCTCTGGCGAAGCTCTCCAGAGAGGCCCCCAAAATAAACTAAAGGCTACTTTATTCACTCACTTTTCAAATGGGTGAGTGAATAAAGTAGCCTTTAGTTTATTTTACACGTGTAATTAAATGGCTCTTATATCTGAATGGTGTCAGATTATAAAGGGTTCTATAAACAAAAAGCATTTTGATAAAGGAAAGTGAATTTGGTATATATTATTGTGAGAGAAAAAGATAAATGCCTTTACAGATGGAAAGTCTAAAAATGATGGTATTGAATGTGACAACGGACATATATTAAACTAGAATAAATAGGAATTAACAAACATGGCCAAACCCCTATTGCTTGTCAAAGTCAGATATAAGAAAATATAGGCATACCCTATTGATCTCAAATGTCAGAATCAATGGACATTTGTTTAACTTCTACTTACCAACAACTGTCATGGATATTTTCTCAAATGTTTTCCATTTAGTGACTGTTTCAAATCTATGAGCTAGTCATATTTTGTTCCCATTTTACAGATGAGAAAGCTGAGGCTCAAAGAGATTAAGCAACAGTCATTAAGGGACAGAGGCAGGGGCAGGTCTGGAATCCACTTGCTGTGATTACAAGCCCAGTGAGGTTTCTGTGCCTTGAGCAGTTGCCTTTTCTAGAACATTACTAATGATATTCAAGGCAGGTTGTATTGCTGAGCAGAGACACTGGAAGCTTCATCTAGGTTCAAAGTTTGGGTGTGCCACTCATTAGCTCTGTGACCATGGACAAGTGACTTCCTTCTCCAAGCTTCACCCTCATCCTTAAAAAAGGGATAATATGGCCAGGCACAGTGGCTCATGCCTATAATCCCAGCACTTTGGGAGGCTGAGGTGGGTGGATCATCTGAGGTCAGGAGTTCAAGATCAGCCTGGCCAAAATGGTAAAACCCCATCTTTACTAAAACTAAAAAAAATTAGCTGGGCTTGGTGGTGTGTGCCTGCAATCCCAGCTACTCAGGAGGCTGAGGCATGAGAATTGCTTGAACCCGGGAGGTGGAGGTTGCAGTGAGCCGAGATGGTGCCACTGCACTCCAGCCTGGGCAACAGAGCGAGACTCCACCTCAAAAAAACAAAAACAAAAACAAACAAAAAAAACAAAAAAAAAAAGGAAGATGGATGATACTATATCTTCAATTGCTATTAATAAGTAGAGAATGTAGGTAAAATGCCTGCCACATATTGTTTCTATTCTATTCAAATGACAAAAAAAATGGTCTATTAAACATTCATTATGAAATCAGGATACTTGGAGAGATTCCTTTAAGGGGAATTATCTGCTCTGAATCCACATTGCCATTTGCATGCTTAGACCACGTAGCCCTTCATTCATTTAACAGAACCTCCTTGAGTACTTACTTGCTCAATGCTGGACCATGCTGGGCACTGAGGTACCAGAGCTTAGAAGACACTGTGATCACTACCCTGAGGAATGTGCTGAGGGATGGTGCACGAAGCAGGGTGTTGTAACTTTCCAGCCTGCATCTGGTTATGATTGCTGTGGCTCTCTGGATTCTTTCTGCCACTGGTTGCTGATTTCCTGTTTCCCTCTCAGAGCATCCCCCTCCCCTTCACTCATGAGTCCCAGAGCTCCTAGAAACTCCAATCTGTGCTGTCAGAACCAATCCTACTCATCACATTCCTTTCTTTGCTGCTGGGAGGCTACTGAAGACATTGATGCCTATGGTGCCTCTGATAGCAGGCCAAATCAAGGGCCTGATGGTTGCCAAGGGTGAGTCCCTGCCTTTGTGTCACCTCCCCCATCTTTGTGTCACATCACTTAGTGCAGATTTCCTGAACAGTGTGTCCTTCAGTTCATATGAGGTGCATGTGGTAGAATAATCAGAATGGATCTGGCAACACTCAGACCTAACCCTAAGGACCTCATAAAAGGCAAATTTCCCAGCATTCTCTTTCTCCATCATAACTTTCCAGGACTGACCAGTGCTCTACCAGTTAATAGCACTGACAGCCTACATCATGTGTGAAGTCCTGTGCTCTGTACTGGGAACCCAGCAGATAAATAAGACTAACAGACTGATATGATTTGGCTATGTCCCCAACCAAATCTCATCTTGAACTGTAGTTCCCATAGTACTCACATGTCGTGGGAGGGACCCAGTGGGAGGTTATTGAACCATAGAGGCGGTTACCCCCATGCTGCTGTTCTCATGGTAGTGAGTTCTCATGAAATCTGATGGTTTTATAAGGGGCTTTTCCCCCACTTGCCCTACACTTCTCCTTGCTGCCACCATGTGAAGAAGGACATGTTTGCTTCCCCTTCCATGCTTGTAAGTTTCCTGAGGCCTCCTAAGTCCTGCAAAACTGTGAGTCAATTCAACCTCTTTTCTTTATAAATTACCTAGTCTTGGGTATGTCTTTATTAGCAGCATGAGAACAGACTAATACACACACCTTCAGTCTTGTATGGCTTACAGCCTATCAAGGACAGCATCAAGTATCACAGAATTGAGTGATAATAAAAAGAAAAAGGTAGATGATCTTGCAATCATCAGGTGCAAATTCATGGCAGCAGGCAGCTAAGGAGTGGAAGGCTGGAGGTCAAGGAGAAGCCCACAGATGTGTCTGATCTTCACAGGCCAGTCTAGTTGTGGAATTCTCCCTGACAGCGTATTAAGATACACCTGCATTCTACCTTTGAGAGTAACTGGAATATTTTTGTCATAAAATTATTTTGAACTATTTAAAAAATAGTTTCATTTTCAACATCACTTGGTTTCCAAGAACTTAATAATTTATCACTGTCTGTGGTTTCTCTAATCACTTTGTTCCTTTGGGAATTCTTGATCTGCGAGGAAAACTAACCCACAGTTTATCGTTAAGTGTAATGAAATTTTTTGAACAGTAAATTTGACAATATCTATAAAGGCATGTAGACACATATGTCATAGATAACGAATTCTTGTTAGCTTCAATTATTCAGTATTCTTTTTACATTTTTGAGTCAACATATTGCTTTTCCAGGCCGTAAAACATTTCCATAAGTCCTGAAATCTCCTGACCACAAAGTAAAATAAGGAAAAAGGGCGCAGAAAGGGAGCAGGACAGGACAGGGGAGGCTGGAGAAGCTCTTGCAGGGCTTCAAATGGCAGGAAAGGTAGTGACAACACTCCCAGGATGTTAGAGGCCATGGAAACTATGTAAACTGAGGGAGAAATCAGGCTAGGTTTGGTGTTGGGATGCTCCCCATTGCTGTCCCATAGAGAATGAACAGCAGCAAGGACATGAAGTTGGTAATTAGCACCCAGGAGGAGAAGGCTGGTAGAAAGGTCCAAGAATGATGCAAGAAGGCTCTCCCTAGCACAGTGCATTCAAGGATGAAGAAAACAAAAAACAAAAAACAAAAAACACTGTCCCAGACAGGCAGGCAGGCAGGCAACTTAGGGAGGACCTCTCAAAAAGCTGCAGTGGAACAAGGAAGTAGCAACTGGCCACAAATGAGAACATCCCACACCAGACATCCAGGGCCACTCTACCCCCAGAACCCACTCATTGAGGGCACGAAACTATTCAAGCGGATGGTTACTACAGAGAGGGGTAGGGACAAGCGAAAGAGTTATCTCTTTGCAGACTGCACTACGTCCAACACATCCAGACAATACCAGCTTTGCTGGATAACTATTTTTCCTGTGTACCTATCATGTTCTGGGCACCTTGAATGACTCTCTACATATCTGTTCATTAAAGCCTCACAGGAGCCCACTGAGATGGGTACAGTTATTCCAAATGTATAGATAAGGAATTAGCCCAGAGAAGTTTAGTAAGTTGCTCAGGTTCACACAGCTGGTAAGTAGTGAGATGAGAGTTTAAATCTGGAAGGTCATACTCTCCTTGGAATATCCTGTGGCTTCCCAAAGCCCACTAACATCAGGGCAAGAATATCACTACTACCCGCATTGAAGAGAAATTTATAGATTATATCTTATTGCATTAATGTTATATGCATTTAAATTCACTTTCCCATTTAGTCATCACGAGACCTTCTTCAGCAATGACAATTCAATGGATCCAATCATATCATGGTGTATTTGATCCTATCAGCAATGAGACATGTAATACCCCTTCCACCCTGAAAAGGTCCATTTCAATGGACCAAAAATGGAAAGGTATGGAAGTAGCAAAATTAAATCACATTTAAAAATACATCATCATCTACTGGAAAAGAAAAAATAGTAATAATCTGCCTTAGAAATTTGCCAGATCTCAGCTGGGTGCAGTGGCTCACGCCTGTAATCCCAGCACATTGGGAGGCCAAGGCAGGTGGATCACTTGAGTTCAGGAGTTGGAGACCAGCCTGGCCAAACATGGTGAAACCTTGTCTCTATTAAAAATACAAAAACTGGCCGGGCATGGTAGTGCACCCCTGTAATCTCAGCTACTTGGGAGGCTGAGGCAGGAGAATCACTTGAAACTGGGAGGCAGAGATTGCAGTGAGCCGAGATTGCACCACTGCACTCCAGCCTGGGTGACAGAGCAAGACTCCATCTTTTTAAGAAAAAAAGAAATTTACCAGATCTCATATTTATACCTTGGTTATGGGTGTAAAATAAAACATGAGACTTCAATGAATAGTGGCAGCAAAGACTCCTCAGGCCACATCTGTGAATGGGAGAGTAAAACTGGAGAAAAAAGAAACAGATCTAAAGGATAAGGAGGGAACATGCACAGTAGTATGGCTGATTGGGTGTAAAGGCTAAGGATGGTGAGGGGTGGATTCCAAATGACTCTCAGGTTTCTGATCTGGGCAAACAGTATGATGTTTACCAAATTGGAGTAGCTATTTACCAAATAGGAGTAGACCATTTTCAGCATCAACCTATAATGTTGAGGTAGGTAGAAAACAGGTAGGAAAAGTAGTCAGGCATAAGGACTTGAAGTTCAGAAGTGGGGATATATTCATGTCTTGTTGAAGTCATGGAACAGGTAAGACATCTAGGAAGAGTTTGTGTAATGAAGAGAGAATTGGGCAGAGGACACAGCCCTAAGAAATACCATCAAGTGCAGAAATCAGAGATGAGAAACAGTGGACATATGATCCTTGAAGCAAGTTCTCAATGCACATGAGCTGGATAGAGCTTTTATTTTAAAAATAAAGCTGACATGCAGCTCACAGGGAGGTAAAGGTGGAAAATCTCCCTATTGACCCTGGTAGATGGGATTGTTCTTAGGTATGGAGGCATGGCCTTTTCTTCCTTAAGAGGGAGAAAAGCTGAGGCAAGATAGGAAAGCCCTAAGGAAAATAGAGGGATGGATGTGGGAGAGAAAATGTCAGGTGCTAAAAATTCAGAGCCTGCCTAAGCCAAGCCTAAAGGAAAGATAAGAGCCTGCAAATATTTGACATGTGTTAACGCCAGTAAGGGAGAGAATGGATTCCGCTCCAAATAGGGGGTTGAGACTTACAAGTAGTGATAAGAAATAAAAGCCATTGATTATCAGCTCCAAACACCAAACCACTTGTTTGCAGAGTTATTGTCTCAGGAAAACAGAGAAGAATAAAGGCAGAATGTCAACTCATAATAGCTATAGATGGGCATGTCCAAATAAACAAAGCTGCTCATCCACTGTTGAAGGCAGGGTGAAAACTGACCCAATTTTTGAAGAACTGTCTCAAAGTCTTGAAAATGCTCACTGACCCAGCAAGGACGGTTCCAGGAATTTATTCCAGGAAAAAATATTACATATGTGCACATATATTAGTATCTTTCAGGATGCTGATTACAGCTTTTAAAAATTAGGAAAAACTTACATGTCTGGAAATCAAAGTTAGGATGAAATCAATTGTACATCTATATAACAGTATATTAAGACTGTAATCAAAACAATGCCTCCACTCTCTCACCCCCTTTTCACCTATCATATGACACTGGCTTTTGCCTGCTTATATTTTTAATATCTGTTAATGCCAAGTCACCCATCACTCCAACACTGACAAATCCAAGTGATATGGTTTGGCTGTGTCCCCACCCAAATATCATCTTGAATTGTAGTTCCCATAATCCCCATGTGTCGAGGGTGGGACCAGGTGGAGGTAATTGAATCATGGGAGTGGTTGCCCCCATCCTGTTCTTGTGATGGTGAGTGATTTCTCATGAGATCTGATGGTTTTATAAGGGTTTTCCCCCTTTGCTCCACACTTCTACTTCCTGCCACCATGTGAAAAAGGATGTATTTACTTCCTGTCCCACCATTATTGTAGGTTTCCTGAGGCCTCCTAAGCCCTGTGGAACAGGGAGTCAATTAAACCTCTTTCCTTTACAAATTGCCCACTGTCTGGTAGTTCTTTATAGTAGTGTGAGGACGGACTAATACACCAAGGGGACCCTTTGGAGCACCTCTTACTCAATCCTTCAGAGTTGGCTACTTTCTCCATCCTCAGTTTTGCTGTTGACCTGAGGGCATCACAACTTCCTTGTTTTCCTCCTGCTTTTAGTTGTTCGTTCATGGTCTTCTTTTCAGGCTCTTTCTTCACAACCCAACCTTATGGTGGTGGCATTCCCTGGGATTGGCCTCTCTTGTCTCTCCACATGCTTTATCTAGGTTGATGGCATTTATTAGTATGGCTTTGTGGGGGGGAAAAATCTGTGCTTCAATGAAAAACTGCATTGTTTATAGCTCATGCTTCCTTGTTATCAGATTCTGATTCTATGGGAGCTGTTTCCCAACTCTGGAAATTGTAGATAACTGATAATAATGCAGAATAATTCTTGTCCATAGATATGCAAATGGTTCCATGATCAGGAAGAGGGACAACCTTGCTCCCTCAAGGAAAAAAAGCTAGTTTTGCTTCCATTTGCATATTCCTGAAGTATACAGATCTCTTACCTTTGAATTTTCCTCTGTACTGGCTGTAACACCTCACCAGTTTCTTCATTAATGAATTAAATGCAATCATGTTCATTTTTACATCTCTGTGAGGTTTACCTTTTTTTTTTTTTTTACCTTTTCTTAAGAAAAGTACCTTGATTTTACCTTTTCTTGAAAATTATCTTTTAACAGTTTTAAGTTATATCTAGAGCCAAAGAACCCAAATGTATGTCTCTATCACTGACTTGTACATATATCTAACTGATTCTTCTTATTGGAAGTAATGTTCTCTAAAGTTGCACTGAATTACTGAATATTGAACCCATGGCTCCTAGGAGAAATACAAAGTTCAGTTCCTGTGAGCCTCTGCTCACAATGCTTTTGTCAAATGATTAATATAGAACCTTGTTTATGTACATAACCTTGTTCTGTGTGTTTCTGTTTAAAGACAGCTTACTTAACAGATTTTGTCAATTCATTAACATTGAACTGACAGCCAGCAGCCCTGTAACTCAGGCCTGAACAAAGCTCATTTAATATACCTATTTTCTCTGCAAAGCACATCACAGCCTTCTTGCGCTTAGGAACATCAGATGACACTTCAGCACTACACTTGGGGGCCACTTAAAGCAGCAAAATCACCAACAGCACAAAAATGTGAAAAACATAACACTAAATAAACCATGAAAAGCACACTCGTTTACAGTAGGGGAGCTGAAACAAGAAGGCAGAGTGCTACCTCTGACCCCAGCTAGTAATATGTGCACTGGGCAACCAAAAGTTTTCACTGTTCCGTGCAGGTCTGTGAATGACTGGGAGAGAACCAAGAGTACTGATGTTGGTGTTACAAATAAATTTTAGTGAGTAGATAAACTTGCAAATATGAAATCTGCAAATAATGAAAACTGTATTTCTGTATCTATATTAAATGTAATGTATGTCTCCCCCATTAGTATTCAGGATCCATAAAAACTAAGACCATATCTATTCAATTCTATTATATATTATTCAATTTAATATTTGCATTTATTGAAGTAAAAAGGTACTTGAGTACATAGAAAAATATTCATTATACATTGTTTTAAAGTGTGTTACTCAACAACATTTACATATTAGCTCAGTTTTGTCCAGGGAGATATATCTGTCTGTATTAAGAAAAGTAAACCCTAATGGAAAGAAATGTCTCAAAATTTTGTATAATCTCCATGTGGTGGGGTTCATGGTTTCTTTTTACATCCTTTTTTAGTGTTTTTCTGTATCTTCCAAAATAAAATAATGAAAACATATTTTTTTCATCATTGCTACGAAATGCCATTAAGACGTGAATACCTGCCTTAACTTTTCCACTATATACAGCAGAAGTTTGAACAGCTCCAGGCACCAGGAACTCTCTAACTCTCAAAAAAAACATCTGGGTCAGCACCTCCAGCCTGCTCATATGACAGCTTTAATAGCTCATCCCCATAGGGCCTGGTGCTCTCCTAGGTAATATCTTTCATCTATCTTTGGAATATGTGGCCAGAATTAAATGTCATGGTCTTGGGATATTTTGTGTGACATATTACAGGCATCCCACTGCACACTCAGTCTGAACCCTAAACTCCCATAATACAGAATACCGTTACCTTGATAGCCACACCTAATTAAGAATGTACACTCATCCACTCTTCAAACTACCAGATGCGCCAGCCAGACACAGAGGTCTGTCCTCAGGGAGTTAGAGTCTAATCTATTCAAGACAGTGGGATGGTCTTTCCCAGCCTGTGGGAGGTCTTTAGATGTCTAAGCTGCCATGGCTTTGGTCAAATGCTTTGGGGTGGGTGCGGGGAAAGTCAAATCCATGTACCAACTATAAAAGGTAATTAAGGGTTATGTTATTGACTTCTTCCTTCTAAGGGATATTCCTCTGGGCTCAATTTTATTGTGTTTAGTTCATATACAGTCCTATATAAAATAGTGTGGGTCAAGTTTAAATGGATTCGCTGCTTAACCTTCAAATAAAAAAAATTCAATTAATCAGAGCTCTTGCCTCCTCCATCCCATCGCCACCACCTTTCCCCCATGCTGTCTGGTTAATCCAAGATTCACAGCACATAGAAACCTTCTGTAGTGAACAGACGGCAGGAGTCAGGTGAGTCTGGGGTCAGGAGATGCTATTTCACAGCTATTACGAGATTTGAGATTTGGGGAAAATTACTTTACTCCTCAGAGCCTCAGTGTCCCTGTGTAAAATGACAGTGATCATCTGAATTAAGTCGCAGGGAAACTGTGAGGACCAATAGAAATTGTGCTTATAAAGGGCTCTAGGAAGATTGTACTGTAAAGGCTATGCAAGAGCAGGTGGTGCTGGCCACGTGGAAGGGGCTGGAGCTTTCCTCCCAAAATAAATTTCCCTAACAGGGTGTCTGCTCCACCATTATGTCTACAAGTTCAGAAGATTTGTAAATATGGCACCCACTCTGATAGGTTCTCTTACAGCTGTGAAGCTTCTTTGGGTCAGGCTCTAAGCTTCCATCCCTTCTCCCTCCCAAGAAACTCCCATACTCTCCCTCCCCAGTCCATCACTGTTTGGGGTATTGTAAGCTTATTCCAGCAACGGTGCTGGAATAATAGGTTAAATACTGAAAAACAAAGTTGAAACTTCCCTTTATACCAAAGACCAAAACAAACCCTCTATTAGTTAATGAGCTAAATATAAGACATGAAACCATTAAAAAAGCCAACTTGGTAACAGTTGTTATCACTGAGTGATGCTTTGTTGGATTCTTTTCATTGTTGTGTGTATATTTTTATGATTTTCCAACTTTTCTCCAGTGCACACATTTGTCTCCACAACATTCATTCATGCATGCAACACCTATTTATTGCATCCCTCCAGGTGCCATCCATGATTCCAGGCACTGGTGACCAGAACAGACAAGGTAACGATCCCTGGGGAGTATATAGTCTAATGGAAAGGGCAAGTAATAAACAAATACACACACAGATAAGTAGACAACTATGAATTAGGGTAAGTTTGGTAAACAGTGTTTTTTGTTTGTTTGTTTGTTTTTATTTTTTCTTGAGACAGAGTCTCACTTTGTCGTCCAGGCTGGAGGGCAGTGGCATGATGTCGGCTCACTGCAACCTCTGCCTCCTGGGTTTAAGTGATTCTCCTGCCTCAGCCTCCCAAGTAGCTGGGACTACAGACGCATGCCACCACGCCCGTCTAATTTTTGCATTTTAGTAGAGATCGGGTTTCACCATATTGGCCAGCCTGGTCTAGAACTCCTGACCTTGTGATCCACCTGCCCCAGACTCCCAAAGTGCTGGTATTACAGGTGTGAGCCACCGCACCCAGCCGTAAACAGTGTTTTAAATGGTTAAAATGGAGAGTGAGGAGGAGGAAGCTAGACCAACAAGGTCCTTTGCGAAGTGACTTTTAAAGGGACATGTAAAGGGCAATGATGAGTTAACTAGTTCACACAAAACTTTTCTGTAAAATATTTATTTTATGCTGTAGAGTGACCAATGAGACTAAAGGGCATATGGAGCATGATTACATGAGAATGAGGTCAGTGACTAAAAGGGAATAGACACAAGCAAAAAATATATATTTAATTGGAATATGAAATACATTTCCTATTTTCAAAAGGTTACTTTCAAATTTCAAAAATGTGCTACCTCTTTTTTTCAAGTATAAAGATGAAGAAGATAAAGAAGTAAAATGGCAGCCACCACCAGAGTAGTTATAGTGGCTGCATCCATTTTCCGCCCTAAGCCCAGGTGGGAAAAGGGTTGGCTGGAAAAGTTACAAGCTTCTAATGATTAAGAAGCCCCATCAAGGAAAATCTACATGGCCGTGGTGGATGGACAACCACTCTCTGGTGGATTCCCATTGACCTTCGAGACCCCCTAACTCCCACTCTCACCTCCTGCTACACCTCATCTCAAGAATCTCAGGATGACTTGTGGCTCAAGCCAATAGTGGGTGGGATTTAGAAACAACTGACACTCTGGTTTTCCTCTTTTCTGTCAGGCAGAGTCTTTTTCTCTGCACCAAGCCAGGTTTGGGCTCACTGCTCAGGATAACTCTCCCATTCTTCTCACTGCAGGGAGACCTCTGCGTTCCAGAATGGCCAGCAATGGACAGGGTGCCCTTGGCTTCCTCTGGCTCAGGCATCATTTTGGCTGAGGCTGCATACCAAGCTCTTGATAGAGTGAGCTTTGTGAACACAGCAAAGGGCTAGCCCCTCAGACTCATGGCAATGAGGATTTTTGGGGTTTAATGGTGAGGAAGGCCTAGGGCCTAGGTAATGAGAGAGAAACTGAAAAAAGATAGCATACTGTCCTCTTAATATGTTGTACCAGTTAACTCACCTGCAGAAATGCCTGTTAAGAGCCTACTTCGTTCCTTGCCAAAACTGGTTACTACCAGTTTGAAACATATAAGTAGGTAATATATTGATAATGAGAGAGAAAGTGAGCCCCTAGGTGTTAAAGTACCAAAGGCTCCAATTTACTAAGCACCTACTAAGTTCTAAGCATTGTACTTAGAGTTCTATGGTCAGCTGGGTCCAGAGCAGGACTCTAATCGGACTCAGTAGGCCCCAACCTCAGCTACTTCCTAAACTGTGTGACTTGGAGCAAAACACTAAATCTCTCTGGCCTTGGTAGTAATGGTCATGATAAAACCTACCTCATGGGGTTATAGGTTTGCAGGCAAAGTCAGTGGGGTAAGCCTTGCAGAGCATTATTAGCCATCATTAATATTAATGACCTGTATTTCTATCCAGTGAGGTAAGCAGCATTATACTAATTAACAGAGGGGGAAACTGATTCACAGAGGTCAAGCAATTGCCCAAGGCTGTCCAGCATCCTAAGGAGTGAATCTAGCATTAAAACTCTGATGGGACTGAAAGCAAACCCCCTATTTAACTGTCCCTTACTCTATTTGAACACTGAGCTTGAAGCTTGGTTTGCATCTCAGGGCTTAGCAAATTTGGGACTGTTTCTGTACTGTCCAAAAATGTCAATGATTCACTAACTAATAAAAATACCCTCATATAGAGTGTTTTACAATTTATAACAATCATTCACATTCACATTTGACTCCAATGGGTACAACAATTTCTAAATTATATAAATTTTTGTGACCCACAGTCTCAATACCTGAATATATGTGTGTGTGTGTGTGTGTGTATGTGTGTGTGTATTTATATATATACATGAATATATATACATAATATACAGACATATATATGGCATGTCTGTCTCTGTACCTATACCCAAGGGCAGATAGGTTAAAATACATATTTTAAGAAGGGTTGTTTCCATTCAAAGAAACACTTTGATCTCAGAATGAGCCGCCCTCCCCCAACCCCACTTAATGTTCAGTTCAGTGCAAAAGATGTACAAAGAGGGGCCTGGAAATAGAGTCTAGAGAAAGTTGAACTGCTCTAGGAACTTGAATGAGAAGACTTTGCTGCACCTGTGGGCAATTTGGGAGGGAGGAAACAGAAAGAGGTGAAAATTTCTTGCCTGTTGAAAGGACTTTTAAAGTCTGAGAAAGGATGAGTTCTATGCTGGGCAGGACGGCAATGCGACCCCTTGCCTGAGTCCCACCAAACACCAAGAGAAGTTTGCTGCTGCAGGAAACAGCCTTTGTTATGTGGCTTCGGCAGGGTGGTGTGGAAGGGCCCAGGTCCACATTTGGTTCAGTTAGGGGAGCCAGAAGAATTTGACTGATGTTCTAGAATCCAGGGCAGGCAGTGAACAGGGGCTCATGTGCTCTTTTTGAAATCTCCATGTGCAGAATTTGAAATGGGGAGTTCTGGTCAATACTTCATAGATTTCACTGGTAAACTGGCCCCAGCTGATATGCGGTCTGTGTATTTATATTTCACAAAACTGACACAGTAATTACTTACACTCGTGGTTTTGTAGGCTCTTTTTTTTAAAACTTCCTACAGCATGAACATTAACCCATGCCATTAGATACATATACCACAAAAACAGTTTGTAACAATACTAGCATAGAATTCCACTGTGTGTGTGCACCAAAATTTACTTAACTACTCTCCAATCGTTGGTGCATTTAAGTGATTTCCAAGTCTTTGTCCTTATAAATAATGCAGTGATGATCTCTGTCTGAAACTCTCTTTTGAGCAGCTCTGATTATTTTGCTAGAAAAAAAATTAGCAAATTGTCCTCTTAACATGCTGTACCAGTTAACTTACCTGCAGAAATGCCTGTAAGAACCTGCTTTGTTATTCCTTACCAATACTGCTTATTAACAATTTAAAAAATATATAGGTAGGTAATATGATAGATAAAATGCATTTATTTGATCATCTGTAACACTGGACATTTTTAATACGCTTTTTGCTATTCATATTTTGTTTAGCAATTACCTCTTTATGCCTTTAGCCTTTTTTTCTATCAATGTGATTACATTTTAAAGTTAGAGCTTTTTATGTGTAAAGATATTTTATCTCCCTTTTCTCAGTTTTGTCACATGTTTTCCCACACCAGTTTACTAACCTGCTTTTTGATTTTAGTTAACATGGCATAGAAGATTTTTCTTTTTCTTGTCTTTCTATGTAGTAAAATGTGTAAACCATGACCTCAATGGTGTATTTGCTTGCTTTTAATGAACTGAGAGTCTCTCCCAATAAAAGAATGATATTTTCTTTATTTTTTTCTAGTTTTGCCTTTTAAGTTTTTAAACTACCCATAATTTAATTAGCACATGGTAATATATGCAATAAATTCTATTTTTTACAAAGTATCTTACCATGTACAATTTATTAATCATGTACTATTTGATAAGCAATTTTCAATTCATATAAATTTTTTATTTTTGTAAAGCTGGGGTCCTGCTATGTTGCCCAGGCTGGTCTTGAACTCCTGGGCTCAAGTGATCCTTCTGCCCTGGCCTCCCAAAGTGTCATATAAATTTTAAAAGTCACCAGTGGAACAGAACAGAGCCCTCAGAAATAATGCCACATATCTACAACTATCTGATCTTTGACAAACCTGACAAAAACAAGAAATGGGGAAATGACTCCCTATTTAATAAATGGTTTTGGGAAAACCGGGTAGCCATATGTAGAAAGCTGAAACTGGATCCCCTCCTTACACGCCTTACACAAAAATTAATTCAAGATGGATTAAAGACTTAAATGTTAGATCTAAAACCACAAAAACCCTAGAAGAAAACCTAGGCAATACCATTCAGGACATAGGCATGGGCAAGGACTTCATGTCTAAAACACCAAAAGCAATGGCAACAAAAGCCAAAATTGACAAATGGGATCTAATTAAACTAAAGAGCTTCTGCACAGCAAAAGAAACTACCATCAGAGTGAACAGGCAACCTACAGAATGGGAGAAAATTTTTGCAATCTACTCATCTGACAAAGGGCTAATATCCAGAATCTACAATGAACTCAAACAAATTTACAAGAAAAAAACAACCCCATCAAAAGTGGGCAAAGGATATGAACAGACACTTCTCAAAAGAAGACATTTATGCAGCCAAAAGATGTGAAAAAATGCTCATCATCACTGGCCATCAGAGAAATGCAAATCAAAACCACAATGAGATACCATCTCACACCAGTTAGAATGGCAATCATTAAAAAGTCAGGAAACAACAGGTGCTGGAGAGGATGTGGAGAAATAGGAACACTTTTACACTGTTGGTGGGACTGTAAACTAGTTCAACCATTGTGGAAGACAGTGTGGCGATTCCTCAGGGATCTAGAACTGGAAATACCATTTGACCCAGCCATCCAATTACTGGGTATATACCCAAAGGATTATAAAACATGCTGCTATAAAGACACATGCACATGTATGTTTATTGCGGCACTAATCACAATAGCACAGACTTGGAACCAACCCAAATGTCCAACAGTGATAGACTGGATTAAGAAAATGTGGCACATATACACCATGGAATACTATGCAGCCATAAAAAATGATGAGTTCCTGTCCTTTGTAGGGACATGGATGAAGCTGAAAATCATCATTCTCAGCAAACTCTCGCAAGGACAAAAAACCAAACACCACATGTTCTCACTCATAGGTGGGAATTGAACAATGAGAACACATGGACACAGGAGGGGGAACATCACACACCAGGGCCTGTTGTGGGGTGGGGGGAGGGGGAGGGATAGCATTAGGAGATATACCTAATGTTAAATGACGAGTTAATGGGTGCAGCACACCAACATGGCACATGTATACATATGTAACAAACCTGCACGTTGTGCACATGTACCGTAAAACTTAAAGTATAATAAAAAAATAAAAATAAAAAATAAAGGCTGAAAGAAAGAAGAAAATAAAATAAAATTAGTTATGTAACATCTCATCATAAGTTGTTTATAAGACCAATCACACAGGACCTGTTATGAAAATTCCATACTTGTAAAGTGCTACCCAGAGCCTGACACGTGGTTGGCACTCTATATGTATGAGTTTCTTTTAAATTTATTTGGGATATTTGAATGCCTATTTATTTTTGTGAAAGGGTTTATGTTTCAAAAATTAAAAAAATATACTTTCATTCATGCATCAAAAAAAAATTTTAAAGTCAGTTTTGCTATGTACTGTATTCATTTCTGGGCTTTAATTATTATAGTTTTTACAAATGTTGACATTTCACAGAGAAACCCTCCAATCACTTTTTCTAAGTGCTCTTGACTTCTTTCTCCTGTATTTTCTTTCAGATCAACTTTTAAATCACTTTAAGTTTCAAAATGAATCCCATTAAGATTTTGATTAGAACTGTATTAAACCCATCAATTAATTTGGGAAGGATTGCTATCCTCACAATATTAAATTTGCTAATCCAACAACATGACATATGGCCATTTGTTCAGGTCTTGTTTTCTCATCCTCAATAAAACTTTGTAGGTGTTTGTATTTTCATATACATGCTGCACAATTCTTAGCTTACACTTAAGTGTTTATACTGTAATTACATTTAAGAATAGGATACATTTTATTATAGTTTTATAATGGTTATTACTGGCATATGGCTATTTATTTTTGTTTATTTGCTTTGTGTCTGACCATAGCATTGAAATCTTTTAGTAGTTCCAATAGCTTGTTTTTTCAGTTAAGTTTATTCTCTTAGGCATTGAGGCTATAAGAACGTTTTCTTCTGGAAATAAGAAGGTGCCTTTCCATTTCTAGCTTACTAAGAATTCTGATCAGTAATGAAGGCTGAATCTTTTCAAATTACTTTTTAGCCTCTCTTGAGAGGCTCAGATGATTTTTATTTTTTGGCCTACTAATATGAGGCATTACATCCATAGTTTTTCTAATATTCAACATTTTTCATCAGTGTATTCCTGGAAAACACCCAACTGGGCCATGGTGCATTATGCATTGATAATGATTCTGGATTTCAGGAGCTAGAGCTTTGCAGCTGTGCAGTTAAGGGTTCCATTTTCATCCGGGCCATTTGAGCAAGTGTGTGGCCTTGGGCAAGTCACCTACCTCCTAGACAGTGAGTGGAGGAATTATACCTCCCTCACAAGCTTGCTGCAAGAATTACAAGTAAAATATTCAAAACAAGCTCAACACTATAAGCCTTGCATACAGTAGATACCCCTCAAATTGGCAGCCACTGTTTTCATCACTATAATCATACACTTTCTTTACATTGTCATCTCAAGTGTGACAGAGCTGTAAGAGTGATTGAACTCTAATTTTAATATATTTGGGATGCTATTTTTTAAAAATCCAGAGAGCTTGATAAACACTGTTAGCTTTTACTATCTTTAATGCTTCTCTGTGACTCACTTTTTCTTCAAATTTCAACCCTGAAATTTAGAAGAAGTTGAGGGATTACTTGTTGACTTACTATTGTAACTGAATAAAGATTTAGTTGCTTGCTGCTTGCGGAGTTCAATTAACAAGAGCAAGATCTGGTAGAAAGAAAAGTGACTTTATTCCAGAGCTAGCTGAAGGGCAGTAGTGCAGTCTCCTTCCTCAGGGTGCCACTTTGCTTCCAGGCAGAAAGCAGAGGCTTTTAAAGGAAGGCTTGGAGTGAAGGGCACGCAGGGGAGAGGGCGAGGAAGTGCAGGGTCTATGTGACTTTTCAGATTTCTTATCTATCCGGAGGTCTCACTAGTGCCATCATGGGCAGAGTGAGGTTGTAAATGGTGGCAATCTCCTATTGGGATAGAATTCTGGATGTGCCTGGTTTGCTTCAAGTTTCAGTCTCTGGAACTTCTAAGTAACACATAGTTAGACAGACTTGCTGTGTTGGAAGTGTCTGGTGGAGAGAAGGTAAAGATTATACTTTCATTCCTAAACAGCTAAGTAGGTGGTGGGGGGAAAGAAAAAAAGTTAAACAATTGATTTTTTCCCTTTTAAAAACGAGGTGCTAAGTTACACTATTGCACTTCATCTTCTAGGAGGCCCTGGCTCCCTAAGGAGCATGGAGTGGCAGAAAAATCTAAAAGTGCAACTGGATGTCTAATAGGGCTTTTCCTGTTGCTTTGGAATTTTATCTAAGACTACAAAACCAATAAGCATACAAAATAAACACTGCCACCTTCTACAGAGAAGACCTGAGGGACTTCCAGCTATTTCTTCCAGAGAACACTAAGAGGTTCCCAAGCGGACTCTCACTCTTCCCTCCCAGCACTACAGTCAGCTCATACAATAATGAGACTTCATGGGTTAGGGGAAGTGAGTCTCTGGGATTATGAATTATAGGTTTAAAGAGAGAGAGCTTTATGTTTTGCCTCTTTCTTAAGCCAAGGGAGAGGGACTCCAATGGTGCCAACAGTAGACATCGTGCGACAGTGGGAGGGGAGAGAGGGTCTGCAAGAAGAGGAGATGAACATCTTATGCCCTCACAGGTGCTTGTCCGTCTGCGGATAATTCTTTTTTTTTTTTTAAGGCGGAGTCTCGCTCTGTCGTCCAGGCTGGAGTACAGTGGCACAATCTCGGCTCACTGCAAGCTCCGCCTCCTGGGTTCACGCCATTCTCCTGCCTCAGCCTCCCGAGTAGCTGGGACTACAGGCGCCCGCCACCACGCCCAGCTAATTTTTTTTTTTTTTTTTTTTTTTTTGTATTTTTAGTAGAGATGGGGTTTCACTGTGTTGGCCAGGATGGTCTCGATCTCCTGACCTCATGATCCGCCCGCCTCGGCCTCCCAAAGTGCTGGGATTACAGGCGTGAGTCACCACGCCGTGCCCAGATAATTCTTATGGCGTCTCAATCAGAGGCTCCATAACCGAGTATGATCAGAGCAGGTTTTCTCCCTTCTTTAGCTTTCATCTCTCTTCCGTGGTCCTACAACCCAGAGGAAGCAGAGAGTGCAGCAGCAGCAAAACAAGTTCGGTAGGTGATGCAAGAACTGCCAGAACCCTTTCTCCACATCTTTTTGAGGAAGTGCTGGTCATAATCCATCTTCTGTGACTGCCTTCAATCTAGGTTCACCTGCACTGCACAAGCAACTATGTCCCTTCGAGCATGGTGTGGCATGCATGAAAGTCCCCTCCTTCCCTAGATCCTCATGGTCTTGAAAATTTCTCCATTGGTCTTTAGAATCCATTAACTCTATGGCTTTGATTCTGGGTGGGATAGTGAGTCCATTTTCATTTCTACTGGCTACTGTTTCCATGTTCCCCGAAGATTTATGGATCATCTCACCAGAATTACAGTACAGCAGAGATGGAGGTTAGATGTCTGTGTTCATACTACCCTCCTGCCCAGAAGGATGTCCCATTTTACTTCTAATTCAGAACCCTAAGAGTTAGGCCAAGTTATGTTCCTCCCATTTTATAGATGGTGCCGCCAAGGCATAGAGAAATGAAGAAGAAAAACTCACGAGACTAGTTAAGTGATGCTGTTCTATTTTCTAGACCTTCAATTACCTCTTTTTATAATTCTCTGCCTCTACTCTGTCCTAGAACTGCATGTTGCCCTGAAAGACCCTTGCCTGTGGGACCCACAGGCTTTTCAGAGAACACAGAGACCACCTGAGGCTGCTTATTGCAGAGAGTCTGGATTCACTTCCAATCCCTTTTTGCTCTGGGCTTGAAAGGCCTCATTCTTACAAGCCTTGGCCTCCTCAAAGAGAGAAGCATCTGCGTAACATGGTTCTCCCTCTTACCTGAGACTAGAGACAATTATAAAAAGGACAATTCCCATCCCCCTTACCCCGTGCCCTATATCATGAAATACCCTCACAGCTACACGTCGAGGACTCCACAACATGCACACAGCCACATGTCTTACCTTCTCAGCAGTGATCAGAGCTTGTTGCTAAACCACCACTGTCTAAGAAAGTACACAGAGTAGCAGCTAGAGAAATCCTTCTTAAAACAGGGTCCATCATGCTACAGTGAAGGAAATCAGGTTCTGACATCCTTTCCCCAGGCCTAAGATTTATTTCTAAATAATGTTTATTAAAGGGCCCCTAAGTTCCCGGTTCTCTGCAAGGCATATAACTTATCTCACTGAAGCTTTCCAACAAAATGGTGCATTATAATATCCCTTAGATGGAAGAAAATAAATTGAGTCACAGAGAGATGGTGTAACACATCCCGGTCACCCAGCCAGCAAGTGCCCAGCTTGAAATAAAAACCAGATTATTTTTGGCTCTAAAGCCTCTATCCTTTTCATTCAATTCTAATGACTACTCTCACTTCATTGAGCCCAGCAATTTGAATTTATCTTTTTTATCCCCCTGGAGAAAAGAGAGAGGTAGACACATATCACTGCAAGTAGAAATCCATAAATATGTAAATAAAATAGAACATGCAATCAACCCTCAGGTGGAGGGAATAGGAAGAGAGCCCTCCAAATCAACAGCGTATGTGGTGTCTCTGGCTGTACAAAGCCACTTTTCACTTGGAGAGCTGGGACTCCGCAAGACTACAATGAAGTGGGTTCCCAGGCAAGGGGCCTTTGATTGACACGCAAGGGGGACGGGCTAAGATTACGTGACTTGCTGGATTGTTGATTTGTGATTCTGTAACTATAATCGGAGTGGCCTGGGGTCTGCGTCAAGCGAAGTTTGGGGGGATAAAAGAAAGCAATGTCTGGGGATTAAGTGAGACAACTGAGTGGCTGAAGACCTGTTTTTGAGATGAGGAGGAAAACCTGGGAGCAAAACTTACAAGTGGGTGTTTCAAGGAGGCCTATTTGAGGGTAACAATGAGGAAGAGCTTCTTCTATCTAATGCTAGATGATAGTCTTAAGACACCAACAAGCTGGTACCCAAGCCATTGAAAGTGGTACCTGCAGGAGAGGTACAGGGCCAAGTTGGACCCATGTGGTGTCCCTATCTCTTGTCACCTCACCTGCTTTCTCCAGTTACTGACCTCGGCATCCACTGCCCTTGGTTCTCACTGTGGACTCCCAATAGTTAATGCTAGCAGCCTGCCTACTGCCCCCACTCTTTTAAACCTAATGGACACTCTGTGTATAATCCATCCAGAGCTGTACGATAACCAAGCTAACACTGGATAGAGGATAATAGTCACCACCCGAGATCTCCAGCAGTGAAATGGTCTGCCATGGAAGAGTGTAAACTTCCCATCAGAGGCAGCATTCAAGGTGAGGCTGGGTGGGCAACACACAGCAATTCTAAGACCCAACTCCTATCACAGAAAGTCTGCTGTTGGGGATGTGCTGGAGGAAACCACACAATGCTCTAGACAAGAGAGTCTCTGAGATCCCAGACCACAGCATGAACTCTGAAATGGGATTTTCCAGGAGATGATGAACAACAAAAGAATATGGGTCCACCTTCAAGATGCCAATTAGTTCTGAGAAGTGGACAAGGAAGACTTCCTGTTTTGATATAATTATTCATAATCATAGCATCCATAACAATAGCAGCAACCAATAACACTTTGGTTCACTATAGGCAGCTAAAGAACATTTTGAGTTTGATATACATGATCGCATTTGCTCTCATACCTATATCTCATGAAAGATGGTGAATGATTAAACTAAGGAAAAGAAACAAAATGATAAATAAAAATATAAGAAATGGATTATCTCAACAGAACAGCATGAAGACACAGACTTAAATTGCTTTCATCAGTACTAAGAAGTCCCTTTGATCCTAAAGTCCAAGTGAAATCAGGTAGTCCGCATGGAAGAGGCAGTTATCTGCTGATCTCTCCTGAGCTCCAGATTTATATATTCCCATCACCTGCTATACATCTTCACCTCCAACACAACATATTCAGACCTGAGCTCATTTCCTTTTGTGTTTTTCGGCTCAGAAAATTGTTTCACCACTGTGATGGTTAATAATGAGTGTCAACTTGATTGGATTGAAGGATGCAAAGCATTGTTCCTGGGTATGTCTGTGAGGGTGTTGCCAAAGAAGATTAACATTTGAGTCAGTGGACTGGGAAAGGCAGACCCACCCTCAATCTGGGTGAACACAATCTAATCAGCTGCCAGCATGGCCAGAATAAAAGCAGGCAGAACATGTAAAGACTAGACTGGCTTAGTCTACTGGCCTACATCTTTCTCCCATATTGGATGCTTCCTGTCCTTGTACATCAGACTCCAAGTTCTTCAGCTTTGGGACTCGGACTGGCTTCCTTTCTCCACAGTTTGTAGACAGCCTAGACCTCACCTTGTGATCGTGTGAGTCAATACTCCTTAATAAACTTTCCTTTATAGATACATCTGTCCTATTAGTTCTGTCCCTATAAAGAACCCTGACTAATACAACCACTCATCTCTCAGCCATCTAAACTGAAGCATGGGAGTATCACCTTTGACTCCCTACTCCCAACCCCACATCCCTCGATTCCTATCTGATCATCTGTACAGTTTCTGGTTTAACTGGCTGGGAGTCTTGCTCTGAACTCCAGCCTACTGGGCTGGGATGCTGCGCTACAGGCAAACACTTGACAATCTCCCCCTTAAGGGTTAAGGAGGAGGTATCCTTTGGGTTAAGGGAAGGATAGCCTTCCCTTAGTACCCCAGAATTTTCTTAATCAGTGACCTCTCAAAACTGGCAGAGCCAGAATGCATCCCCACCTGCCTTAGCTGAATTGCCTCTCTAGCATCTTCTTGTGCTACGCCCAAGCTTGTAGCCTACTGCTGCCAAGTCTCTGCCTGCTACTAGCATGTCCTTACTAAGCCAACCTCTGCCACCAGTGCCTAGCACAGAATTTGGCACAAAGAAAAGACTAAGTAAATGTTTGATAGAAAGGAGTGAAACTTTTGTGTAGTAGTTATTCATTCTCAGCTGATCTCCATAGTCACCAACCTCCTTACTACCCAATGCCACTCTCAAGAGGACACTTGTGGGCAGAGGAGGTCCCCAGGGCTGAAGACTCCATCAAGTCCTGTGGTGAAGAGTTTCTCTGGCCAAGAGACCTAGCATTTAACCGATTGGTGACCTTCATCCAACTATTCTGAGTCTCAGTTTTCCTCCCATCTACATCTCAGAGCTGCTGCAAAGACCAAGCTATGGAATGAACATCCTTCCAAAGAGCCATGTTGGCTTGTCACTATACATAAGTTAGTGTAAAACTTGGGTATGAAATGACATCACTCAGTGGAATCCTTACAGCAAATTTCTAGGCTCAACCCCAGAATTTCTGATTTATTACGTCGGGGGACAGGTCTGAGAATGTGCATTTCTAACAAGTTCCCAGGGGAATATTTGTCTTAATCCATCTAGGTTGCAGTAACAGAATACCATAGACTGGGTAACTTATAAACAACAGAAATTTACTTTTTATAGTTCTGAGGGCTGGAAAGTCCAATATCAAGGTGCCAGCAGATTAAGTGTCTAGTGAGGGCCCATTTCCTGGGTCCTCACATGGCAGAAGACATGAAGGAGCATTTTGGGGCCTCTTTTGTAAGGGCATTGATCTCATTCATCAGTATTCTGCCCTGATGACATAATTAGTACCCAAATGCCCCACCTCCTAATATCATCATTTCGAGGGTTAGAATTTCAACATATGAATTTTAAAGGAACACAAGTATTCAGTCTATAGCAATACTGATGCTGCTGGTCGAGGGACCACACTTTGAGAACCACCGCCCAAGATGATTCTAAGACCATTTCTCTTTCCATGCTGACGCTGTTTTTCCTCCATGAAGCATGCTATTTCAATGCTTGCCTTTATGTTTTACCTTTTTTTGCTGTTTTGTTGGAATCCTAACCCAGCCTGTAAATTCCTCTGGGCAGAAATTATACCTTCCACTCTACATACTCTCTCACTTTCTGTTTTGTAAAATAATGAGTACATTTCCAGCGTGATTAATAATAGAATAGGAAAAGGAGGAAAATCTCAGACTACCAACACCAATAAACACCACCTACAAATAGATACCAGCCCTGGAATTCTCTTAAAAATTAATTACGAGGCAAAAAACATTCCACCATCAGTGGCGATGCAGGAAGGAAGATTATCTTCTTGATGACACATTTTGTAAAATGTGAATTATTCAAGATTTTAGCTGTAACTTAAACACCAACGTTTTTTAAAAATAAAATACCACAATTGCATTCCAACTCATAATTTTTATATTGATAGCCAGATTATTGTGTTTTCAACATGTAAAATCCATTACACAGTCATGGCAACAGTTTGCAATAGACTGTAAATCTTTATTGAGATGATCATCTTGCGATTGAATTTCAAAATGTATTATATGATCATCAGCAAATAAGTCCACGGGGGCTGCTAAAGTACTTTGAATATCATTTATAAAGATCAAAAACCCTGGAAACTCTTACATTTACCCTGTGGAAAGAGAGAAGTCTCATCAGCAGGATCAAATCAATTATTTTTATGGATGAATATTGCATTGCAAAGCTGAGATAAGGTATTACCCAGTTTAGTAACATATCATTATGTCCTTTTAAAGTAGTAAGTTTCATAATCAGGTTTCAATGAGGAATTTTACCAAAGGCCTGTTTTGAAAATAATCAAGAAAATGGCATCTCTGTTCAGCATAGTGGTTCAATAACCTTACAAGGAATATTTCCAAGCAACAAAAATACCTGGGTTACATACTACCACGATACACCACTGAGATACTTAAGAATGGTTACAGCTAATTCCACTACAACTCTTGCTTTGAAAACGCAAATTTGTTCCAACCCAATTAATATATGAAAGGGCAATTTGAGCACAACACGAATTCTGCATTTGCTTATGTGTGATTTTGTATGTGAGAAACATTAGTGAAGGAGAAACCTGCACCCAGCAGAACTGAGCCACCTACGAATACATGCAACACACACAGTTCCAACCCCTACCTGGCCCGTCAGCTCACTGCCTGTGTTCTGAGCCACACCTTTTTCCCCAATTTCAGACAGCTTTCCTTCCACCACTTCACAGTCACTCACAGGCTGCAAGTCACTCACAGGCTGCAACTTCCCTGATGCCCACTTCCACAGCAAACTTCAGGTCTTTTTCAAGGTAACATACCATCTGTGTTGAGCATCCCTTATCCAAAATGCTTGGGACCAGAAGCGTTTCAGATTTCAGATTTTCTTGAATTTCAGAATATTTGCCTATACCTAATACGATATCTTGGGGATGGGACCCAAGTCCAAACACAAAATTCATTTATGTTTTATATATATCGTAGGCAATCTTACATAATATTTTAAATAATGTTGTGCATGAACCAAGTTTTTGTATGTCGAACCATCAGAAAGCAGAGGTGTAATTATCTTAGCCACTTACGTGGACAACTCTGTGCTTGTCTGTCATCACCATAATTCCTGACTCCAAATGTATATGCTATCGATAAGCAATCATCTTCTTAAGCTTATTCACACATAAGTGCTTAACAGTAAAAAAGAATAAATGATATGTCATTAATACTGTGAAATATTAATGTGTTCAGGTTAACTGAGCAGCACAGTAGACTCAGCAGATACCTGGATCAGCTGGTGAATGTCAGCAACAAACATCCTGGCTTTCAGTCCTCTCCCTGTGATGTTGTGCTTTGATGAAGGGTTCCTATACACCACATTTTATTTTCTTAGGTGAGAACAAACATCAGAAGCAGTTGAGGAACCAGGAAGTGGATCCTCTAGGGATAAAGAGGCATTCTGCTGGATGGCTTTTAAAAATGTTTCCTCCAGAGTCATCTGCCTCATTAACAATGATTTTTGTCTTAGACGTCTCTGATTTTATAAATTGACCTGGTTTCCTGTTCTGCTATGAATGCATACTGCTCCAGTCCTTCCATAAGCTCATCACCAATGCTTGCCATGTCATCTACAGGCACTTTTTCTGCAGTGTTAACAATGTCATCTTCATTGGTGGTATCGTGTTGGCACTCAGTAAGTTTCAGATTCTGGAGCATTTTGGATTTCCGAGGTTCAGGTTAGGAATATTCCACCTGGATGGATGCATTTCTTAGCCATTTCACGTGCATAAAATTGTGCCACCAGTTTTACTAGATTCCCCTCTTTTTTGATGTGTCACTAAGGAAGTATGAATATGGCCCCTAGCCCCATTTTTTCCATAATCCCTGTGGTTTTCATTTCGTAACTTGACATAGTGTGGTGATTTTTAGGCACCTATATGTCAAGTCATGGCAGAGCTGTATGCACTTTCCCTTGCTGTTTGTTCCATGGTTCCTGTACTGATGGGTCCTTCCCCTCCACCCAGATGCCCTCAGTGACTCCTCTTTGTTTTCTGAAACCCATGCTGCCTGCTCCCCTGAGCCACACCCGCCTCCACTAGAACATCCCCAGCTGTATATACAATGCTCTCTCTCTCTCTCTCTCTCTCTCTTTTATTCATCATGATGTGGCCAAAAGTCAAAAGCTGAGAGTCAGAAAATCTAAGTGTAATTCCTGACCGTACCACTGGCCATTCTATGACTTTGGACAAAAAGTTTAAAAGTATTGAGTCTCTATTCCTTTGTGCATATATAAAATGTAAGTACTTACAGCAAAAGTTTACTTGGTGTGAAAAAAAGATATAACATAAATAAGGTAATTTGCAACAAATAAAGAGCAAGTTAGTTTAATTTCTTGAGTTGCATCCAGAGCCAGATCATCTCAGAGGTACAGTGAGACACATGTTGTTAGCCAATAGCCCCTGATTAGAAATGCAGTAGAAGCCAGGAGGCCTGGGACACAGTTGGATCCAGAGAATCTCTCCCCTCTTAGACACAATCTCAGCCAGCAAACTCTTACATGGCATCCAGGAATATCAGAGAGACAGGTGTAGTCAGTAACCCATAGAGATAGAGTGGAATCCAGAGGACCTTCAGAGGAATAGTCCCAACCCAGACTCTTAGGTAGGGATAGGAGCCTCCAGGGGATACAGAGGCAGGAAGCTCTTAGGGACTAAGGTAGTTCCAGAAACAATTCAGAGATACTGTCAGAGCCAGGAGGCATTTAAGACATGGTTGGCAACAGAAGCCCCTCGGAGACAATTCTAGAACCAGGAGCCATCAAGAAAATTTTCAAAACCAAGGGTCACAGGCCCAGCTCAGGGAGCCTCAGGAACAATGTTAGAATTAGAAACTCATTAAAGATACAACCAAAACCAGAAGCCCCCAAGGACATAGTCTAAATGAAGCGTTCACGGGGCACAGTGAGAGCCAGGAGCCCTCAGAGACACAACCAGAGCCAGGAGCCCTCAGAGAAACAGAGCCAGGAACCCTCAGAGAAACACGGCCAGGGCCCCCAGAGACAAAACCAAGAGCCCTCGGAGAAATTATTAGCATTAGAAAGCCTCAGACATACAAATGGCACCAGGAGTTCTGGAAGACACAGAGCCAGTGTGTCTCATCAGAAACACTATTAGATCCAGGAACCTCCCGTGACCCAGCTAAAGTCAGGAAGTTCTTAGAATCACAGTCAGAGCTAGAAAGCCCCTAGAAATGCAACCACAGCAAGAAGGTCCTCTAAAAAACAAACAAACAAAAAAAACCCCAAGGCCTTGATCCTGTTTATCCACAATAGGAAGCACATTCACATTCAAAGAAAATTCGGAATTATCTGTCACAGGAAGGCAAGAGGAAAGCCAGTCTTGGCAATAGCACAGCCTCTCATAATGGAGCCTGGGAAAAAAAAAAATCTTACCTGCACACTTGGTCCTGGTGGTGAGGGGAGGCCCTGGCGGTCCCGTACCCCCCTCACCTGGTCGTGTGAGGAGCACTCGGATCTCATACTCAACATCGGGGTCCAGATGCCACAGCTTATAGTTGGGAGAGTCGACTATGTGGGTCTCTGCCCACGTGCCTGTGGTGGTGCGATATTCCACTTCCTTCAGGATGATGGGGCCATCCCCGATGATGGAGTTGGCATTTGGCTTGATCCACAGGTATGTGGCCCCCACAGCCAGCAGCTCTGGGGGAGCAATGGGCGTGGGAGGCTCTGTAAGACAAGCAATCAAAAAGGACTGTCAGATTCAAATGATTTACAGAGCAGACTACAAGCACATGACGACAAGGGACAGAATTCTTGATGTAGCCACAAAAAAAATAGTCAGAAACCCCTTTTTGTTTTATTTTATTATTTTTATTTTATATTTTTGAGATGGAGTCTTGCTCTGTCATTCAGGCTGGAGTGC